>NC_000024.10:20257793-20628230 GCF_000001405.40 Homo sapiens | reverse complement strand
ATGTCCTGAATGGTAATGCCTAGGTTTTCTTCTAGGGTTTTTATGGTATTGGCTCTAATGTTTAAGTCTTTAATCCATCTTGAGGACCAGATGGAATCATAGCCGAATTCTACCAGAGGTACAAGGAGGACCTGCTACCATTCCTTCTGAAACTATTCCAATCAATAGAAAAAGAGGGAATCCTAACTCATTTTATGAGGTCAGCATCAACCTGATACCAAAGCCGGGCAGAGACACAACCAAAAAAGAGAATTTTAGACCAATATCCTTGATGAACATTGATGCAAAAATCCTCAATAAAATACTGGCAAACAGAATCTAGCAGCACATCAAAAAGCTTATACACCATGATCAAGTGGGCTTCATCCCTGAGATGCAAGGCTGGTTCAATATATGCAAATCAATAAATGTAATCCAGCATATAAACAGAACCAAAGACAAAAAACACATGACTATCTCAATAGATGCAGAAAAGGCCTTTGACAAAATTCTACAACCCTTCATGCTAAAAACTCTCAATAAATTAGGTATTGATGGGATGTATCTGAAAATAACAAGAGCTATCTATGACAAACCCACAGCCAATATCATACTGAATGGGCAAAAACTGGAAGCATTCCCTTTGAAAACTGGCATAAGACAGGGATGCCCTCTCTCACCACTCCTATTCAACATAGTATTGGAAGTTCTGGCTAGGGCAATCAGGCAGGAGAAGGAAATAAAAGGTGTTCAATTAGGAAAAGAGGAAGTGAAATTGTCCCTGTTTGCAGATGACATGATTGTATATCTAGAAAACCCCATTGTCTCTGCCCAAAATCTCCTTAAGCTGATAAGCAACTTCAGCAATGTCTCAGGATACAAAATCAATGTACAAAAATCACAAGCAGTCTTATACACCAATAACAGACAGACAGCCAAATCATGAGTGAACTCCCATTCACAATTGCTTCAAAGAGAATAAAATACCTAGGAATCCAACTTACAAGGGACGTGAAGGACCTCTTCAAGGAGAACTACAAACCACTACTCAATGAAATAAAAGAGGAAACAAACAAATGGAAGAACATTCCATGCTCATGGGTAGGAAGAATCAATATCGTGAAAATGGCCGTACTGCCCAAGGTAATTTATAGATTCAATGCCATCTACATCAAGCTATCAATGACTTTCTTCACAGAATTGGAAAAAAGTACTTTAACATTCATATGGAAACAAAAAAGAGCCCACATCACCAATCAATCCTGAGCCAAAAGAGCACAGCTGGAGGAATCACGCTACCTGACTTTAAACTATACTACAAGGCTACAGTAACCAAAACAGCATGGTACTGGTACCAAAACAGAGATATAGATCAATGGAACAGAACAGTGCCCTCAGAAATAACGCCACATATCTACAACTGTCTGATCTTTGACAAACCTGAAAAAAACAAGCAATGGGGAAAGGATTCCCTATTTAATAAATGGTGCTGGGAAAACTGGCTAGCCATATGTAGAAAGCTGAAACTGGATCCCTTCCTTACACCTTATACAAAAGATATTCTACAAAAAGAGAAAAAAACTGGAGGAATTACATTACCTGGTCTCAAATTAAATACAGAACTATAGTAGCCTAAATAGCATGATACTGCCATATAAACAGACACAGAGACCAGGGGAATACAAAAGAAAATCTAGACACAAATCCAAGCATTTTCAATCAACTCATTTTTGACAAAGGTAACAAGAACCTACACTGGGCAAAAGACAGTCTTATCAACAAATGGTGCTGGGAAAACTGGAAAAAAGACAACTATCTCTTACCCCATCTCAAAAATCAAATCAAACTAAATTATAAACAGATATACGACCTGAAACTATTAAGCTACAGTAAGACAACTTTGGGGGAAAATCTCAAAAGACATTAGTCTGGACAAAAATTTCTTGGGCAATACCTCACAAGGGCCAGCAACCAAAGCAAAGATGAACAGATGGGATCACATCAAGTTAAATAGCTTCCACACAGCAGTGAATATAATCAACAAAAAAGAGACAACAGAATGTGAGCAAATATTTGGTATATACCCATCTGATAGGGTTTTAATAACCATAATATATAAGGAGCTCAAACAACTCCTATAGAAAACCATCTAATAATCCAATTAATAATAGACAAAAAAATTGAATAGACATTTCTGAAAATAAGACATACAAATGACAAGCATATGAAAATGTACTCAACATCATCAATCATCAGATAAATGCAAATCAAAACTGCAATTAGATATCATTACATCAGTTAAAATGGCTTTTTTCTTTTTTTTCTAAATAACAAATGCTGGTGAGGATATGGAGAAAAGGGAATCCTCATACACTGTTTGTGGGAATGTAAATTAGTGCAACCAGTATGGAGAATACAAAAGATCCAGAACAGCCAAAGATATTCTACACAGAGAACAAAACTGAAGGAATTTCATTACCTGATTTCAAATTAAATATAGAACTACAGTAGCCAAAACACCATGATGCTGCCATAAAAACAGACACAGAGACCAAGGGAACATAATAGAAAATCTAGGCACAAATCGAAACATTTTCAGTCAACTCATTTTGAAGGTTCTTCACAAAACTAAAAGTTGAGCTACCACATGATCCAGTAATCCCACTGCTGGATATATGCCTGCCCCTCCTCCTCCACACACACACACAAAGGAAATTAATACATTGAGAGATACCTGCACTCCTATGTTTTTTCCAGTAGTGTTTACAATAGCTAAGATTTGGAAGCAATAAAAGTGTCCATCAACAGATAAATGGATAAAGAAAATGTTGTGTTTATAGGCAATATAGTAGTATTCAGTCATAAGAAATAATGAGGGTCAGTCAGTTGCAACAACATGGATAGAACTGGAGGTTATTATGTCAAGTAAAATATATCAGGCACAGAGAGACAAACATTGCATTTTCTTACTTTTTTGTAAGATTTAACTATCAAAACAATTACACTCATGGAGATAGAAAGCAGAATGGTGATTACCAGATGCTGGGATGGGTACTAGGTGGCAGTGGGAAAGGTGAGGTTTGTTAATGGGTAAACAAAACTAAATAGAAAGAATGAATAAGATCTACTATTTGACAGTACAATAGAGTGACCATAGTCGATAATAATTGAATATCTTAAAATACCTTAAAGGGTATATAGATTTTTGTAACTCGAAGGATAAATGCTTGAGGGCAGGGATACCCCATCATGATGTACTTATTTCACATTGCATACAATGTATCAAAACATATCATGTAACCCATCCATAAATATATATGCCTACTGTGTACCAATAGAAGTTTAAAAACAATTTAAGAATGGCCTAAATGAAAAAAAAATTAAAAACTTATTTCAAGGTGATATAAAATTATAGAAATTTACCAGAAAATTGTATTAGAAGGCCAATTTTATTTAAATAGGTAAAATAATTGTTATCATTTTCCAACTGGGACACTTTCTTACAGCAAATTCTATTAACCAATGGGGTCAAGAAAGCAGCTGCAATGTTCAAAACTAAGTACTCACATATGTAAAAACAGGAACTAAAAGGCAGAACCTCTATATAGCCCAAAATAAAGGATCCAAATTTACATTAAATCCTAGATCCTCAAAAAGGGGAAAATACCATGAAACCTAACAACTCTTCCATAGTGCATCTATTAGGTTGGTGCAAAAGTCATTGCAGCTTTGCCATTAGAACTAATTAGGAGCAATGGTGAAAACCACAATGATTACTCTGAGACTGGTGGGCCACTCAATTCCAGTGGCCCACTCTGTGTTCCACCCAACTCCATGGAAAAGTGTATTCCCAAGTGGCAAGTGTTCCTATAGCGTCCAAAAGCTTAAACGTTGCTTTTCTAATTTAAAAACTTAAATAAATGAGTAGCCTCCTGCAGTAGTAACCATTTACTGCAATAGATGTTAGTCACCTCCGAAACTGCAACTCTCACCAGTGATTTGCCAGTTACTTCACACAAAAGGTTAAGTTTTTTCTTGTAGTAAAAAGTAATTTCTGGTACCCCAAATGTCAAAGAGATCAGAGGGGAGGGGAGAGGAGGTGAGAGGAGGGGAGGTGAGTGGAGGGGAGGTGAGGGGAGCAACTTCAAAGGTTGTATTTGATACTTTTTTGCTGTGCTCCTCCAGAAATCTCAGGGTCATTAAAGTCTGCGGTAGAACTATTCATGTGGTAACAAAGATAGCAAAAAAGAGGGATGTGTAGAAATAGATGGAAGAAAAATTCTTATAAAAGAAAATTTGGTGAGATTCTAAGCTTTCTAGAATGTCATTTATATTTTACCATTTTTCAGGAAAAATTAAGACAACAAGGAAGAAAGCACACCAGAAGGCTATATATATAATTGAAAAAGAATTTCAGTTAACTAAATCAACTTCCGAGAGACCAAGATTTATAAGACAAAAGGTACAAATGCTTTTTAAAAACATAGCCTAAATATTAGCTTTTAATTAAAACAAATTGTGATGCTACTGCTCTTTAAAATAATTATATCAAATTTCTTATTTTCATATTTTAGCAAGGACAAGCAACAAGTATTCCTGGTTTTTGAAATTTGTTGATATTCTTTAAAAGCAAAGGCTCCTTTTCAAGTTATTCATCAAAATCAATAAACCATAATCAATGTTGTGACTTAACCAAAAACAGATTAAATATCTAAATAGAGGTGAAAAGTAGTTTTCACAAGCTTCAAAACCACCCCAATGACAGCCAAAGAAAGAAAAGGTTTTTTTCTGCATAATAGTGGGTACAACTTACCTTTTATTCTACCACATTGTTTAGGGCCTCAGTTTCTAAGATTACCATCAACACAAAAATACTAATTGTCTCATGTATCCCACAAACAAAATTAACAAACAAATCATCAGTAAGATAAGAAATTGAAAGGAAAAAATGAATAAAAAATGGGTGCTTCAAAAAGTTGAGTCAAATAAATATCAAACCAACATTTATAAATGTAAAAGACTTAACTTTCCAAGGTATTGGTTCCCTGAGTGTGAATTATATCTTAGCCACAGCTGAGAAAGGAACTGAATCCTACTTATTAGCCTACAGGGTATGTAATATCCTGGTATATAATTTGTTAATATGAAAGAGAATCCAAGGCAGACAGTTTGAGCATGAAAATAATTTATCATTGCTGTAGATTCTACTATTTAATGTTGTCAATACAATTTCTAAAACTTGCTCATGACACTATTATGTGTCTTTTTGAAATTTTGCTTCTTCCATAAATACACATAAAGCATTTTTTTTTAGAATTAGAGCTATCTAAAATACTATATTTTAAAAGTAGGTGCATTTTTATTATAAAGAATCAATCTTTTGGCCACTTATGATGAACATTTTCAATGGTTTACTTATTCTAGTAGTGACTTAATATACAAAATTCTTAACAAAAGCTCAGGAGATTCTTTTCCATGAATAAGTTTTGTTATAAAAATAATAGGTGTTCTGTTAGAGGGTATTGAAGAGGTTGTTTCCATACTTCCCCAAAATTTATTTCCAGAATGAATTAACACAGCAAAGGAGTCTGTTGCCACTGATGATTAACCCTAGACTATATTTATGTTTACAGTGCCTCCAGTATCTCACAGATTTGTGGCACTGCCTTTCACAGACCCATTAATCTTTAACACTAGGTAGGCTCTGCTAAAATTGTATCATTTTAGGACTAGCCAAGCAACAAGGGTTCAGATGACCAAAGTTTCTTTTTGGATAAAACTTTTTATTAATACAAACTCATCTGATAAGTTAAAGAAAGAGTGCCCTGCTTAAAATATTATATGTCTCATGTTCTCAGCAATTTTTAGCCTCACACTGTATGTGACCAAAAAATTACATCCCTCAGATAATGAACAAAAGAGCAGTCCCACTTGGTCATAACTCAAGCTCTCAAGAACATAAAACAGCACAAGAGGGTAATCTTAGTTTTTTCTGTTTTGGAGACAAACATCTAAGTTTATCTAAACAGATGCTAATATTTTCAGAACCTTAACAACCTATATTTTAAGGTTTGGAGCTCATGTTTTACCTTATGGTACTCTGTTATGGCAGAACACAGAAGGACAAAGAAAATGCAGAAGACTCTTTCTTGAAAAAAAAATCGGACAATATAAATATTTATATCAAAAATATCCTAAAGTTGCTACTGTAAGAATTAAAGAAAGAGGGAAAAAACAGGAAAGGTGGCTCACCAGTCAACAGAGGTTTATTTTAGAGAAAACCACCTTGAAAGAAGCTTCTGGCTGAGTTAGGTCAGAGACAAACTCTCTTACAGACTAAGAGTTTTTAAGGATTCAGGGTGGAAGAGTTTATCAGAGGCTTGGACTTCTTCTGTGTCTTTTTGTTGTGCTTCTCTGGGAGGGAGAGTTGTGTCTGTTCCCATACATTTCTCTGCAGCTGTAGGCATACTGCACAGTAGGCTTTTAGATTCCCTATCTTAGTCCACCTAAAGGGAAAGGAATGAGCATATTAAGGCTGTTTTACTAGGGCCCATTGTTTGCGGGTGAAGTTTGGCAGTTACCCATGAGACTTTCCTCCATCTCCCTCTGTGCCTGAGCTGTCTTATCTGTGTTTTACTATCTGCTCTTTCTGGATGCTTGCAGTTAGGAGAGAAGTGATTTCCTTAAAATGCATGAGGGCAGAAAGGTAGCTGGAACATAAAGTGGTGGTGTTTGTTTAAGACGATGGTGCTCCAGCTATGTCATTCCAGACTAGACCCTATAGTTTATAAAAGGATGAGGTGTGACATGTTCTTTCCGGCTGCTTCCTGATGATGGCAGGGTGGGGAGATTTTTGTTGTTGGATTGACTGCAGGAGCAACACTGTCTGTAGATGTTTTTGGGTAGTTGTCCGCAAAATGGCCATGATTCTTCTTTATAATTTTTGGCTTAAGAGTTCCTCTTTTTTTTTTTTTTTTTGCATTGATAGGAAATTTTTCTGGACTGTTAGGGGTTGCTTTCTTAGCTCTATAGGCTTTGACTTGAGTGTGATGTATCCAGGGTTGATTTCTGAAATGAATATAATTTCAACTGTAGAAAATAATAAAAATTGAAAAACATTAGGTAAGGCAAGAATTTAACAACAGGTGGGCTACAGTTTTTGAAATATAATTTTCTCTCTTCAGTTTCTCATTTTTATTAAAAGACAAATCATGGTAGGACTGTTTGCTTTATTATATTTGTCTTAATTATTCATATACAGTGCAGCAAGAATAATTATTTGCTACATAGGCCTTTTAAATCAGCTTTGATGATAAGGTTCGAAGATGGCTGAATAGGAACAGCTCCAGTCTGCAGCTCCCAGCTTGAGTGATATAGAAGACGGGTGATTTCTGCATTTCCAACTGAGGTACCAAGTTCATCTCACTGGGGCTTGTCAGATAGTTGGTGCAGCCCATGGAGCAGGGCAGGGCATTGCCTCACCTGGGAAGTGCAAGGGGTCGTGGAATACCCTTTTGTAGCAAAGGGAAGCCATGACAGATGGTACCTGGAATATCGGGACATTCCCACCCTAATACCATGCTTTTCCAACAGCCTTAGCAAATGGCACACCAGGAGATTATATCCCATGCCTGGCTTGGAGGCCCCCATGCCCACGGAGCCTAGCACAATAGTCTGAGATTGAACTGCAAGACAGCAGGGATGTGGGGGGAGGGGCATCCACCATTGCTGAGGCTTGAGTAGGTAAACAAAGGACCTGGGAAGCTTGAACTGGGTGGAGCCCACCACAGCTCAAGGAGGCCTGCTTGCCTCTGTAGACTCCAGCTCTGCAGGCAGGGCACAGCTGAACAAAAGGCAGCAGAAACTTCTGCAGACTTAAACGTCCCTGTCTCACAGTTTTGAAGAGTAGTGGTTCTCCCACCATGGAGTTGGAGATCTGAGAACAGACAGTCTGCCTCCTCAAGTGGATCCCTGACTGCTGAGTAGCCTAATTAGGAGACACCTTCCAGTAGGGGCTGACTGACACAACTGGGTGCCCCTCTGAGATGAAGCTTCCAGAGGAAGGATCAGGCAGCAACATCTGCTGTTCTGCAATATTTAGTGTTCTGCAGTCTCCGCTGGTGATACCCAGGCAAACAGGGTCTGCAGTGGACCTCCAGCAAACTCCAACAGATCTGCAGCTGAGGGTCCTGATGGTTAGAAGGAAAACTAACAAACAGAAAGCGCGTCCACACCAAAACCCCATCTATAGGTCACCATCATCAAAGACGAAAAGTAGATAAAACCACAAAGATAGGGAAAAACCAGAGAAGAAAAGCCGAAAATACTAAAAATCAGAACACGTCTTCTCCTCCAAAGGAATGCAGCTCCTTACCATCAATGAAACAAAGCTGGAGGGAGAATGACTTTGACGAGGTGAGAGAAGAAGGCATCAGACAATCAGTAATAACAAACTTCTCCAAGCTAAAAGAGGATGTCGAACCCATCGCAAATAAGAAAAAAACCTTGACAAAAGATTAGACAAATGGCTAACTAGAATAAACAGTGTAGAGAAGTCCTTAAATGACCTGATGGAGCTGAAAACCATGGCATGAAAACTACGTGATGCATGCACAAGATTCAATAGCCGATTTGATCAACTGGAAGAAAGGGTATCAGTGATTGCAGATCAAATGAATGAAATGAAGCAAGAAGAGAAGTTTAGAGAAAAAAGAGCAAAAAGAAATGAACAAACCTCCAAGAAATATGGGATTATGTGAAAAGACCAAATTTATGTCCGATTAGTGTACCCGAAAGTGACGGGGAGAATGGAACCAAGTTGGAGAACACTCTTCAGGATATTATCCAGGAGAACTTCCCCAACCTAGTGAGGCAGGCCAACATTTAAATTCAGGAAATACACAGAACACCACAAAGATACTCCTCGAGAAGAGCAACTCCAAGACATAATTGTCAGATTCACCAAAGCTGAAATAAAGGAAAAAATGTTAAAGACAGCCAGAAAGGTCAGGTTACCCACAAAGGGAGGCCCATCAGACTAACAGCAGATCTCTCTGCAGAAACCCTATAAGCCAGAAGAGAGTGGGGGCCAATATTCAACATTCTTAAAGAATTTTCAACACAGAATTTAATATCCAGCCAAACTAAGCTTCATAAGTGAAGGAAAAATAAAATCCTTTACAGATAAATGCTGAGAGATTTTGTCACCACCACGCCTGCCCTAAAAGAGCTCCTGAAGGAAGCATTAAACATGTAAAGGAACAGCAGGTACCAGCCACTGCAAAAACATGCCAAATTGTAAACAGCATCAATGCTAGGAAGAAACTGCATCAACTAATGAGCAAAATAACCAGGTAACGTCATAATGATAGGATCAAATTCACACATAACAATATTAACCTTAAATGTAAATGGGCTAAATGCTTTGAATAAAAGACACCAACCGGCAAATTGGATAGAGTCAAGACCCATCAGTGTGCTATATTCAGGAGACCCATCTCACGTACAGAGACACATATAGGCTCAAAATAAATGCATGGAGGAAGATCTACCAAGAAAATGGAAAACAAAACAAAAATAAAAACCAGGGATTGCAATCCTAGTCACTGATAAAACAGACTTTAAATCAAGAAAGATCAAAAGAGACAAAGAAGGCCAATACATAATGGTTAAGGGCTCAATTCAACAAGAACTAATTAAACTAAATATATATGCACCCAATACAAGAGCACCCAGATTAATAAAGCAAGTCCTAGGAGACCTACAAAGAAACTTAAGACTCCCACACAACAATGGAGACTTTAACATCCCACTGTCAACATTAGACAGATCAACGAGACAGAAAGTCAACAAGGATACCCAGGAATTGAACTCAGCTCTGCATCAAGTGGACCTAATAGACATCTACAGAAGTCTCTATCCCAAATCAACAGAATACACATTCTTCTCAGCACCACATCACACTTATTACAAAATTGACCAAATAGTTGGAAGTAAAGCACTCCTCAGCAAATGTAAAAGAACATAAATAATAAAAAGACTGTCTCTCAGACCACATTGCAATCAAACTAGAACTCAGGATTAAGAAACTCACTCAAAACCACTCAACTACATAGAAACCAAACAACCTGCTCCTGAATGACTACTAGGTATATAAGGAAATGAATGAGAAATAAAGATGTTCTTTGAAACCAGTGAGAACAAAGACACAACATACCAGAATCTCTGGGACACATTTAAAGCAGGGTGTAGAGGGAAATCTGTAGCACTAAATGCCCACAACAGAAAGCAGGAAAGGCCAAAAACTGACACCCTAACATCACAATTAAAATAACTAAAGAAGCAAGAGCAAACACATTCAAAACTAGCAGAAGGCAAGAAATAACTAAGATCAGAGCAGAACTGAAGGAGATAGACACAAAAAACCCTTAAAAAATCAATGAATCCAGGAGCTGGTTTTTTGAAAAGATCAATAAAATTGATAGACTGCTAGGAAGATTAATAAGGAGAAAAGAGAGATGAATCAAATAGATGCAATAAAAAATAATAAAGGGGATATCACCACCAATCCCACAGAAATACAAACTACCATCAGAGAATACTATAAACACCTATATGCAAATAAACTAGAAAATCTAGAAGAAGTGGATAAATTCCTAGACACATACACCCTCCCAAGACTAAACCAGGAAGAAGTTGAATCCCTGAATAGACCAAAAACAGGCTCTGAAATGGAGACAATAATTAATAGCCTAGCAACCACAAAAAGTCCAGGACCAGATGGACTCAGTCGAATTCTACCAGAGGTACAAGGAGGAGCTGGTATCATTCCTTCTGAAACTATTCCAATCAATAGAAAAAGAGGGAATACTCCCTAATTCATTTTATGAGGCCAACATCATCCTGATACCAAAGCCTGGCAGAGACACAACAAAAAAAGAGAATTTTAGACCAATATCCCTGATGAACATCCATGCGAAAATCCTCAATATAATACTGGGAAACCAAATCCAGCAGCACATCAAAAAGCTTATCCACCATGATCAAGTTGGCTTCATTCCTGGGATGCAAGGCTGGTTCAGCATAAGCAAATCAAGAAACATAATCAGCATATAAACAGAACCAAAGACAAAAACCACATGATTATCTCAATAGATGCAGAAAAGGCCTTTGACAAAATTCAACAGCCCTTCATGCTAAAAACTCTCAATAAACTAGTTATTGATGGGATATATATCAAAATAATAAGAGCTATTTATGACAGACCCACAGCCAATATCATAATGAATGGGCAAAAACTGGAAGCATTCCCTTTGAAAACTGGCAGAAGACAGGGATGCCCTCTCTCACCACTCCTATTCAACACAGTGTTGGAAGTTCTGGCCAGGGTAATCAGGCAAGAGAAAGAAATAAAGGGTATTCAATTAGGAAAAAAGGTAGGCAAATTGTCCCTGTTTGCAGATGACATAATTACACTTAAAAAGCCCCATCATCTCAGCCCAAAATCTCCGTAAGCTGATAAGCACCTTCAGCAAACTCTCAGGATACAAAATCAATGTGAAAAATCACAAGCATTCCTATACACCAATACCAGACAAACAGACAGCCAAATCATGAGTGAACTCCCATTCACAATCGCTTCAAGGAGAATAAAATACCTAGGAATCCAACTTACAATGGCTGTAAAGAACCTCTTCAAGAACTACAAACCACTGCTCAATGAAACAAAAGAGGACACAAACAAATGGAAGAACATTCCATGCTCATGGACAGGAAGAATCAGTATTGTGAAAATGGCCATACTGCCAAAAATAATTTATAGATTCAATGCCATCCCCATCAAGCTACCAATGACTTTCTTCACAGAATTGGAAAAAAACTACTTTAAATTCATACAGAACCAAAAAGGAGCCCTCATTGCCAAGATAATTTTAAGCCAAAATAACCAAGCTGGAGGCATGCCGCTACCTGACTTCAAACTATACTACAAGGCTACAGTAACCAAAACAGCATGATACTGGTACCAAAACAGAGATATAGAACAATGGAACAGAACATAGCCCTCAGAAATAATAGCACACATCTACACCCATCTGATCTTTGATTAACCTGACAACAAGAAGTGGGGAAATGATTCCCTATTTAACAAATGGTGCTGGGAAAACTGGCTAGCCATACGTAGAAAGCTGAAACTGGATTCCACCCTTATACCTTATACAAAAATTGATTCAAGATGGATTAAAGACTTACATGTTAGACCTAAAACCATAAAATCCCTAGAAGAAAACATAGGCAATACCATTCAGGACACAGGCATGGGCAAGGACTTCATGACTAAAACACCAAACGCAATGGCAACAAAAGCCAAAATTGACAAATGGGATCTAATTAAACTAAAGAGCTTCTGCACAGCAAAAGAAACTACCATCGGAGTGAACAGGCAGCCTACAAAATGGGAGAAAATTTTCGCAACCTACTCATCTGACAAAGGGCTAATATCCAGAATCTACAATAAACTCAAACAAATTTACAAGAAAAAAACAAACAACCCCATCAAAAAGTGGGCAAAGGACATGAACAGACACTTCTCAAAAGAAGACATTTATGCAGCCAACAGACACATTAAAAATGCTCACCATCACTGGCCATCAGAGAAATACAAATCAAAACCACAAGGAAGTACCATCTCACACCAGTTAGAATGGTGATCATTAAAAAGTCAGGAAACAACAGGTGTTGGAAAGGATGTGGAGAAATAGGAACACTTTTACACCGTTGGTGGGAATGTAAACTAGTTCAACCATTGTGGAAGTCAATGTGGTGATTCCTCAGGGATCTAGAACTAGAAATACCATTTGACCCAGACATCCCATTACTGGGTATATACCCAAAGGATTAAAAATCATGCTGCTATAAAGACACATGCACACGTATGTTTATTGCGACACTATTCACAATAGCAAAGACTTGGAACCAACCCAAATGTCCATCAGTGATAGACTGGATTAAGAAATTGTGGCACATACATACCATGTAATAGTATGCAGCCATAAAATAGGATTAGTTCATGTCCTTTGTAGGGACATGGATGAAGCTGGAAACCATCATTCTGAGCAAACTATCACAAGGACAGAAAACCAAACACTGCATGTTCTCACTCAAAGGTGGGAATCGAACAATGAGAACAGTTAGACATAGGGTTTGGAACATCACACACTGGGGCCTGTCGTGAAGTTGGGGAGGGGCTAGGTATAGCATTAGGAGATATACCTAATGTAAATTATGAGTTAACGGGTGCAGCACACCAACAAGGCACATGTATACATATGTAACAAACCTGCATGTTCTGCACATGTACCCTAGAACTTAAAGTATAATAATGATAAAAAAATTCTTTAGTGAATTACCTTTTAATAAAAAAGTAATAAAAATTCATCAGTGAATTACCATTTCATGTGCAGATATCTGTAGAATTTTTTTTTTTTACAATTAAGATTCTGAGGGCAGAATTAAAAAAATAATAAATAAATCAGCTTTGATGGAACTTTGTTATATAGAAGGAATTTGAGATAAGACATATTGAATCCAAACCTAACCATGAATTTTTACCATTACATACCTATGAGTTGGGTGAATTCCTCTCCTTGATGATTTACAATAACCTGGGGTTCCTGGCCAGTTAGAAAATGACATTCTTTACTTACTATAGATTGGAAACCCTGTACAGGGACTGTGAACACAGAAAATTAGGCCAGTTTTTCAAGAGCTTTATTAGCTCCACAAGTTCAGTTCCTTAAGGGAGAGCATATCATTCCTGTCAAAGCTTTGGTAAAATAAGCAGTTTTTACCATTGTATTCTGTTACAAAAGAAAATAGATTCTTATTGCATTGATGTAAACAACTATATTGTTGCAGTTTATGAACACTTATCACTAGTTTTCGAATTCTAGAGGAACTAGGCAGAGGGGAACAAACACTTTAAATTCCATTTACAGGAATATACTTTACTTAGCTGTTAAAGGCTGTTGCTAGCTTGAGACAAGTTTTCTTCACTCTGAAAAATAAAATAAAGATTAGCAGTGTTCTAAGCAAAAGGTAAAAATTTGTTTTTGTTTTCTATTAGTTTAGTTCATTTTATTACTCTGTTTTGCTTGATATTTATAAACATTTTAGCTTTTCATGAGTTCTGTATGTTTTGTAGTTGTAACCTGCATTTAAGAGTACTTGTTAAGGTTCCACAGCTTCAATATAAACCATGTTTCGAAGAGAATTAAAACAAAATACCATTGTCTGTAAGTAACAAAATGTCCAGTTTGGATACAGTTAGAAACACAATTGACAAATACATTTGGTTATTTCTGTGGTTTACAGTAATCCAACATAACAACCTCAGTAGTGATTAATAGTGCATATTCAGACAGGAGACCCTTAGACATCCCATACAGTTTTGAAACGTATGTTAACATTATTCCCTAAAATATAACCTATTATACATTATTTTGGAAATTTTATATTGACAAATAATTCTGTTTATCTCTTTTTTGGATGGTTCAGGGGTCCTATGCAGCACCCAAAAGCCAAGGGTTAGGAAAAACCACCTTGAGACTAAAGTTTGATTTGGGGAAGCCTGTTACATACGTTTAAAATTTAAAACCTTTGATGTTACGAAATAGAATATTAGATTACCATAAATTTGTTTGTCTTGTTTTGTTTTGCCAAAATGATGAGTTAACAATCTGGAAAAGCAAAAACCATTTATTAGCCTTTTCTATTACATGAAAATTCTGTTTAAGAGAGAAAGTTAAATTTTACCCTTGCATTAGTTTGTCATTAATGTTAACCCTAATTTTAATAATACCGTATAGACAATTTTATTTAATTTTAATGAGTTTGAATATGAAGTGAGATTTTACATACCCATTATACCCCTTGACAAGTTTTGCTAAACAGATTAGTGGCGGGGCACGGTGGCTCACGTCTGTAATCCCAGCACTTTGGAAGGCCGAGGCGGACGGATCAGGAGGGCAGGAGTTCGAGACCATCCTGGCTAACATGGTGAAACCCCATTTGTACTAAAAATACAAAAAATCCAGGCGTGGTGGTGGGTGCCTGTAGTACCACCTTCCCAGCTCCTCAGGAGGCTGAGGCAGGAGAATGGCATGAACCCGGGAGGCAGAGCTTGCAGTTAGCCAAGACTGCACCACTGCACTCTAGTCTGGGTGACAGAGCTAGACTCTGTCCCAAAAGGAAAAAAAAAAAAAAAAAAAAAGAGTAGATTAGATTAGCATTTTAAGAAAACTTTGTGGCGTTTAATTAACAGGAAAAAAACCATATAATACCTTTTTGAGTAATTCTTTACAGGATTAATTTGTACAATTTTTTTACAATTTGCTTAAACCATCTGCTTTATTTTATTTAACTTTAAGGTTATTTTTATTCTTAAGCAAAATGTACATTTTTTAGGCCTTCTTATAATTTTTAATAAAAATACATTTTAATCTTTTTATACACCTTGCATGTAAATCCATGTTTAGCGGTTTTAATTACATTATAATGGTAACTCTTAGCAAATTTTAACTTTAATATAAAACCTGTTAAGTTTTCATAATTATGATTATTATTTGGTAGATGCAGATGAAGTTTGACTTCTTCCAGTATAGTTGGGGCATGGTTACTTATATGTTTCTGTCCTTACTATAATCAACCACAGGGAAATACGTACACTGCTTGAAATGCAGAACTTTATCTAGGCAAGCAAGTGATGTTAAGAGTGGCCTGTGGTACTGGGGACAAGGAATGTCAAATAATTAACAGGGTACTTGTCAGATTTTAGGAATACTGTTATTTGGGCATACTCGAAGAAGAAACTGCCTGTTTGTTTTTTTGTTTGTTTTTTTTGTTTTTATTTTTGAGATAGAGTCTCATTCTGTAACCCAGGCTGGAGTACAGTGGCACCATCTCAATTCATTGCAACCTCTGCCTCCTGGGTTCAAGCAATTCTCCTGCCTCAGCCTCCTGAGTAGGTGGGATTACAGGTGTGCACCACCACATCCAGCTAATTTTTGTATTTTTAGTAAAGATGGGGTTTTGCCATGTTGGCCAGGCTAGTCTCAAACTCCTGACCTCAGGTGATCTGCCTGCCTTGGCCTCCCAAAGTGCTGGGATTACAGGTCTGAGCCACCACAACTGGCCAACTGCTTGTTTTAACAGGAATAAGTACATAATGAAAACCATTAACATACATACTACCCTCAAAAGGCCCTGTATTTCTAAGTAGCAAGTATTGTAAATAATTTTCAACTCTTTTCTACCCTTCCTTTGCTAGAAACACTTATGCATAGCTAAAACAGGGAACAAATCATTTCTTTCTTTTTCTTTTTCTTTTTAACTGTCCCTTCAAATTAAAAACACTGACTCACTTTGTAATTTGGGCAAAGTAGCTCTCAAATATAATGCTTTTTTAAAAAAGAAAAAACTTGGGGAAACTCAGAAGGTGAGTTGTTAGGTAGAAATAAGTAACTACTACATCAATGGGAGCAAGTTCAATTAGGCAATATTCTTTATGATACTGACAAGGAAGGCTTATTAGTTTGAAAAGTGCTGGCTTTATTTCTGTGGTTGCAGATTATACTAAAGGCAAGATTTACCTAGTTGCTGGCTCCCACATGAACATTATTTATTCAGTATGCCAGATTTTTATCAAAGAGCACTAGCCACTCAGGATATTTTTACTGGTGGGAACTGAGATTTTCTAGATGACTAAATTAACTGCCAATTCTGGTTTCTCTTAGGAACACATTCACTGAAATGGTATTTTCACTCAGCTTGAATCCAAAGTTTTGTTCCCTTATGATCTTGTTAAGTCATGAATATGTTGGTACAATGAAGACAATTTTCTTTTGCTTTTTTAGGCTAGACCCTCAGCATGAGAGTTATACAATGACACAAAAAAATCAAGTCTATATGTGTACTATAATAAAAGTGTTCTTGAAAGAAGGAGACTCTAACTTATAACCCCAAGGGGAAAAAAATGTGACACTAAGGACTGGTTCTTTCTTCCCTCATTGTTTTCTCATTTTTTTCCCAACTTTGGGAATTAAAAATCTGTTGCTCAAATGCTGGATTAATAAATTAAAACTGAGTCTTGAGTTTTGTTAAAGGCAAAGTAGTAATACTTCTATGTATTTTAGAGGGTTATATAGTATAACTTGAACACATGGTTGGATCTGACTGAACCTACATAGATACTAATCTTAATGACTCACTTACAGAAAATGTGCAATATTCTACATGCAAAAAAATTAAACTGAACTAGTTTTTTTTTAATAATATAAGTGAAAATAACCTACATGGGAAAATATTTAATTATCTGAGCAGAATTTATGAATGAAAGATGTATTCCATGGCTATATGACTGAGGGACATTTCAGCTTGAACTCCCCAGTGGCAAAAGTAGTGTATAAACTAATGCTAGTGTATACACTACTAAAGTCCCAAGTTATGTCACATTTTCTAATCTAATTTTAAAAATGAAAGGTTTTATTATTTTTTTCACTGCAAAGGCAATAACACTAAATATTCCCAATGGGTACAAGTCAATGATTTACTTAGTACACTGACATACTTAACTATTAGCATATCTGGGAAGCTAGATTTGTTATAAACTTATTTTGAAAAACATGGTTTATGAAATTTTATAATAAAATTATTAATAAAGACATTAAGGTTTTATAAACATTGAAGGTGAATACTTGTTATCACGTTTTTAAATGTGAAAGAAAAACCCTTGAAAATTAATAGAGTGATATATATATATTATGTGATTAAAATTAATATAGTGAAACAGAATATTTCCTGTGTTTGACATTAAATTTAAGACCAAGAACAATGCCTAGATTGATCCCTTAAGTAAATTTTGAACTGTGCAATACAGTTTAGTGTGTTTTTGGAAAACAATGTCAATGCTGGAGAAAATATCTAAGAATCAAAACTTAAACCATAAATAGTACTGTTATATCTCAGCACAGCTAACTGGGACATTTAGCAAAAGCACACACATATAATACAACCCTACAATTTTGCTTCAACAGAATAATAAAGTAAAATGGCAATATACACAGTATTACTTTGCTTAATATTTTCCTTATAAATATTTAAGTGCTTATTTTTCTTAGGCCAATTAATTAATTAGAGCTCTTTTTAATAGACATTGCACACATAAAAATATATAGCCACACAGACAACCAGAAGAAGATCCAGTAGTTATAAGATTTACATTTGCTAATTTCTTAATTGGATTATTGGCCTTCAGGTGAGTCCCTTTAAGAACACAGCTAAGAAAACAATTTTCAGGGCCTAATACAAAAGCATAGCTGGAAGACAAAGACAGATTTTAAGAGGTACTTACCTTTATTCCAGGGGCTCCATAAGGACAACAGATATTTTTCCTAAAATGGAATTTGTGGCAGCTTTTCTGTTTTCCAAGGGAGTCCCAGGTCACCAGAAGTAATTCTAGGTCTTTTATGCATCCACCAAGAGTAGCAAGACAGAGAAGAGGAAAGTAATTTTTGACTGAGTAAAAAATCTTTTTGAGGAAAACAGGATTTAGGAAGAGAGAAACATAAAGGCCTTTTGAATATACTCAAAGCTTGAATGTCCATTTTAATTAAACTGAACAGGTTTTTATTTTTTATTGTAAAACTTTAAGTTCTGGGGTACATATGCAGTATGTGCAGGTTTGTTACATAGGTATACACTTGCCATGGTGGTTTGCATGGAAAAAGAAATGAAAAAAAAAAGCACCCAAATAACAACAACTTCAAATATTGAAGAAGTATCAGTCCACACAGATGATAAAGAACTAGCATGTAAACTATAGCACTCAAAAAGCCAGAGTGTCTCCTTATCTCCAAATGACTGCAGTAGTTTGCCAGTAGTGGTTGTTAGGTAAGCTGAAATGGCGGAGAAAACAGACAGAAAATTCAGAATATAGATTTAAAAAAAAATCATTGAGATTCAGGGGAAAGTCAAAACCCAATCAAAGGAATGGAAGGAATACAATAAAATGACACAGAAAATTGAAAGAAAAAATGACCATTAAAAAAAATCTTATAAAGCTGAAAATCAAATTTCAAGAATATCATAATAGAATTTCAACTTTTACCACAGGAAAGACTGACAGGAGAAAAGAATCTCAGAGTTCAAAGGCCAGTTCTCTAAAATAATTCAGTCACAAAAAAATAAAAAATGAAAAAGAATGAACAAAACCACCAAGAAATATGGAATTATGGAAAAAGGACAAAATCTATAACTCATTTGCTTACTTGAAAAAAAAGAGAGATAAAGCAAGCATCTCGCAAAACATATGTAAGGATGTCATCCATTTAAATTTCTCTAATCTCACTTGAAAGTCCAACATTCAAATCCAACTAATGCGGAAAACAATTGCAAGATAGTATAAAAGATGACCATCTGCAAGATATGTAGACATCAGATTCTCCTAGGTTGAAATCAAAGAAAAAATGTTTTCTAGGGAGAAAAGGCAAGTGACTCATCTGTCAGCAGAAACCTTATATGCCAAAAGAGAATTGGGGCATATATTTAGCATTCTTAAAGAAAAGAAACTCCAACCAAGAATTTAATATCCAGCTAAATTAAGCTCAGAAGTGAAAGAGAAAAAAGATTATTTTTAGAAAAGGAAATGCTAAGAAAATTTGTTACCAGACCTGCCTTACAAGAGATCCTTAAAGAAGTGCTAAGTATGGACAACAACACATTTAAGTACATAAGACTATTAGCACTAAAAAGCAACAAGTATACTATCAACTCTGCATATTAACTAGCAACATGGTGCAGAACCAAATCTTCACGTGTCATTATTAACTCTGAATGTAAATGGACTAAATGCCCAATTAAAAGGTGAGAGTGATAACTTGGATATAGAAGCAAGATCCAACTCTACGCTGTCTTCAAGAGACTCAACTCACATGCATTAGCACCCATATGGTCAAAATAAATAGAAACAGAAAAATCTTTCAAGCAAATGAAAAGGATTGAAAAATTGGGGTTGTTTCTCTAATTTCAGACAAAAGTGATGTTAAACAATTATCCAAAAAAGCATTATATAATGGTAAAGAGTTCAATTCAAGAAAATCTAACTATTCTAAATGTACATGCACACAATACAGGAGCACAAGGATTCATAAAACAAGTTATTGTAGACCTATGAAGAGATTAGATAACCATACAATAATAACAGGAGACTTCAACACACCACTGGCAGTATTAGACCAGTTATTAAGGCAGAAAGCTAACAAAGATATTCAAGATCAGAACTCAATGCTTGACCAAATGCCCTGATACCTACAAAACTCCCAACGAATACATTTTTTTTCCCATTTGAACACAACAGATACTGTAAAGCCAACCAAAAAACTGGCTGTAAAACAAATATCAGCAAATTAGAATACAACAACAACAAAATTATACTAACCAGACTCTGGAACCACAGCAACAACAACAACAACAACAACAACAACAACAACAGCAACAAAAGAAAAGAAAAAAGAAAGAAAGAAATCAATACTAAGAATACTAAGAATATTGTGGAAAACCATACAATTACATGGAAATTAAACAACTGGTTCCTGAAGGACCTTTTAAGTAAATAAGGCAGAAATCAAGAATTTATTAGCCACTGATGAAAAGAAAGGTACAACATAATAAAACCCCTGAGACACTGCTAAAACAGTGTTAAAAGGAGTTTACAGTGTTAAATGCCCACAACAAAAAGTGAGAATGACTGCAAATTAGCAACATAGCACCATATCTAGGGGAACCAGAAAAAAAAAAAAAAGCAAGCCAACCACAAATCTAGCAGAAATGAAGAAATAACCAAAATCCGAGCTGATTTGAACATAATAGAGATGTGAAGTACCATACAAAAGATCAACCAATTCATGGGCTTGTTGTTTGAAAGAATAAGTAAGATCAGCAGTCACTAACTAAATTAACACAGCAAAAAAAATCAAAATAAACATAATAAGAAATGACACTACCACTGACCAGAGAGAAAAAACAAAGAATCCCTCAGAGACTATTATAAAAATGGATAAATGTCTGAGAACCAGCAAACTCACAACTTTAAACCAGGAAGAAATGGAAATCCTGAATAAAGTAAAAATGAGTTACAAAACTGAACCAGTAATAAAGCTTATGAGCCAAAAGAAGCCCAGGACGAGCTGAATTTTACCAGATATATATAAAAAAGAAGTTGATGCCATTCCACTAAAACTATTTCAAAAAAAAAAAAAAAAAAAAGAAGAGAAGAGACTCCTCTCCAGCTATTTCTATGAGGCCAGGAGCATTTTGATAATAAAATCCTGTTAAAGCAACAGTAAAATAAGAAAATTTCAGGCTATCATTATGATCAACATATATGCAAATTTCTCAACAAAATATTAGCAAACCAAATCCAATATTATATCAAAAGATTAATCCACCGATAGGCTTAATCTCTGAAATGGTTGGTACAACACATACAAATCAATCAATGTGATTCATCTCATAAACACAACTAAAAGCAAAACTCAATCAGTTATCTAAAGGGATTAAAAAAAGGCTTCTGATAAATTTTAACATCCCTTCATGTTAAGGATCCTAAGAAAAAATCTAGGTATTAAAGGAACATACCTCAAAATAGTAACAAGCAACATCCTCAAGGCAAAAGCTTGCAGTATTTTCTTTAAGAACTGCAACAAGACAAGGATTTCTATTTTTTTTTTTTTTTTTAATTATACTTTAAGTTCCAGGGTACATGTGCACAATGTGCAGGTTTGTTACACAGGTATACACGTGCCTTGTTGGTTTGCTGCACACATAACTCATCATTTACATTGGATATTTCTTCTAAGGCTATCCCTCCCCCAGGCTCCCACCCGTGACAGACCCTGGTGTGTGATGCTCCCTGCCCTGTGTCCATGTGTTCTCATTGTTCAACTCCCAGTTATGAGTGAGAACATGCGGGGTTTGGTTTTCTGTCCTTGTGATAGTTTGCTGAGAATTATGGTTTCCAGCTTCATCCATGTCCCTGCAAAGAACATGAACTCATCCTTTTTATGGCTGCATAGTATTCCATGGTGTATATGGGCCAAATTTTCTTAACCCAATCCATCACTGATGTTGGCTCCAAGTCTTTGCTATTGTGAATAGTGCCACAATAAACATATGTGTGCATGTGTCTTTATAGTAGCATGATTTATAATGCTTTGAGTATATACCAGTAATGGGATCGCTGATTCTATTTGTAAAACAAATGGTATTTGTAGTTCTAGATCCTTGCTGAATTGCCACACTGTGTTCCACAATGTTTGAACTAATTTACATTCCCACCAACAGTGTAAAAGTGTTGCTATTTCTCCAAATCCTCTCCAGCATCTGTTGTTTCCTGACTTTTTAATGACTGCTATTCTAACTGGCATGAAATGATAACTCATTGTGGTTTTGATTTGCATTTCTCTGATGACCAGTGATGATGAGCATTTTTCCATGTGTCTGTTGGCTGCATAAATGTCTTCTTTTGAGACGTGTCTGTTCATATCCTTTGCCCACTTTTTGATGGGTTTTTTTTTTTTTTTTTAAATTTGTTTAAGTTCTGTGTAGATTCTGGATATTAGCCCTTTGTCAGATGGGTAGATTGCAAAGATTTTCTCCCATTCTGAAGGTTGCCTGTTCACTTTGATCATAGTTTCTTTTGCTGTGCAGAAGCTTTTTAGTTTAATTAGATCCCATTTGTCTAATTTAGCTTTTGTTGCCATTGCTTTTGGTGTTTTAGTCATGAAGCCTTTGCCCATGCCTATGTCCTGAATGGTATTGCCTAGGTTTGGTGTTTTGTTTTTGTTTTTGTTTTTTAACCAAAAATTGTACTTTTTATTGTTTGTTATTCTTCTAAATATTCCCCACATAAGTCAACATAATTATATTTACATTTAGTTGTTTCTATTTAACATCTATGTTACCTTTTTTTAATTTTCAATAGCTTTAGGAGTGCAAGTTGTTTTTGTTTACATGGATAGATTGTACAGTGGTGAAGTCTGGGGTTTTAGTGCACCCATCACCCGACTGGTGTACATTGTACCCAAATGGTAATTTTTCATACCTCATCCTCCATCCATCCTCCTACATTCTGAGTCCCCAATGTCCATTATACCACTCTGTATACCTGTGCTTGCCCACAGCTTAGTTCCCACTTATAAATTAGAAAATGCAATATTTGGTTTTCCATTCCTGAGTTCAGTTACTTCACTTAGAATAACTGGATTCCAGTTCCATTCATGTTGCTGCAAAAGACACTATTTCATTTTTCTGTGCCTGAGTAGTATTCCATGGTATAGATACACCATATTTTCTTTATCCACTCATGAGGTGATGGGCACTCAGGCTTATTTCCTATCTTTGCAATTGTAAATTGTGCTGCAATAAACATAGGTGTCCTTTTGATATACTGATTTTTTTCCTTTCAGTAGTGGGGTTACTAAATTGAATGTTAGATCCACTTTTAATTCTCTGAGAAATCTCCATACTTTTTTTTTTAAATTTTATTATTATTATACTTTAAGTTTTAGGGTACACGTGCACAATGTGCAGGTTTGTTACATATGTATACATGTGCCATGTTGGTGTGCTGCACCCATTAACTCGTCATTTAGCATTAGGTATATCTCCTAATGCTATCCCTCTCCCCTCCCCCAACCCCGCAACAGTCCCTGGTGTGCGATGTTCCCCTTCCTGTGTCCATGTGTTCTCATTGTTCAATTCCGACCTATAAGTGAGAACATGCAGTGTTTGTTTTTTTTGTCCTTTCGATAGCTTGCTGGGAATGATGGTTCAACCCAAATGTCCAACAACGATAGACTGGATTAAGAAAATGTGGCACATATACACCATGGAATACTATGCAGCCATAAAAAATGATGAGTTCATGTCCTTTGTAGGGACATGATGAAACTGGAAACCATCATTCTCTGCCTAGGTTTTATTCTAGGCTTTTTATGGTTTTAAGCCTTATGCTTAAGTCCTTAATCCATCTTGAGTTAATTTTTGTATACAGTGTAAGGAAGGAATCCAGTTTCAGCTTTCTACCTATGACTAGCCAGTTTTCCCGGCACCATTTATTAAATGGGACTTCTTTCTCCATTGATTGTTTTTGTCAAGTTTGTCAAAGATCAGATGGTTGTAGATGTGTGGTGTTATTTCTGCAGCTTTTGTTCTGTTCCATTCGTCAATATATCTGTTTTGGTACGAGTACCATGCTGTTTTGGTTACTGTAGCCTTGCAGTATAGTTTGAAGTCAGGTAGTGTGATGCCTCCAGCTTTGCTCTTTTTGCTTAGGATTGTCTTGGCAATGCAGGCTCTTTTTTGTTTCTGTATGAACTTTAAAGTAGTTTTTTTTTCCAATTCTGTGAAGAAATTCATTGGTAGCTTGATGGGGATGGCACTGAATCTGTAAATTACCTTGGGCAGTATGGCAATTTTCATGATATTGATTCTTCCTATCCATGAGCATGGAATTTTCTTCCACTTGTTTGTGTCCTCTTTTATTTTGCTGAGCTGTGATTTGCTGTTCTCCTTGAAGAGGTCCTTCACATTCATTGTAAGTTGGATTCTTAGGTATTTTATTCTCTTTGTGGTAATTCTTAATGGGAGTTCACTCATGATTTGGCTGTTTGTTTATTGGTGAATAGGAATGCTTGTGATTTTTGCACATCGATTTTGTAAAGGATTCCTACTCTTACTCAAGATAGTACCCAGATAAATCAGGTAAGATAAATAAAGGCTTCCAAATAGGAAGAGAGGAAACCAACTACCTTTTTGTACAGATCTTAGAATTCTATACCTAAAAAACCCTAGCAAAATACATGAACTGACAATTTTCAAAACCTAATAATCTGTGACCGGAGCTTCTAAATTTGATAAGTAGCTTTGGCAAAGTTTTGTGATGCAAAATCAATACACAAAAATCTATAGCTTTCTATAAAGCAAGCAGGTCCAAGCTAATAAACAAACTGATAATATGATCCTATCAAATGGCCACAGAAAGAGTAAAATATTCATGAGTAAAGCTAACAAGGGTGGTAAAAGATGTCTACAAGGTAAATTACAAAACTAATGAATGGAATCAGAGATTTTAAAAAATATATTCCATGCTATGGAGAGCAAGAATCAGTATTTTTAACACAGTCACACTGCCGAAATCAATTTACAGGTTTAATGCTATTTCTATCACATTATCAATGACTTTTTTCAGAAATTAGAAAAATCAATTTTGAAATCTATTTAAAATCAAACAATAGTTTCAATGGCCAAACCAATCCTAGGCAGAAAGAATAAAGCTGCAGACATCACATTACTCAACTTCAAACAATACTTCATGGCTTCAGTAACCAAAAAAGCCTGGCACTGGAAAGTCAGAGTGCTTATTTGAATGAATGATTTGAATCGTTATTTGTTTAGAGAAACATTACTAATTTTTGTACATTGGTTTTGTATCCTGAAACCAAATTTATTTATCAAACAGTTTTTGGTGGAACTTTTAAGATGTTTCTTCATATAAAATATTATCAGCAAGCAAGTATAACTTTTGCATTCCCAAAAATTTGGATACTTTTTGTCTCCATTGTTTGCCTGACTTCTCTGTCTAGAACTACTATTCCTACGATAAATACTAGGAGTGATAGTAGACACAGCCTTATCTTGTGTCAGTTCTTAGACATAATGCTTTCAAACTTTTCCATTCAGTATGATGTTGGCTGTGAGTTTGTTGTCTATGACCTTTTTGAAAAAAATTTGAGGCATTATCTTCTTTGTGCATTTGTTCTGATTACATGGTTTTTGTTTTAATTATGTTTATGTGGTAAATCACATTTATTCATTTGGATATCTTGACCTTGCATTTTTGTATAAAATCACTCGTCATGGTATATTATATTTGAATGTATTATTGGATTTTACTTGAGAGTATTTTGTTGAGGTTTTTATGAACAACTATATGCTCACCAAGTAGAAAACAAGAGTAAATGGATACGTTCTTGGAAACATACAAGCTACCAAGATTGTACAAGGAAAAAAGAGAAATCCTGAACAGAGCAACAAGTAGCAAGAGTGAATCAGCAATAAAGTAATGAGTAGGAATATTAAGTAAGTAATAAATATCTCCCAAACAAGAAAAAAGACCAGGAATGAATGAATTTTCAGCCAAATTCTACAACCACACAAAGAAGACTTGATAAAATTTATGGTAAAACTATTCCAAAAAGTCAGTGAGAATAAACTTCTTCCTAATTCATTCTACAAAGTTATTATTATTGTGATTCTCAAACCAGGCAAGGACACAACAACAAAGGAAACTATCAACAAATGTATTCCTGATGAAAATATACGCAAATAATTTTTTTTAAAAATGACATTGAAATTGTATGTTTGAAGGGTACAGCATGTTTTGATATACATTATTTGTGGCAAAATAATCACTATAGTCACTCTAATTCACATATTTAGATTTCCAAAGTTACTATTTTTGTTTGCAAAAAAATACTTAACATCTACTGTCTTAACATTTGAAGTACATACAGTATTACCTCTAGTCACCAAGCTGTGCAATTATCTTTAGAAGTTATTTATTTTACATAACTGAAACTTAAAACCCTTTAACTAACATCTCCTAATTTTTCCCACACCTATCCTCTCCCTGGTAATTAGAATTCTACTATTATCTTCTATCTAGTTCACTTATAAAAGCTTCACATATGTGTGATCATCCAATATTAGTATTTTTTCTATTTGCATTATCTGTGTCTTGTTAATATTCTCCAGGTTTATCCATGTTTTCCCAAATAGCAGAACTTTATTTTTAATGCTGAACTGTATTCCATTATTTTTTCTTTGAATGTACATAAAAGGATAGCTTAATTATATGATAGTTCTATTTTTAATGTTTTTGAGAACAGTCTACACAGTCATATTTCTGTATCCATGAGGGATTGGTTCCAGTACCAGTATGTCCATATCCTTAAATCAGGAAATCCACTACTTTTATCTCAGTGTTCACTCTCTCCACTACAGGCTGAAAGGCATCTCATAGCAATAAAGTGAACAATAATGAAGGCTTTCTATTTGTTTTTTGTCCCTCAGGGTCATAAAACCTTTGTTCATTTTGCTTGTTACTAGTTTGAGGTTTGACAGAAATTTTTTACACACCTGTAGGAAGATAGGAAGAAAAAGTAGAAAAATATTCTCCATTGTCCAAAGAGTTTTTTTTTTTTCCTTGTAGCGTACTTCTTCAATGATTGGACAGTTGTTTACAATTCCTTATCAATATTTACTCTCTCTGCTTATATTGAACATTTTAGATAAAACAAAGGTTAGAGAAAGAACTACTGGGACTTTCTGAGCATGTATCCTTCCCTGAAAATGCAGATGGCTTTTTAGAAACTTCATTGTATGTGGAACTCTTCAAAGTCCTCAGTCTCCAAACTAACTTTCTCACTAGTTTGTTCTCTTAGAATTTGAACATTTTTATTGCTTGCTCCAACTGTAGTACTTAATACAAATGAAATGATTTTTTCATTTGTCTTTCACTCTTTTCAAAGAATACTTTTATATTTTACTTTTAGACAGTTTGTTATTGATATATACAAACGTCACTAATTTTGTATGTTGATTTTGTATTCTGGAACTTCACCGAGTCCATTTACTAGTGTTTATAGTTTTGTTTTGTGGGTATTTTGTGGGGACGGGACAGGGAGATAGAGTCTTTAGGCTCTTCTTCATGTAAGAACGTGCTATCTGCATCTAGAGATAATTTTACCTTTTCCCTTTGGAAGACATAAAAGATGTCCAAACCTTCCATTTGAATGCATTTCTTTCTTCCTAGTATCTGTGACTAAAAATTGCAGGAATAAGTTAAATACAAGTGATTAAAAAAAAAGGGGGATCGCCGTCTTTACTGGATCTCACAGAAAACTCTTTTAATTAGTGTTAGGTGTTGGCTTTTAAGCAGGCTTTCTTAGGTTTCTTCAATATGCAATTGGTTTAGATTTTTCTACAAAGAGATAATCTGACCGCCCTTATTTCAATTTGAATTAAATTTCTTTTGTTGCTCTGCTTTGGACTTGTAATACTATATTGAACTGGAGTGCTGAGTGAAGGCATTCTTGTCTTATTCTAGTTTTTAGAGAAAATGTTTTCAGCTTTTCCACATTCATGATATTAGCTATGTGTTTGTTATATATGGCCTTTACTATGTTGAAGTATATTCACTCCATGCCAAAGTGTTTTCATAAATCATAGTGATGTTGAATTTTATCAAATGTTTTTCTGCATCTATTGAGATAATGTCATTTTTGTCTTTTATTCTCTCAATGTGATGTGTCCATGTTGATTTGTATATGTTGAAAATCTTTTCATTCATCAGATAAATTCTGCTTGATCATGGGGTATTATCTTCAAAATGTATTATTAGATTCACTTTGCTAGTAGTTTGTTGAGAATTTGTGGATCTCTGCTAATCAGCAATATAGGCCTGTAGTTGTTTCTTTTTCTTAAATCTTTGTATAATTTTGGTATCAGGGTAATGTTGGCCTCATGGAATTAGGGAGAAGCCATGCCTCTTTAATTTTGTTTGAGTAGACAGGTAAAATTAATGTTAGTTCTATGTTTAAAGTTTAGTAGAATTCAGCAATGAAGCCATTTGGTTCTGGATTTGTTGGAAATATTTTATTACTGAGTCAGTTTTGTTATTACTGGTCTGTTGAGGTTATCTATTTTTTTTCTGATTTTGTTTTACATGTCCAGGAATTTATCAATGTCATTTAAAATTTTCCAGTTTGATAGTGTTGCTCATAACAGTCTGTAATAATTTTCTGTAGTTCTATTCTAATCATTGTAATTGTTTTATTTCTGATTTTGGTTATTCATGTCTTCTCTTATTTATTATTATTAAATCTTAACTTTCAGATATAAAAGTCCAGGTGCAGATTTGTTACATGAGAATATCGTGGGATACTGTTTTGGAGTACAAATCCCATCACCTCAGGTGGGTAGCACAGTACCCAGTAAGTAGGTTTCAATCCCCTCGCCCACCTGTCATTTCCAGTCATCTAGTTTTTATATTTATGCCAATGTGTGCTCAATGCTTAACTTCAATTTGTGAGAAAATGTGGTATTTGGTTTTGTTTCTGCATTGATTAGGATTATGGCTTCTAACTCCATCCATATTGCTGCAAACAGTATTATTTCATTGTTTTTATGGCTGCATAGTGTTCCACAGCATACATACAGCATATTTTCTTTATCCTGTTTACCACTGATGGCCACCAAGGTTGATTCCATGTTTTTGCTATAGTGAACAGAAGTGATTACATATGAGTGCATGTGTCTTTTTGGTAGAATAATTTATTTGCTATTGAGTATACACCTAGTAGTTGGCTTGCTGGGTTGAATGGTAGTTCAGTTTTGAGTTCTTTGAGAAATTTCCAAACTGCTCTCCACAGTGCCTGGACTAATTTATATTATCACCAACAGGGTTTATATGTGTTTCCTTTTCTCCATTGCCTTGCCAGCCTCTGTTGGTTTTTGACTTACTAATAATGGCCATTCAGACTGGTGTTAGTTGATATCTCATTGTGGTTTTGATTTGCATTTCTGTGATGATTAGTGATGCTGAACCGCTTTTTTATGTATTTGTTAACCACTTGTACATCTTATAAAAAGTGTTAATGATCTTTGCCCATTTTTTTAATGAGGCTTTCCCTTGTTGATTCATTTCAGTTTACTACATGTTCTGGATGCTAAGCCTTTGTTGGATGTATAGTTTGTAAATATTTTCACTGATTCTGTAGGTTATTTGTTTGCTCTGTTGACAATTTCTTTTGCCATGCATAAGTCTTTTAGTTCCACTTGCCTATATTTGTTTTGTTGTTGCAATTGCTATATGTAACTTAGCCCAAAATTATTTGCCAAAATTGACATCAAGGAGAGTATTTCTTAGCTTGTCTTTCAGAATTTAATTTTTAATTTTGGGGGAAGTACAAACAAGGTGCACACATTTAATGGCTTATTTGAGATATTTTGATACAGCCATGAAATGCATAATAGCAAATGGCATATCCATCACCTCAAGCATTTATCCTTTGTGTTACAATCTTTCTATTCCTTTAGTTATTTAAAAATATGTAATTAATTTTGACTAGTTATTTTTTAAAAATACAATTATTTTCACCTATGCTCAATTGTGGTAGCATATACTAGATAATATTCACTCATTGCAAATAGTGTTGGTATCCATTAATTGTCCCCCTTTTCTCACACCCTTACCAGCCTATTATCTACCCTTCCATGCTCTATTTCCATGATATCAATTGTTTTAACTTATAGCTCCATTAACTGTCCCCCTTTTCTCACACCCTTACCAGCCTATTATCTACCCTTCCATGCTCTATTTCCATGATATCAATTGTTTTAACTTATAGCTCCGACACAGATAAGTGAGACCATGTGTAGTTTCTCTATCTGTACCCAACTCATTTCACTTAACATAATAAACTCTAGTTCCATCTGGGTTGTTACAAGTTACAGGATCTAATTATTTTTATAGCTAAATAGAAATCTGTCGCATCTGTAGCACATTTCTTTATTCATCCTTCTGTTGATGGCCACTGAGGTAGTTTCAAAATCTTGGCTATTATAAATAGTGGGGCCTCACAACACTGACCAGTTGCCCTATCCTACTGTGGCCTAGTACCCAAGATGCAAGACAAAGTCTTTTCTACTTTTTTCTATTGTGTCCTTAAGTGGAAATAAGGGGTATCTTTTAGAGTCATGAACTGTGATGCCTGGGGTTGAGGGAGGGATGGTGAAAGCACTCCCTCAGCCAACCCAGCTGTTGTCTCATGTGGCCCCCAAGTTCATTGGTTTTCAGCCTAACCCAGAACTAGCACTTGTCTTGGATTTGCAGTCTTTGTGGCCTAGGTTACCTTTTAGGATTATGTAGGTCACCAGAACACTTTGGCTTCTGGTGGTGAGGTTGGCCAAAACTCAAGTTCTGACTGCTGGAATGGGCAATTCCTCTCCGGTTAGGGCTGGTCTAAATGTTCCCTTCATAGACAGGCATCAGCTGAGTTTAGCACAGTTTTGCTTTCCAATGTGACAAGACACCACTGAGTTAAATGCAAAGTCTCACAATCACTGTGTTCTCCCTTTCACTAGCACACATTATCTTGCCATGCCACACAGCCACTGCTGGTGGGTGGGCAGAGGTGGGGTCTGTAATTCAAGACTGTCTGTCTTACTCTCTTTAGTTCCATTTCCAGCAGTATTAATTTAGAAGTAGGTACTGTGAGAGCTCACCAGGTTTTTCATTTCATTTTTGAGACAGTTATTAAATTTGGTGTTCCTGTGGTGGCAAAAATAAGTGGAACCTTCCATTCAGCAATCTTGCTCATCAGTAGCAGAAATACTCTCTTCCAGAATTTTTAGTGTGTGGTATTACATTTAAATCTTTAATCCATCTTGAGTTTTTCTTTCCAGTCAGCTTTCCCAGATTGAAGCCTTAATTGTTGTATATGGTGAAAGACACAAGTCCAGCTTTAATATTCTGCATTCATATGACTAGCCAGTTATTCTAGCATCAGTCACTGAATGAGAAGTCCTTTCCCCATTTGTTGGCCTTGTCAAAGATCATATGATTATGCATGTGTGGCTTTATTTCTGAGTTTTATTGTATTGGTCTATGTGTCTGTTTCTGCGCAAGTACCAAGCTGTTCTGGTTACTGTGCTTTTGTAGTATTCTTTGAAGTCAGACAGTGTGAGGCCTGAAGCTTTGTTCCTTTTGCTTTGGATTGCTTGGCTATTTGGGTACTTTTTTGTTTCTACATGAATTTTTAATTTTTTTTTCTCCTAGTTCTGTGAAGAATGAATGGCATTGGTAGTTTAATCTAAAAATTGCTTTCAGCAGTATAGCCATTTTTTACAATATTGACTTTTTCAACCCAGTAGCATGAAATGTTTATTTGTGTCATCTCTGATTTCTTTTGACAGTGTTTTGTCTCCTTTTAGGAATCTTCCACCTCTGGTTACCTGTATTCCTAGCTATTTTGTTTTATTTGTGGTTACTGTAAGTGGGATTATTGCATATACTGTGAGCTTTTATTTCTTATTCTTAGATTTAATAATGTACCAACTTTCTGGCCTTAGATTTTGAATCCAGAGTTTTCACATTAAATAAATAAAATGGCAAGATTTTAAGAAGCCATAGGAAGTTTTTCTCTCTCTCACATATATATTTGTATTACTAAAACCATGGGATGACAGATTCCCTTTATATTTTCATTATTGAAAAATTTTCAGGAGAACAAATACCATGTTTCACAAACTAACTGAAGACTCTCCTTTTATTTATTTATTATTTATTTATTTATTTTTATTATTATACTTTAAGTTTTAGGGTACATGTGCACATTGTGCAGGTTAGTTACATACATATACATGTGCCATGCTGGTGTGCTGCACCCACTAACTCATCATCTAGCATTAGATATATCTCCCAGTGCTATCCCTCCCCCCACCCCCACCCCACAACAGTCCCCAGAGTGTGATGTTCCCCTTCCTGTGTCCATGTGATCTCACTGTTCAATTCCCACCTATGAGTGAGAATATGCGGTGTTTGGTTTTTTGTTCTTGCGATAGTTTACTGAGAATGATGGTTTCCAATTTCATCCATGTCCCTACAAAGGACATGAACTCATCATTTTTATGGCTGCATAGTATTCCATGGTGTATATGTGCCACATTTTCTTAATCGAGTCTATCATTGTTGGACATTTGGCTTGGTTCCAAGTCTTTGCTATTGTGAATAATGCCGCAATAAACATACGTGTGCATGTGTCTTTATAGCAGCACGATTTATAGTCCTTTGGGTATATACCCAGTAATGGGATGGCTGGGTCAAATGGTATTTCTAGTTCTAGATTCCTGAGGAATTGCCACACTGACTTCCACAATGGTTGAACTAGTTTACAGTCCCACCAACAGTGTAAAAGTGTTCCTATTTCTCCACAACCTCTCCAGCACCTGTTGTTTCCTGACTTTTTAATGATTGCCATTCTAACTGATGTGAGATGGTATCTCATTGTGGTTTTGATTTGCATTGCTCTGATGGCCAGTGACGGTGAGCATTTTTTCATGTGTTTTTTGCCTGCATAAATGTCTTCTTTTGAGAAGTGTCTGTTTATGTCCTTCACCCACCTTTTGATGGGGTTGTTTTTTTCTTGTAAATTTGTTTGAGTTCATTGTAGATTCTGGATAGATCAATGGAACAGAATAGAGCCCTCAGAAATAACGCCGCATATCTACAACTATCTGATCTTTGACAAACCTGAGAAAAACAAGCAATGGGGAAAGGATTCCCTGTTTAATAAATGGTGCTGGGAAAACTGGCTAGCCATATGTAGAAAGCTGAAACTGGATCCCTTCCTTACACCTTACACAAAAATCAGTTCAAGATGGATTAAAGACTTAAACGTTAGACCTAAAATCATAAAAACCCTAGAAGAAAACCTAGGCATTACCATTCAGGACATAGGCCTGGGCAAGGACTTCATGTCTAAAACACCAAAAGCAATGGCAACAAAAGACAAAATTGACAAATGGGATCTAATTAAACTAAAGAGCTTCTGCACAGCGAAAGAAACTACCATCAGAGTGAACAGGCAACCTACAAAATGGGAGAAAATTTTCGCAACCTACTCATCTGACAAAGACTCTCCTTTTAAAGTTATGTAAGATTTAACAGTACCCAGTAAACTCTTAACAAGTCCAGCCTTTATATTCACCTTATAACTTTCAGAACAAAACTTTAAAAGGGAAGATTATGATATAAATTCTTACTAGCATGTATCCAAAAAAAAAAATCGGCCGGGCACGGGAAGGGGAGGGGAGGGAAGGGAATGGGAGGCGCGGTGGCTCATGCCTGTAATGCCAGCATTTTGGGAGGCCGAGGCGGGTGGATCACGAGGTCAGGAGATCGAGACCATCCTGGCTAACAAGGTGAAACCCCGTCTCTACTAAAAACACACAAAAAAATTAGCCGGGCATGGTGGCGGGCGCCTGTAGTCCCAGCTACTGGGGAGGCTGATGCAGGAGAATGGCGTGAACTCGGGACGCGGAGCTTGCAGTGAGCCGAGATTGGGTCACTGCACTGCACTCCAGCCTGGGTAACAGAGCAAGACTCCGACTCAAAAAATAATAAATAAATAAATCGGTACGCACAATGAAATGCAGTAACAACATAAAGTTAGGCCAAAAATATACTGAACATGGCTCTTTTTTTTCAAGACGGAGTCTCGCTCTGTTGTCCAGGCTACAGTGCAGTAGCACGATCTTGGCTCACTGTAAGCTCTACCTCCCGGGTTCATGCCATTCTCCTGCCTCAGCCTCCCGAGTAGCTGGGGGCACCCGCCACCACGCCTGGCTAAGTTTTTGTATTTTTAGTAGAGATGGGTTTCACCGTGTTAGCCAGGATGGTCTCAATCTCCTGACCTCGTGATCCACGCGCCTCGGCCTCCCAAAGTGCTGGGATTACAGGCCTGAGCCACTGCCCCCCGCTACACATGGCTCTTTTTTTTATTACATTACTTGTTGTGGCTCTTCCATTCAGGTAACTGAAACGACCTTTTTTTTTTTTTTCTTTTTTTTGGAGACTGAGTCCCACTCTGTCGCCCAGGCTGGAGTGCAGTGATGAGATCTCGGTTCATTGCAACCTCTGCCTCCCAGGTTTAAGCGATTGTCCTGCCTTAGGCTCCTGAGTAGCTGGGAATACAGGGGTGCACTACCATGCCCCACTAATTTTTGTATTTTTAGTAGAGATGAGGTTTTGCCATGTTGGTCAGGCTGGTCTTGAATGCCTGAACTCAGGTGATCTGCCCCCACAGGCCTCCCACAGTGCTGGGATTACAGGTGTGAGCCACTGCACCTAGGCTGAAACTATCTTTCCATTCAGTACGGTTGCTTCCTCCTATGGCAGTTTAGAGACAGTCTGAGAATGGCTCAGTTTATAGAATTTATTATGAAATTGCTTTTCATTTATACACTGTAATTTACTTGTTCATGAAAGCCAAAACAGTGGATTACAATGAATAACTTTTGAAAACAAAATGGCACCCCAGTATTTCCAATGTTAAGATAATTGGTTGCCACTTATTGTTCGGTTTCTTTAACTCTTAATCTTATACATTCTAAGTTACTACTCAAAACTGCCACACTTTAAAAACTGTATGTTGGACATTTTTTTTTCCTTAATAACCGAGGCACAAAGGATGAAAAGGATTTATAAACTATCAATGTTAGCATAAAATTACATATGACTAGATAAATATGAAAAATATGTCCATGTTTTCTGATTCTAAATGCAGATTTCTGTCTTCAAATTGTATCAGAAACCTTATGAGACCATCTAAGTAACTGAAACATACCAAAAGACTGTAAACAGATTAGGTGGAAGTAGGGCTTATTAGAACCCAGCATGATTATCAGGCAGAAATGTATTCAAAATATCCAATTACTTGACGTTATCACAGTAGGAAAGGCACTCGTTTATTTATTTTAACAGCAAATATTATGGTCTTTTATCCTTAAGTTCCATTACATCAAAACAATAAAGTATTAACATTTAACTTAAGGTAATTCAGTGTCCTCAGCTTTTAAAGAAATAAATACTTTAAAACAATGAAAATAAATCAGTTTGCTTTCAGAAACTACACACTAAATGAATTTCTCTTCTTGGTTGATGATGGCCAAAATCCCAACTGTAGAACCATCCTCAGAGAACTTGTCATGTAAAAACACTTGGTTCAATTTAGATCTGTAATTGAAAAGAACATCAGATCCATAGAAAAATAACTCTTATTACAACATTCTACTGCATATAAAGACTCCCAGTGGTAAACTGTGAAGTAAATCGTTTTGAACTGAGTATTCTGTATATTAGATTTTCTTATTTCCTTTTTGTTATCAGTAAATCTTTATGCTCTTTTGGAATGTTATTGTATATCATATATCAGAACATTTTTGAAGTTTTGCATGTCCTTACTTCCTTTTGTGGTAGTGGTTACAGATCTTATATTCTGAGGGTGGACACAGACAAAATAGATGTAATTCCTTTAAAAATGGGATAAATATGGTCGTAACCAAATTCTGAGTCCATGTAGTCACAGAAGTAAAACTAGAACATCTATAAATCTACAGTGTTCTCTTGTAATAAGCAAAAGAAACTCAAAAGAAACTAAACTTCCTTTAATAGCCATTGTCTTTACATTCCTTCCCGTTACCTTAATGGGCCTAGTTCCAAAGGAAATGGCATAACTCTAAGATACTCCCCCCCACTCCCTGAGAAAAATCTTAGCCATGTCTAGATCCTTATTCTAACATCTGTGTTTGTAGCTTTGTGTTCCACTAGGTAGTCTGGATAGGTTCTCTGAATTTTCCAAAGAGGCCTCCAAGGCCACCAACTGTGGAAATGTTCAGATTTGCCCTTAATCTACAACAAAATATTTATGCTTTTGGTTATTGCAACATGAAGTAAATGCCAATTCTGTTTAATCCCCCAAAAAACCTCTGGCTCAGGGTCCCCAAAGGGAGGTACATGAAGAAAATATTAGAATGTGAAACGAAAATATCTTTGGCCCCCAAAATTACTATGAAAAACTCAAGGTGGAAACTGCTTAAGACAAACCGGCCTCCCATTCTATTCAAAAGTTATCCTTTCGCTCATTGAGTTAGATGCATAGCTGACTGCCTCCTTTAGAAAGGCTAACAAGATGCCCTCCCTTTCCAAACTGAACCAACGTTCTTTTCACATATATTGATTGATGTCTCATGTCTCCCTGAAGATGTAGTAAACCAAGCTGTGCCCCAAACACCTTGGGTACATGTCCTCAGGGCTTCCCGAGGCTGTGTCATGGGTGCGTCCTCAACTTTGGCAAAATCAACTTTGTAAATTAACTGAGACCTGTCTCAGATTTCCTGGGATCACAAGAACAATGCATTTTTCATCTCTTTTCATTTTCTTTTTGGGTATACTTTAAAATTTATATTACATTAGAGTAGTGTTACTAAGTACTACTCAGAAACAATTCCAAAGAAAAAAAAACTAAAAAATTTTGTAAATATAGAGTACTTTATGTTGTAAAAATTTATAAATGCATATATACAATACAATTAAGGACTCAGTTTATTTTCTTCAACTCAAAGTGTAAGTAATAGTTTGGAAATGTGCCAAAATATAAGGTGTAATATCAGATGAATAGAAGGATGGGTGTGATAGATGAAGCAGAGAAAAACTGTAAATTGTACAATATTGTTGGTGAGTATTTGAATGTTTACAAATAAATTTAAAAATCCTTCTACTCCTCTGAACAGTCTGGAAACAATCTTAATAAACATGTTGGTAAAACAAAAGCTGTAGAGAACCCTGATGTAGAACAATGGTTCTCAATGGAGTGTGTGACCATCACCTATGTCTGTCTTAGACTTTCCAAAGTTTAGCCTTTGTAATTTTTTTTTTTTTTTTGAGATGGAGTCTCGCTCTATTGCCCAGGCTGGAGTGCAGTGGTGCAATCTCGGTTCACTGCAACCTCTGTCTCCTGGGTCCAAGTGATTATCCTGCCTCAGCCTCCTGAGTAGCTGGGACTACAGGTGTGCACTACCATGCCTGGCTAATTTTTATATTTTTAGCAGAGATGGGGTTTCACCATGTTGGTTAGGCTGTTCTCGAACTCCTGACCTCATGATCTGCCCGCATCTCCCAAAGTGCTGGGATTACAGGGGTGAGCCACCACGCCCGCTGGACTTTATAATTTTTAAAAGCTCTGGTAAATTGCACAGATTACATCAAGAATGACTGCTTTAGGTATTCTATAATTTCTTCTCAGTACCTAGTTAATCATAACTTTTGGGTGTGTATATACAGGTGGTTCCTGAACAACAATTTTATTATAGGGATATTGACAAAAAAACCTAAGCCCAAATGAAGTCTAAGCTATACCAACAAATTCCATATCCAATAAACACACACACACACACACACACACACTCTCTCTCTCTCTCTCTCTCTCTCCCCCTCTCCCTCTCTCTCTCTCAAGAGAGGGAAGAAAAATCAAAGTGAATTTAATTTCAATATAGTTAACTGAAAAAGAGAGCTGAAGCATTTACTGCTTTGTGAACTGCGCTGCTTTGTTACTAGGAAAAACAATCATTTCCACAAAATAAGCACAAACTAACTCCAAAACAAGAGTCTGGCCAGTACAAACTGATGCTCAACCATGTAATTCTATTACATGTCCTGGCAACAGGCCCTTCATTTTAACAAACCTTTGAAGTATGTTGTAATTTCAGTGCTGCATCAAACTGGTTCAAACAAAATTCTTCTTTTAACATACTAAGCATTTCTCTTAATAGAGGACGTGTTCTCAAAACTATCTCTTTAGACACTCTTACTTAACGTTGATTATGAAGTGCCTACTGCCGAAGCTAAAATTGATTTTTGCAGTAAATACTATCCCAAAGGACTGTAAAGTTTATAGATAATGCATAGATAAAACAAAATACCTGTTAGGTTTATTTACTTACATCATCAATGTCTTCATCATCATCTCCAATATCGTCAAACTGGATTTCATCATCATCTCCAGGACCAAATGTGTCTGTTTCATTGATTTTAGCTAAAGGTAAAATAACAGACATACTGATTATATAACCTGTAGTCCCACCAATTTGGGAGGCCATGGTAGGCAGATCACTTGAGATCAGGAGTTCGAGACCAGCCTAGCCAACATGGTGAAATCTGGTCTCTACTAAAAATAAAAAAATAAAAAATTAACCAGGTATGGTGGCAAATGTCTGTAGTCTCAGAGGGTGCAGAGGGTGAGGCAGGAAAATAGCTTGAACTTGGCAGGCGTAGAATGCAGGGAGCTGAGATGGTGCCACTGCACTCCTGCCTGGGTGACAGAGCAAGACTCTGTTTCAAAAAACAAAGAACGAATGTGCTGTATTGTGCTGTATTTTTCATTTGTTTTTAAAAGGTATTTTTAATTCTCACTTAGCACATATACAAAAGGTACTTTAAGTATGGTAGGCAGACTGATTATGCTAACTCAATAGCCAACCATTTCCATGTAGCCTTCAAAAAGGATTTGAGCACAGGTTAACAACTTATCCTCAAAATACATAAAGTTCTCTTGAAATTACAACAACTAGTTAACCAATTATTTAAACAGACTTATCAAATCAGTGAGAAATACTTGGTTAAATCATGATCATGCTTATCCCCAAGTAATGAAAGCGAAACTTTCAGCACTTCCTGAAATGCCAATAATTTCATCACTTCCAATAACATTTCAGCACTTCCTGAAATGCCAATAATTTCATCAAGATCTTCATGTTTATATAAAAATCTTTTCATAAAATGCAATATGATAAATAATGAAAATAGCTGCCAAGTAAAATACTCAGGCTTTACAACAGTGCATATTCTCTTTGATGGTGTCATGAGGGACTTATTTTAATCTTGTCAAGCTTTCGGCAGTAAGTATGCATTGTGTTTGTCTTTAAGAAAAAGAAAACACAATTGTTTGTTAAAAATAATCCCATAGTTAAAACTTTGCTAAGATGAATACTTTTTTCTATAATAATCAAACATTAGTATTACATTTGTTGCCTCTGCTTAAATGAAAACTGCCAGTCTTGAGAACTGTTTAGAAAAACACTATAAAAAACGTATTTCTTTGACAGATCTTATATACAAATCCAGAGCTTATGAATTTATAAAGTTGTCACTAAAGGAACTTTCATAATTCATAATCTCTTTATTAGAGACTTCTACTTTCAAGTTCATAACGTTTTTATTAGAGATTTCCAGTTATTAATATCTTTTCCAAAGTATCATAAGTAAACTGAAGTATAGGCAAGACTACTTATAACAAATTTTTAAGTATACACTAAAACAGTATGTAAAACAAGAGTTCTACGGAAATACCTTCACCTAAATACCAACAAACATTAATATCAAATAATGAGGAGATAAAATCATTTTGATCTTACCATGTTCTGGAAGCTCGCCATATGCCTTCAGGCTTCTAGCTTCATCTGCATTGTACTTTAAAATTACATCAGCTTTGTTATCCTTAGAAATAAACAAATAACTTTCAAAACGTCTTATACCAAAATATCACCAGTTGTTTCACAAGTTACTTTCAAATTGAACACATCTAAAAAAATCCCACATACTGTTTGTTACAAACTCTCCTGCTTTTCTTTGCCTACCCCAATACCCTCTAGAAAAAAATTCTTGAGTCTGAATAATTAGGAAGTGGTTTATGTTCATTAGTAAACAGTGATTAACAGCTTAGGAAAGATTGTAGAGATTTCACTTTAATAAAAGCACAAAAGGCAAGCACAGTGCTTTTATTTACTATTCCCTTTTAATTAGAAGTCTCTTGGAAAAAATAAAAGACTAATTAAAAAAATTGTAATATAAAACTTTTAAGGTCAAACACTGCAATTCAAAACTAAAAATGGAGTAAAGAATAATGATGTTAAAAAGGTAATACACTTTTCTAGGCCAGGCACGGTGGCTCGCGCCTGTAATCCCAGCACTTTGGGAGGCCAAGGCGGGCGGATCATGAGGTCAGGAGATCGAGACCATACTGGCTAACATGATGAAACCCCATCTCTACTAAAAATACAAAAAATTAGCTGGGCGTGGTGGCAGGCATCTGTAGTCCCAGCTACTCAGGAGGCTGAGGCAGGAGAATGGCATGAACCCAGGAGGCGCAGCTTGCAGTGAGCCGAGATCAAGCCACTGCACTCCAGCCTGGGCAACAGAGCGAAACTCCTTCAAAAAAACAAAAACAACAATAATAAACTTTTCTATGCATCAGTAGTTCTTAGTATAGATTATCTAACAGAATTGTCTATGGAACTTGAAAAATAGCTTGATTTTAAAAATACATACCTACTTCCTTAAGATTGAAAGTAGACCTGCCTGGGGTGTAGTACATGAATGCATATTTTTAAAAGTTCTTCTGGGTGGGTGTTTCTAATGCCAACACTAAGAATCACTTTCCTCAGATGTTCACAGTTCCCCATTTGAAAGTATTTTATCCAACTTGGGGTGAGGAGGGGTTCTGATTGCTTACAATTTACAATATAAGTAAGATGTAAACTAAAGTGATCTGTCACAATGGCAGTATGAAATAGACCAACACTTTTCAAACTGTAATGTGCAAACCAGTTTTTGTTAAAATGATAATTCGAATAATATAATGGACATAAAAATAACATTTTAAAAGCACAGTACAACTTTTTATTTGATATATGAAAAAGAAACAAAGTCAATGTGTAATTAAGTCTTATCAAAATAAATGCTTTCTTGCAGTGATTGCAGGAATGGCAGAATAAGGACTTGCTAAAATTTGTTCCTTCAGAAAAGAAATAAGAACATTGACAAACATGGTCAAAATCCATATATCAGAAATCTGAAAATTAACCAAATGAATGCAATAAACACTAAGGAGCGTTTATTCACGAAAAATAGGTGAACCTTACTAAGAAAAAGCAGTGTGGGCTTTTAAGTTCCCCTATTCCCATTCCTTACCTCAGTTTAATAAAAACCAACACAATAGCAGCTACTGAAAAGCACAGACCAAGTCCGAAGTTCTTTGATAACACCATTCTATAGAGAATTTCCTGGCAGTTCCCGGAAACTTCCATTTTAAGAACTTTTCTTTAACTCACTTGATTCAGAGCTTAATCACTGTGGTTTACCCCACAGGGCTTTTGTAGAAAAAATAATCTGTGGCAATTTTTTAACATGCCTTAAGTGGTAGTAACAGTTGAGACAAAAAATAAACCAAAAAACTCGCAAAAGCTCTGGAATGAGATATCCATAGGAAATCTGTAAAGTCCAACATACTTCTACAAATCTAACAGGCCAAATATACGTTCAGAGTAGTGCACATGATAAAGAAAGACATAGGAAAGCCCTAATATTACCCCTGACTGAACTTGAGATCCTGCACAGCAAGAAATGAAGACTAAGGAAGAGGTGTCAGTTTACCAACATTGGCTGAATGCTCAAAGTATTCCTCTACATGTACAAGATTCCTCTTTAAATGATTAAATTCTTGGTGGTTTTAATGAAATCTTAGTTCAAACATGAACTGCCCACTAAACTAACCAACTATTCAATGGCCAAAGAATTAGTTCAGAAAAGTCACCAAACAAGCAGTATCAACAACAGCCCCGAGAGGCAGCAATCTGATTTCCAGAACTGCTATGTTGTAGTTAAATTGTTCGGTTTAAAAAAAAAAAAAAGATTTAAAAAAGTGGCTCAAACACAGGGAAAAAAAAAATACTATTCCTGAGGAATCCCAGAAGTTGGACTTAGTTTATCTAAGACTTAAAAAGAAATAATGTCTAAAAATATTAAGGAAATTATGAAAATGGTATTTCACTAAACAGAAAAAGTCAATAAAGACACTGAAGTAATTTAAAAAGTAGAAATTCTCAAGATGAAAAGTAAAGTAACTTCAATATGCCACTTATAGTAATGAAAAGAACAATCAGACAAAAGATCAACAGAAGACTTGAACATTACAAACCAACTTAGACTTGACAGATGACTACAGAAAACTTCACCTAATATCAAGAGAATAAAAATATAGACATAGCAGTAGTTTCTCAATGTGGTTAAACAATGGTGATGAATTCCATGAGTAGAAATCAAATGTATTTTACAGACCTACAACATGTAAATAGTATGAAGGTTGGAGATTAAACAGCTACTACTGTCTTTGTTATATACCGCTCACTTTATAGCATGTACTTTACAACATTTTGTACCATTAACTACTTGGTATGTATGCCTTAACTTTACACTACCAAACTATAAAACTTTTAGAGGAGAACAGACTTATTCAGCTGCATCAACTAGACTTGTGGTTTCCCAGATTTGGATTTCAAGAACTTTAAATTTCAAAATATTAAAATAATGTTAAAAATAATATTAGGTAAATGAGTCTCCAGATTATTCAATTTTGCTTTGCCAAATTAGAACACTAATAAAAATTACTACCTTATACACTTTCTCATTTAAAAAAGTTATTAAAATATATATTTAAAAAGGTAAGCAAACAATTGTGCTCCATGAAAAACATCGTAACTATGTATCTTCTAATTTGACTTCAGAGCACTGAAAATTCAGCCTGCACCAATACTATTTAACAGACCGGCATTTGGGAACTACAATGTCTGAAATACCTAGCTGAATGCCTGAAACACCATTGGCCTTTAAATGGATGAGGACAGATGGTCTACAGTACTTGCCCAAGCCTGCAAGAAAATATTTACTGCACATTATATTAACAATGAAAACAAAGAATTAAAAACTTTATGTCTTTCCACAAAAATATATGTACCATTTACTATCAGTGAGAATTATGTCAAATTTGAAAAATACTATAGTCTGAAATACAACTGGCCCTTAATAAATGATGATGGCAGGCAGAATGGTGAGAAAGCAACCTGGGCTGGAATGGGTCAAAGATGCTAGTATAGTTACCTTCCAAACATTAACAACTGCTTAAACACAGACATACCACAACTTTAAATGTTATTTTTACCTGATAGTCCCGTAGACCAACCAATATAATGTCTGATGTATTTATCCAAACCTGTAAGAAATTTACTGCAGATTATTTTAAAAATAAAAACAAATAATAAAAAGAATGTTTAGTGAATCTTCCCACAAGACAGGTATACTATTCACCAAGTGTGAAAAAAAAAATTAATTAGATGCCGGGAGAGGTGTCTCATGCCTATAATCACAGCACTCCGGGAGGCTAAGCCACAGGGATGACCTGAGCACAGGAGCTTGAGACCATCCTAGGCAACGCAGAGAGGCCTAGACTGTACAAACAGTTAAAAAAAAAAAAATTGGGTGTAGTGGCATGTGCCTGCCAACTACTTTAGGAGGCTGAGGCGGGAGGACTGCTTGAGGTGAAGGCTGCAGTGAGTCGTGATTGTGCCACTGTACTCCAGCCTACACAACAGCGTGAGACCCTGCCTCAAAAAATAAAAATAAATTAGAAAAAAACCCTGAAATATATATATCTGTAGTATAGTTGTATGTAGTACATAGTTAAGGTATGGCATGAAAAAACTATAGTACCCAGTTGAGTTTCTTAAAATTTTCTTATTTAGAATGTTAAAAAATATACAGCAATTTTATTTCAATTACTCAAGAGTTTAAAATGTCAGATGATCCTTTGTCTCAGAAATTGAGAGACATATAATTGTCCCAAATACAGAAGATGTATCTACACAAAATGACTATAAAGCACCCAATCTACATAAATACAGCACCTGTTCTTGTCTTAATGTTTGTGTTCCTCAAAAGATTTATATTGAAATTTGGATCCCCAAGGTGATGGTACTAGGAGGTTGGGCCTTTGGGAGGTGATTACGTGATGACAGCTGATCGCTCATGAATGGGATTTTTGCTTTTAAAGAAGAGGCCCAAGGCAGCTTATTCATCCCTTCCACTATGTGTGGACTAAGCCAGAAGGCACCACATAATAATCAGGAAATGGGTCCTCACCAAATATTAAATAGATTTCTCTTTCTCCAAAACTATGAGAAATAAAATTTCTGCTTTTTATAATCTACCCAGTCAGTGACAGCCCAAATGGACTAAGAGAATCCCTAAAATGCCACTAATTTGGAAAAGAAAGAATGTTAACATACCAGAAAGATTTTTTTTTTTTTCTTTTTGAGATAGAGATTCGCTCTATCACCCAGACTGGAGAGCATTAGCACAATTTTTAGCTCATGGGAACCTTGAACTCCTGGCTCAGCCTCCTCAGTAGCTGGGACTACAGGTGTATGCTGGCTAATACTTCCACAGAGCTCAGCCAAAAATAAGTTTTTATTATTTTAATTAAAAATCTGAGTAGTAGAGACTTTTAATCAGTGTAATTTATAAAACTACCTGATGTGGTATTACTAACAAATAGAGTTTCTAACATATTCCATATTCCAATTTTCCTAGTACCACCTAAAACTATTTCCCCCAATCCAAAACCTAACAAAGGGATATGCACCGATCAATCTCTTTTAAGCTAAAGTAATTCCCAGATTTTTCATTCTTTCACAGCATTAACATCTGAGTCAAGACCATTTGTGTTATATATTAGATTTGTCTGGTTTCTTCAATACTAATATCAGAGTAAACATTTCTGGTAGGAATACAACAGAAGTTAAACAAACAAATTATTCTTTAAAAGTAAATCTAAAAGTTATCAAAGACTTTTTCTATTTATTCACATTGTCACATGAATCATTGCTGTATAAATTATTTTGGGAACTCACAAAAATAAATTGCTTGGACCATGTATTTAAAGCAGAGACATTTTTTGCGGCAAATTTTTATTGAAAAGTAACCTACACACCTACCTTTTTTCTCAATTTCCCTCTGATATGGCATAACCTCTTTACACCATCAAAACACAATGCTTCCAATCGTCCATTTCCCAACATTTTGATTACCTGAGCATACTCTGAGGAGAGGAGATAAAAAAAAAGGTTGAGATCTTGGTCCACATTTGTTAAAATGTAATGACTGAAATTTAGCTATTGGGCCAGGCATGGTGGCTCATGCCTGTAATTCTAGCAATTTGGGAGGCCAAGGCAGGTGAATTGCCTGAGGTCAGGAGTTTGAGACCAGCCTGCCCAGAATGGTGAAACCTTGTCTCTTCTAAAGATAGAAAAATTAGCTGGGTGTGGTGCCCGATGCCTGTAATCCCAGCTACTCAGGAGGCTGAGGCAGGAGAATGGCTTGAACTCGGGAGGCAGAGGTTGCAGGGAGCTGAGATAGCACCACTGCACGCCACCCTGGATGTCAAGATCAAAACTCAACAACAACAACAATAACAACAACAAAAAAAGAAATTTACCTGTTAATAAAAGCTTCATTTACTGCTAAATTAGATCAAACTACTTACAAAGAAAAACAGGAAAAAACAAATAGCAAAAAGCTTGAGTAATTTATTCAGAGTCATATTTCAAAATGACACATATTCTAACTTTATTTAGGGAAACCAGAGAATTCTTTATCTGTCAACTTCTTCACCTCTTCCAGCTATGCTCATATGCTTTAACACGTTTATATTTAGAATAAATAAAAGACTAAGTCAAGTAACTTGTTCAGGGTTACAAATGCCATTTCCATGACAAGCTATTTCTGTTACTAGAGGCATTTTAATTACCCACTCATTTTGATTAAGTCAACTGTTGTTTTCACGACTGTACACTCTACTTTTGAACATCACGGTGGCACATTTCAAAATATACACTATAATGCTACATCAGTCTCTCACACATGAGGCCTAACTCTATCTTCACTATCCCTAAACTCAGAAATGACAAAGACAAATAATAGCTTAACCATTAAAAATTCCTGTTTACTTTAGAATATCTCGGTGATTATTCTAAAGTTCTTAGAAAATAAGAGTGAAAGGCCAGGCATGGTTACTCACGCCTATAATCCCACCACTTTGGGAGGCCGAGGCGGGTGCATTACCTGAGGTCAGGAGTTCGAGACCAGCCTGGCCAACATGGTGAAACCCCATCTCTACTAAAAATACAAAAATTAGCCGGGCATGGTGTCACACACCTCTAATCCCAGCTACTGGGGAGGCTGAGGCAGGAGAACTGCTTGAGTCCAGGAGACGGACATTGCCCTGAGCCGAGATCATGCCACTGCACTCCAACCTGGCCAACAAAGCCAGACTCCGCCTCAAAAAAAACAAACAAAAAAAAGCTACATTGAGGGGTTATATATGTGGCAACTGATCCATTTTACAAAAATCCAGTGAGCTCAGCTTATCATTAAGCACTTTTGAAACATGGAGAAAAATAAAAACAAAATGAGAATGAAAATTAAAAAACTGGTCCTGAAAGTAAAGTCAACATATATTAGAAGTGAAAAAGATGAAGGCTAAATAAACGTCTTTTGCCAGAAAATATGTTTCATATAATTAAAAGATGTTGATTTTTTAGTGGCTTCTGTTTAGAACATAAATGACAACCAAAAATTCTATAGAAACATACCTAGCTGTTCTTATAAATTATTAAACAATAAATGTATTCATGGTGAAAATAATTAAACGTGAAGAAATTTGAATATAGATTACCTATGAGGTTAGCACTCTTCAGGAAAACTTGCCTGTGATGGAACTATTACATATCTAAATTGTAAGTTAAATTAATCTACATAGTCACATGCGGTTAGTGGTTACCTATTTGTAACAGCATGGTATAAAGCAGATAACAGTATTACATTAAAGTTAAATATGTTGTTTGTAGTTAGTAAAGGAGAAGTGCTTCATCTTGGGAGACATATGCTGAAGTATTTAGCGCTAAAGTCTGTAAATTCATGTTACTAGTTATCTGTATAAAAATTCAAAATAGTTAGAAAAACGTGTATACATGCAGATACTCAGAGATAGAAATAAAGTAAAAGATGTAAAAGGTTAAAAATTGGTGAATCTAGGTGAAGAATACATGCAACTTTTTTGTGTACTAATATCACAAATTTTTCTTAAGTTCATCACTTAAAGAAAAAAAAGAAGAAAAAAAGCAAGTGGCCCAATAAATTTACTTTATTTTTTTTTTGTATGTTAGTCTGTACATCGTTTATCAATTCAAGGGGTTAGTCAATTATTAGAATTGTATTACATTTTATGATTATGTGCTAGCTGCATTGAAGAACTTGTGGTTCAAAAAGGTTTTGAGGTTTTATCCTCATAAATAACCATGGTCTAATAGTGTACAACATTACTCATTACCAATGTATGGAATATTTAATGATCACAGTCTATGCTTAATTTGCTCTGAACTTTTGTATTTTTTTGAGACAGGGTCTTGCTCTGTCACCCAGGCTGAATACAGTGGCACCCTCACAGTTCCCTGTAGATTAGACCTCCTGGGTTCAAATTATCCTCTCCCCTCATCCTCCAGAGAACTTGGGACTCCAGTTGTGTAACACCATGCCCCATTAATTTTTTTTTTTTTTTTTGTAGAGACACGGTTGTACCCTGTTGCCCAGGCTAGTGTCAAACTCGTAGCTTCAAGCAATCCACCCACCTCGCTTTCCAAAGGGCTGGGATTGCAGGCATCAGCTAGATTGTGTTCTTCCACACAAAATACTGAACGTATATTTACAAAAATGCTTCCATCGAATCCGCTATCCAGACTTGGTATATCCAAGGAATCATTATTTAATGAACAAGTACAGGAGAAATGTAGATGATGAGAAATGAGGAAAAGAGAAATGGAAACACAGGGACAACGGCTCAGGATAATGATTAAGATTCCTTTAGGAGAAAGACTGAAATTTATATTAACAGCAACAACAAAACATATTAATGAAAGAAGCCTAAGTTGAAAAGTCTTACCTTGTCCATCCTCTTTAAACACCAACTCTCTTTTTTCAGATTCATTCTCATTTTTACCCCTGCGCCTGTTTTTACCTCCTTTACCTAATTAATTAAAAGAGTAGATAAAAAATTAATGTAAAAATCTACATAATATCATATAAACTAAACTATAAAACAAAATAAGGCTTTTGAAGTGTGTTTTTGAAACCACTTGCAGGAAAATTAAAAATATATCATTTAAACACATAATAAATGTGTTTAAATTTATTTACATTACAACATTAATATTACCTCATTAACAGGACCTGTCAAAGGTTCTCTTTAAGTCTTTTACCCGATATATATCAATACTATCCTTCTTGGACATTTGTTTGGATACTTCTGAAATAAGAATACATCTTATATGAAACTATATAATAGAAACATTTTATCACCCAAAGATAACTATTATGAATATTTTGTTCACGCTTTCCAAATAAAAACAGGACTTCATTCATTTTCTTCTACAGCATATTTTAACTACACTAAATAATTTGTCCTGAATATTCATTTTCATTTCAATAACTGCAGATCTGGACCAACATTTTAATGGTTAAAGTATACTTAATAATTTAATTTCTTCCAATGTTTTAATTTTATTATATAATGCTGCATTGAATATTATTCTACAAACAAATTTCACAAGATAAATGAATAGAAATATAATTTCTAGTTTAAAGTTTACATACACACTTCCTTAGACTTTTGATAACTGTTTCAACTGCCATCATGTTTCACTCTATTTTTAAGTTTTTGCTTATTACTAAACACATCCAGAGTATTTCCTTGTGATATTTTCTATTGAATTATCAAGGGACTGGGGTACTTCTCCATAACATTGTATCCCCATTAGAGAACGTAAACCAAAGTAGCGGCCGTTTCCAAAAGGAGGGAGAAAGGCTACAAATTACAGTAATATTAAGGGATCGATTGAAGAATTTGAATAAAAATGTTAACACTGCAAATAGAATAAAACATATACCTGGCCACCATAAAGCCAGACATCTAACTTCTTGAATTCACCCACTACCTCTGGGGCAGTCTCACATTGTTCTGTGCCACTATAGAAGACAATTGGGCTTCCAGAACTCTGTGATTTATCCAGATTCTGATGCATTTTAGGGCATGCCAAAACTAAATTTCTACAAAGGAAAACACATTCTATATTTCGAGCAATTAATCGTGCCTGAACTTAGCTGCGTCAGGACAAAGATCATACCTGCTTTCCTTACTGGGTTTTACAAAAGTTTGGCAGCTTTTCAAATGACTAAATGATGATTAGCTCATAAATTTCCAAAAGAATGACAACTTTAGCAATCTCAAAGGTGGGGAGCACCTTACTCTAGCTCTTCACAAGTATAGGCCAAAGGATGCCCTTTTCCTGATGTGAGGATGGGTTTCTAAGATTTTTGTAGAATACCAGCTTAATGCATGCAAAGAAAAAGTAATTCCACATATGGCCCATGCTCATTTACATGTTTATTTGGATAAACCTCACCACGACAATACTGACAGGCATCTGGATTTTCAAACGAAAAAAACAACAACAAAAAAGACACAGAAAACCAAATGAGCAAGTTTTATTTCTACATTAGTAAGTCTCATCTCATAATATTTAGGGGTCTTCAAAAGTATCCCTCAAGTAAGTAGCCCAGAAGATAACACTAATTTTACACAACAATAAAAACATTCAATTCAGGATGGGTATTATCTTAAGAAAAATAAATTTGGGAAGGGTAACAGAGGACTTTAATGAATCTAGGTTATAATTCCTAGAGGTATGGATTTCTAGGAGTTCACTGTATTACTATACTTCTTTTTTTTTTTTTTTTTTTTTTTTGAGACGTAGTCTTGCTCAGTCGCCTAGGCTGGACGTAGTCTTGCTCAGTCGCCTAGGCTGGAGTGCAGTGGCGCGGTCTGGGCTCACTGCAAGCTCCGCCTCCCGGGTTCACGCCATTCTCCTGCCTCAGCCTCCCCACGGCCGGCTAATTTTTTTTGTATTTTTAGTAGAGAGGGGGTTTCACCATGTTAGCCTGGATGGTCACGATCTCCTGACCCCGTGATCCACCCGCCTTGGCCTCCAAGGTGCTGGGATTACACGCGTGAGCCACCGCGCCCGGCCACTATACTTCTTTTGTGTGCCTTCTGAGGCACATATGATAAAAAAAAAATTGTTTTCAATTTACCAGGATTAACCAAACCCTGATCATTCCCCTTCTATTGTGATACCATGTAACAGAATCCACTTTAAATTATATTTTAGAGGAATGAGGCTAGGCATGATCATACAAAAATTAAAGTCGTTTAATATTTTATCTCGTTTCCTTTCTAAGATCAAAAAATCCACACTTCCTCTTTAAACAAATCCGACGTGTTTTGGAGATACTCTCTTTATTGAGAACATTTTTAGGCATCACTCAGTTTAAAAGTTCTACCCTACAAGAATAAAGGAAGCCTTACTATTTAAGGATAGAGTCAGGTACAGGGATAATAACATCAGCAAAGATTTAATGGACATTTTGCAAAGGGAGATACTCTGATCTTTAGAGCTGATGGCTTAGAGAACTGGGAATCTCATCACTAGAAATAAAGGTGAGAACAAGATACCTACTGAAGTTGTTCAGTACCATCTGAGAAAATGTTAGTGAAAAAGCATAAGCCTTTGCTAACTCTTTCTAATTAGACTTCTCCCAGAATACACTTTATCCTCCAATAATTTTGCAGTAAAAAATAAAATAAAATAAAATAAAACCTTATTATACACACAACCCGTTAGTGGGTTTTCGGGAGAGCAAAGAGTAATGCCCAGGAAAGACTGCACTGTACTGTCACCAAGTACCTCAAGAGCTGTGTGTCGTGACAGCTAAAAAGAGAAAATGAAACAGATTCCATGCTGCCAACAGGCAAGTAAAAAGAAGACAAATTGGTCTGGGTCCCAGGAAGGAATAATCTAAACAGAGTTTTTGTGGACTATAAAACATGGTCCCCTCCTGTGGAAAATAATATTTTGTTTCCACCTACAGTTTTCTTCAAGCAATTACAAGGGCACTAAAAGTGAGAGATTACCTCAGGTGTATAAAAACGAGAATTTCTTTCAGAAATGACTGAGAAAGGGTTCTACCGAGGTTAGACCTCCTACTTTAGAAGCTGTGAGTAAACTTATTTTCAAGTCTAAGTTTCGTGTGAAAGTTTAGCCTCAGAATGAAGGGAACGTTGATATCTTTACTCCCACAATATTTATCGGATACGGAAGTTGAAAACCTGCCTAAATAGGTAACAAATCTTCTGCAAAAGAATGTTACACTCTATAAAGGGATGGGGTAGAGTAAAACGCCAGAAATGAACCTAAACATGCTTCAAGGCTTCCCCACTGTTTAACAAGGAAAAGGGAGTATCCTTAGCAATACTTTTAACTGTCCAGATAGGTAAGTCTTCAAAGTTAAGAACCGCTTCCAGGAAAGTAGCAGGGAAGTGTTTGCATGTGCCTATTCTGGAAAGCCAGGCCGTCCGGTTAAGGTCCCTCAACCGTCCCTACCTATACGTTTTCCGTCTGGCGTGAAATCAGCAGCAAAAGCCCGCTATCTTCCGAAGGAGGCCCCACAAAAATGGCGTCTGTCCCACCCCAATGTGACCAAATAGGGCATTCCCAGCTCCTTTCCCGAACACAGTGCTGGGGTCGCAGTGGCCAGTACCGCCGTTAGAACAGTCACTGCGGCCTGGAACAGGCGTCGGGGTTACTGGCAGAGCAAGCCGAGGTATAGTCCCAGAGGCTTACAGCAGTACCTTTATTCTTGGGCATGGCGGTGATGACAGCCTCGTGAGACCTCTTCCGACTCCTTTCTGGCGGTTACTACTCTAAGAGCCGACTGAACTAAGATGCAGCAGGTGGGTGCGCAGAAGAGGCTGGCTACAGAGCTCTCTAATAAACTGCTGACGCGCACTCTCTGGCGTCACCAAAAGGCGACGCAGCTGATTACGATGCTTTTCCCCGCCTCTCTTCGGCTGAGGCACGGCCAAATGACTGACACCTAGTAGACTCCATCAGGATACCGGAGAGTTTGCTGCAGGATGAATAAACAGGAAGCGGGGCGGGACTCAGCATGGAGAAGGTGGAGTCAAGGATGAAATGGGCGGGGCCCTGGAGTATTCTCCTTTGCTAAAAAACGGTCTTCCAGTTTCAGAAGTTCGTGGGTCATTTAACTGTAAACGCCTAAATTTTAAGAGAGCCCTTACTCTTATACAGTGAATTTGGAGGACTGGCTTAGGACAAGGCCCTCTATGTTCAGAATGTTTATCACTTTTCTCTCTTTTTTTTTTTTTTTTTTGACAACGAAGTTTCGCTCTTGTTGCCCATGCTGGAGTGCAGGGGCGCGATCTGCCCGTCTAATTTTTGTATTTTTAGTAGAGATGGGGTTTCACCATGTTGGCCAGGCTCTCAAACCCCTGACCTAGTGATCCTCCCGCCTCTGCCGCCCAAATTCCTGGGATTGCAGTAGTGAGCCACCGCGCCCGGCCTATTTTTTTCAGTCTTATCTTCTCTACCTCACCACCTCACAGTAAAGCATGTAAGTACAGAGGCCGCATCTGTTGCTTACAATTGCTAGCACCCAGCGGAATACTGACAAAAAGTAGACAGTAAATATATACAGGAAATGGAAAGTAAATATACATAGGAAGGAGTGAGACTAAGCATCTGAATCTTATAATAAATCATGGCTTAACCGAATGTCTCAAATGGACTGGCTGTGGAGGTCAAATTATTTCAAGACAAATTCCATTTGATTATGGTATACAATCATTTAATTTACTGGATTTGTTGTGTGTGTACTATTATGTTTAGAATCTTAGCATCTGTGTTAAGATATATTGGCTTGTATCGTGTGATGACTTTGACTTTAGGATCAATATAATCCCGGCTTCACAGAATGAACTGTGTAGTGTCCCTTTTTCTTCTGTGTTTTTGGACACATTCGAGGATTGATGTAAATTTTTTAAATGGTCCTAGGCCTTAGTTTGGATTATGAATTCGTGCTGTATTTATTCCCAAGTCAGTTCTGGTAGTTTGTATGTACCAGAAATTTGTTCATTTATTCTAAATTATAAAACTTGTTGGGCGTATAATTGGCCATCATATACAAAGTATAGTATCTTCCTAATCCTTTTTTTTCCCTTTCTGCAAGGTAAATAGTATGTATGTATCAGGACTTTGTTCATTTATTCTAAATTATCTTACTTGTTGGGCATATAATTGGCCATCATATACATAGTGTAGTATCCTCCTAATCCTTTTTTTTTCTTTCTTTTTTTCTGCAAGGTAAGTGGTAGTACCCTGATCATCACTACTGGTTTTAAGGAATTTAAGTCTTCATGGTTTTGTTTTTAAAAGCCTAGTGATGAAGCCATAACATTAAAAATAAAATTTTCTCTGAACCCAGAAGTCCTCTCCACAAAGACAGTAGAGAATGAAATCAGTTTTACTGTTAAAAATATGAAATATGAATTTAATGTACATTGTAGAAAATCAACCAAGAGATTACAAAGTCAAAAACAAATCTCGCCTTTTATATAGCTAAGCATCAAGGTAGTCTTCAAGATAGACAAATTTTCTTAAAAGAAATTACTGGTTGATCAGTAGTCTTTAATAAAGAAAATTTAACGGCACCATTTGTCACATACCCTTAGTTTACAATGGTAACAGGGGACCACATGTTATATAGCTAATTGTCTTTAATCAGAAGAGAAACTGACTTCTCATATTTTTAATCTCAAGAGGTTGTTTTGCAGTTCAGAGAAAAGCACCTACTGAGGTTAAGTTCTTACCTTTTACTGAAACTGGAAACAGAGGGGCACCTTCTCTCTTTATGTTTACGTTTCAAAGAGATAGTTCCTAGGTCCATTAGATAAATACTGCTGTGTTGTTGATATGCTTTGGCTTTGTGTCTCCATCCAAATCTCATCTGGAATTATAATCCCCATGTGTTAAGGGAGGGACCTGATGCAAAGCTATTGGATTATGATGTCAGTTACCCCCATGCTGTTCTGATGATAGTGAGGGAGTTCTCACAACAGCTGATGGTTTTAAAAATGTTCTGCAGTTTCACTCTCTCAGCTTCCTGCCTCCATATAAGATGTGTCTTTCTTCCCCTTCACCTTCTACAGTGATTTTAAGTTTCCTGAATCCTCCCCAACCATGCAGAACTGTGAGTCAATTAAACATCCTTTCTTAATGAATTACCGAGTCTCAGGTTGTATTTTTGGAGTAGTGTGATAACAGACTAATACAGAGAATTGGTACCAGGAATGGGGTATTGTGGAAAACCTGAAAATGTGGAATCAACTTTGGAACTGGGTAATGGGGGGAGGTTGGAACAGTTTGAAGGGCCTAGAAGAAGACAGGATTATGTGGGAAATTTTGGCACTTTCTAAAGACTTGAATTTTTTAACCAAAATACTGGTAGTGACATGGAGAATGAAGTCTAGGCTGAGATGGTATCAGATGGAAATGAGGAACTTCTTGGGAACTGGAGTAAAGGAAACACATGCTGTGCTTTAGCACAGCAAATGGTGGTAGTTTGCTCCTGCCCTATGGAACTTTGAATTTGAGAGATATGATTTGAAATTGGAACTTATGTTTAGAAGGGAAACAGACCATAAATGTTAGGAAAATTTGCAGCCTGACCATGTGATAGAAAAGACGAAAAAACCCAGCATTTTCTGGAGAGAAATTAAAGCTGACTGCAGAAATTCGTATAACTAATGAGGAGCTTAATGTTAATAGCTATGACAATGGGGAAAATTACTCTAGGGCATGTCAGAGATCTTCAAGGGAGCTCTTCTCATCACAGGCCCAGAGGCCTAGGAAGAAAAATAGTTTTTTGGGCTGGGCACAGAGTCGTGCTGCCCTGTGCAGCTTTGGGACTTGGCACCCTTCATTCCAGCCTCTCCAGCCTCAGCTGTGGCCCAAAGGGGCCAAAGTACAGCTTGGGTCTTTGCTTCAGAGGGTGCAAGCCCCAAGCCTTGGCAGTTAGGCCAATGGTATTAGGCCTATGGATGCACAGAAGACAAGAGTTGAACCTTGGGAACTTCTGCCTAAATTTCAGAGATATATGGAAATGCCTGGAAGTCCAGGCAGAAGTCTGTTCAGGGTGAAGCACCCAGGGATAACCTCTGCTAGGGCAGTGTGGAAGGGAAATGTGGGATTGGAAGTCCCACACAGAGTTCCCACTGGACCCTGCCTAGTGGAGCTATGAGAAAAGGACCACCATCCTCCAAACCCCAGAATGGTAGATCCTCAGGCAGCTTGCATCATGTGTCTGGAAAAGCTGCAGGCACTCAACACCTGTCTATGAAAGTAGCCACAGGGGGTGTACCTTACAAAGCCCCAGGGACAGAGCTGTGGGAGCTCACACCTTGCATCGGTATCCCCTGGATGTAAGATACGGAGTCAAATGAGGTTTTGGAGCTTTAAGATTAATGACTGCCTGGCCATGTTTTGTACTTGCATAGCGCTTGTGGCCCCTTTGCTTTGGCCTATTTCTTCCATTTGAAATGGTAACATTTACCCAATGCCTGTATTACCATTATATTTTAGAAGTAACTAACTTGCTTTAATTTTCCAGGCTCATAGGCGAAAGGAACTTCCCCTTTCTCAGATGAGACTTTAGATTTGGACTTCTGAATTAATGCCAAAATGAGTTCAGACTTTGGGGTACTATTGGGAAGGCATTACTGGTTTTGAAATGTGAAAAAGACATGAGAGTTGGGAGGAACTAGGGGTGAAACAATATAGTTTGGCTCTCTTCCCCCCTAAATGGCATCTCAAATTGTAATCCCCACGTTTTGAGGAAGGGACCAGATGGAAGGTGATTGGCTCATGGGGGCAGTTTCTCCTGTGCTGTTTAAATGTTTTAAATGTTCATAAATTAAATTATCCAGTAAAATGACAGTGTAAAAAAAAGGTGATTAAAAATGCTCCCAATATTTAACAATGTGCTGCATAAAAGCCTCACGTTATACTTACGGACACACAAAATATTTGAGTAAAGGGATTAAAAAAATCTATTCCAAGCAAACAATAATCAAAAGAGAGCAGAGCGAGCTATGCTTATGTAAGTGCTTATCAGTACTGAGACTGCTTTTTGGCCATAGAAAAATACATTGGTTATTTTGCAAAGGCAATTACAGTAGACTAACTGACAAGCTGCTTGGTTAGTATGAGTCATCTCATTTGGATCATTATTTTACCTTAAAGTTTCATTTGGTTTTGTTCATGAGGACATGAACATACTAAAAGTCCTTTGAATATAAGACAAAAGAAGATTATTTAAAATCTTTTTGTTCTTCCAATAACAAGACCTTATTCACCATAAAACAGTCTGCCTGGCTTCTCTCAAAACTTTTAAATGTTTGCATGCAGCATCTGTAATATGTCAAATAGTCCTCTTCAAATGAAATGACATACTAACAAATATGTCACTGTTTTGACACACTCTTACCTAGTTGACAATATAATCAAAGATGGGGATTATTAAACAAAATTATGAGAGACATAGTTTTAGAGTGATCTTGAGAACTAGGCCCCAGTAGACCAGACCAAACTGATATAGGCCAACCTGTGCACAGCCACGTAATCAACATAAAAATTTAAGGAAGCAGAAAGATCCCAAAACACATGGAAGCTGAGACCAAATAAAACTTGTATATTTGTTTGTTTTTTGTTTGTTTGTTTGTTTGTTTTGAGACAGAGTTTCACTCTAATCTTGTTGCCCAGGCTGGAGTGCAGTGGTGTCATCTCGGCTCACTGCAAACTCCACCTCCCAGGTACAAGTGATTCTCCTGGCTCAGCCTCCTGAGTAGCTGGGATTACAGTTGTCACCACCACGCCTGGCTAATTTTTGTATTTTTTTAAGTAGAGATGGGGTTTCACCATGTTGACCAGGCTGGGCTCGAACTCCTGACCTCAGATGATCCACCCACCTTGGCCTCCCAAAGTGCTGGGATTACAGGTGTGAGCCACTGCACCTAGCCTAAAACTTGTACATTTTAAATTGAGGTAAGACTGACCACTGGTCAACAGTCTATTTCTGCTTGTTTGTAAATGATTATACTGGAGAATCCCGAACATTAAAGGGCTCGGCAAGAGACCATCCCCTGGAGAGGTGACGGTGGTGGCAGAAGCTGGGTCAGGGTAAAGAGGGTGTGAATCTTGTTCAAGAAGAGGTACGTTAAAAAAATGCCAAGAGCTCAGGAATAATGTCAGAGGAAGGGCAATAAACAGAACATTCTGGGGAGAAAGCAAACCATAAAAATACATTCCTAACACTCCTCACAGACCACATCCATATCTTTGAAGGGAAGAATAGTAACACAAGGATTCAGGCTCCTCAGCTGCTTGTCTTCCTTCAATGATGCCTTTTCTACAACTCTCCTGCTCTCCTCAGCAAGAATTTTGACAGCAGCAATATTTTTTGTCTTCTTAAATCCCTGGTCAGGACCTCAGAAAAAGCTTCTTTCCTATCTAGAATTTTTCACTTCCAATTTTTTTATATACTAATTCTTAGTGGTTTTTGAATAAAGCTCGGTTCTTAAAGTCTATGCCCTGATGCCGAGAAATCTCTTGCCAGTAGCATTCCTGCTTGCTTATGGGAGTAATTTCCTAAATTAGTTTCATTCTATTCTGAATAGGAACAAATAAATTTTGAGAAAGACCAAGTATATACCTTTACTTTATTAATTTTTTCCCCTGTGTTTCTGGACTCCACTATTTTGTCTCTGTATCTTTAAAATATTTTAGTGCTTCAATACTCGACCTTCATTCTATTTTTTTCTCCCCTTTGTTCTCATTGTAGGAAAAAGCAATGTATAATTTAATTATATGTTGAGGCCAAAAATAATAGAGTAAAAAGAGAAATTAGTGACTTACCTATTGTCTATTTTTAACTCAATTCTTTTTATTAAAAATAAAATATGTGTGTTTTGAGACTATGGATATCATTTGCACTTCTTGGAATGTAAGAGTGAAGAACTGAGGTTAGGAAACACTACGACAGTAGCATGGTCAATGTAGTTTTTAACAATTTTGGGAAGGAAGAGTAGAGAAAAATCAGTTTTATTTACAAAACATGTCAGACTCAGACCAAAGTTAAGGTTTTCTCAATGGACAGCTTACTGATCCAGCACCAGCAATAGAAAAGTTATCTGTGCTACACTTAATTGCTTTGTGTTTTTTGTTAAAAATCTGTTGGCTGGACTTCTGTAGTCAATATCTCCGTTATTTGTTGTGTTGCTTCTTGATTTATGTCTGTCCCCTTTTGCCAAATAACAAAGTCTTCATTACTATACCTTTACAGTAAGTCTATACAGTAGACAAATTTCTCTAACTTTACTCTTCTTCAGATTGGTTTAATAAGTCTAGTACCTGGCTCTTTTTTGCAATATGCAGCTGCTTTTGCATCCTAAAACTGATTGAGTTGAACAAGTTATCTGCCTTGGTATTTTCTGTTCTTTCAAAAGGTGACTATAACATCTAATGCCATTCATTCATTGTAAGAATTCAGTGGAATTGATGTGTAAATATTTTAGGCAAACCAGCATAAAATTTTAATCAATTTATGGTTCTTGTTTTGTGTCTCTTTGGGTTGTCTAATCATAGAGACTGTATTGTGCTTCTCAGTCCCCTTCAGTAACCACATTCTGTTAACATCAATTGAATCTCTTATGCTTTTCCACCTACTCCTGATGACTTTAATATTTTAACTGTAACCTTGTGGTACAGTATGAGGTTGAATAATGTGATGCCTCTGGCTTTCTTCTTTTTTCTTAGTATTGCCTTGGCTATTTGGGCTCTTTTTTATTTCATATAAATTTTAAAATAGTTTCTTCTAATTCTCTTAATGATGTCAATGGTAGTTTAATGCAAATAGCATTTAATCTATAAATTACTTTGGACAGTATGGCCGTTTTTACAATGTTGATTCTGTCTGTGCACGAGAATAAAATGTTCTTACATTTGTTTTTGTCCTCTGATTGTTTTGAGCAGTGTTTTGTAGTTCACCTTGAAGAGCTCCTTCGTTTCCTTTGTTAGCTGTTCCTAGGTATTTTATTCTTTTTGATATAATTGTGAATGGAAATTTGTTTCTGATTTTGTTTTTGGCTTGACTGTTGTTGGTGTATAGAAATCGTAGCAATTTTATACACTGATTTTGTATGCTGAGACTTTGCTGCAGTTGCTTTTCAGCTTAAAATCTTTGGGGCTGAGATGATTGGGTTTTTCTATACGTAAGATTATGTCATCTGGAAACAAAGACAATTTAACATACTCTCTTTATATTTAAAGATAGTTTATTTTTCTCTCTTGTCGATTGCTCTGATCAGAGCTTTCAATACTGATTCAAATAAGACTGCTGAGAGAGCACATCGATGTCTTGGGCCAGTTTTCAAGGAGATTGCTTCCAGCTTTTGCCCATTAGGTGTGATATTGTCTATGGATTTATCATGCAGGTTTCTTATTATTTTGAGATATGTTTCTTCAATGTCTAGTTCACTGAGAGTTTTTAACGTGAAGGAATATTAAATTTTATCAAAGGCCTTTTCTGCCTGTATCACGATAATTATTTGGTTTTTGCCTTTAGATTTGTTAATCTGAATATTAATAAATTCAAATATTTATTAATTTATGTATGTTGAACCAACCTTGCATCTGGGAAATAAAACACATTTGATTATGGAGGATACTCTTTAAAACATACTTGATCGTGGAGGATAATCTTTTTGATGTGCTGCTTGATTCAGTTGATCGGTATTTTGTTGATAATTTTTTCATCAATTTTCATCAAAGTTATTAGTCTAAGCTTTTTGTTGTTGTTGTTGTTGTTGTATCTCAGTCAGGTTTTGGTATCATGGTAATTGTGGCCTCATTGAATGAGTTAGGGAGTAATGTCTCCTTTTCAAGTTTTTGAAATAGTATCAGAAAAATGGTACCAGCTCTTCTTTCTACTTCTGGTAGAATTCACCTGCAACTCTATCAGGTAATGCATTTTTGTTTGTTTGTTTTTTCAGAGGCAATTTATTACTGCCTTAAATTTAGAATGTGTTATTGTTCTCTTTAGGAATTCAATTTCTTTCAGGCTCAAGCTTGGGAGGGTATATATGTTCAGAAATTTATCTAATTTTTTTCTAGATTTGTTTAGTTTAGTACATAGAGGTGTTTGTGGTATTCTCTAATGGCCATATCTCTCATAATTTTTTATTGTGTTTCTTTGAAATTTCTTTTTCTTATTCTTTAGTCTAGGTAGAAGTCTTTTTTTTTTTTTCAAGAAAGTCTCCTAATTGGTTGATATTTTGACGTTTTTGTGACTCCTGTCGTCTGAACACTGCAAGTTCAGCTTTGATCTTGGTTATTTGTTTATTTTTTTTCTGCTAGCTTTGGGTTTTCTTTGCTCTTGGTTCTCCAGTCCTTTTCATAGTGATGTTAGGTTAACTTGAGATGTTTCTTGCATTTAAGATAGAGTCTCAAAATTTTAATTTCTGCCTGAATTTTATTATTTACTCCTAATCCCTGAGGAGCATGTTGCTCAATTTCTACATAGTTGTATGGCTTTGCATAAATTTTTGGATATTGGGTTCTGAGTTGGAGGGCAAGTAATTGCAGTTTTAGATTGTGAATTTTAAATTATTATAACTAGGCTTAAACACATCTTTCTTAATCAAAATAAATACCATTACAATCAACACATTTTTGCCAATAAGAAATTTTTTTTATGTCTGTAGCATAAAAATTTATGCTTCAGAATTCAGTAATGTCTTGGAAAGCATTTTCTTCATTTTGCTGGTTGTAGAATCATTTGCCCTGTCAAAAGTTATCAAGACGCTTGAAGTGGTAGTTAGTCAGTCGGCAAGATATCAGATGAATGTGATGGATGAGGCAAAACTTCGTAGCCCAAATTGTTTAACTTTTCAATCATTGTTTGTTCAATGTGTAGTTAAGCATTGTCATAGAAAAAAAATTGAGCCTTTTTTGTTGACCAGTGAGGCTGCAGGCATTGCAGTTTTTGGTGCATTTTATTGATTTGCTAAGCATGCTTCTCAGATGTAATAGTTTCATTGAGATTCAGAAAGCTATAGTAGATAAGGCCAGCAGAGCATCAGACAGTTACCATGACCTTTGTTTGGTGTAAGTTAACCTTTCGGAAGTTTATTGGAGCCTCTTCTGCATCCAACCACTGAGCTGGTCTTTGCTGGTTGTTATATAAAATCGAGTTCTCATTGCACGTCACAACTTAATTGAGAAATGGTTGTTTTGTAGAATAAGAGAAGATGACACTTAAAAATTACCTTTTAAATAGTTCATGAGTCACCCACTTACAGAGCTTTCTCACCTTTCCAATTTGCTTTAAGTGCCAAATTACTATAGAATGGTTGACATTGAGTTCTTGGCAACTCACTGTTCTGTTTACTTCAGTGTGTTTAGTAGTGGCTGTAGTGGCTTCTTATGAAGTTGTAAGAGGATCAGCTTCAATAATAGTTTTGAATTGGTCATTGTAAACTTCTGATGGCTGGCCACTTCACTTCTCATCTTTAAGGCCCTAGTCTCCTCTACAAAACTTCTCAAACAACCACTGCTCTGTACGGTCATTAGCAGTTGCTGGGGCAAATGCATTGTTAATGTTACAAAATTTCTCTACTGCTTTGTGACCCATTTTGAACTTGAATAAGAAAATTCCTCAAATTTGTTTTTTGTGTAACATTATTTGCATAGTCTAAAATAAACATCAAGTAATAAGTAACAAAGAAACACAAAGTGAAATGCGCATGATAATGATAACCACATTTATTAAATAATAAATTCTGGTATCAAACAACAAATTTCAACAATGAAAAAAACGTAATTACTTATGCGCCAACCTGTTTGGTGTTCTGTAGTGGCTGTTGCACTCTGTAATTGTCCTCTGAGAGACTATTTGTTATAATTTCAGTCTTTTTGCATCTGCTGAAAACTATTTTACTTCTGATTAGGTAACTAATTTTAGAGTAAGTTCCATGTGGTTATGATAAGAATGTATATTCAGAGTTCCTAAGATATCTCTTAGGTACAGTTGATTTAGGACTGAGTTCATGTCCTAAATATTGTTGATAATTTTCTGTCTCAATGATCTCTCTCATATGTTCCATGGGATGTTAAGGTCTCACACTTATTGAGTTAGAGTCTAAGTCTCTTTGAAGATCTCTAACAACGTGTTTTATAAATGTGAGTCCTTCTGTAGTGTGAGCATATATATTTAGAATAGTTAACTTTGCTTGTTGAATTTAACTTTTCAACATTATGTAATGCCCTTCTTTGTGTATGTGTGTGTGTTTTTTTTTAAGTCTTTATTAGTTTAAAGTTGAAGCAACTTTTAAACAAACTAGGATTGCAACCCCTGTTTTTTTTTTTCTGTTTTCCAATTGGTTGGTAAATTTTTCTCTATTTTTTTATTTTCAGCCTATATGTGTCTTTGCCTATAAAACAGGTTTCTTGAAGACAGCATACTAATGGATTTTGGTTTTTTATTCAACCTGCCATGTTGGGTTTTTAAATTGGGGCAGATAACTCATTTACATTTAAGGTTAGTATTGTTATGCGTAAATTTTATTCTGTTATAATTATGCTCACTTTTTATTTTGCAGAGTTGTTTATGAGGCTGTTTTATGGTGTCCCTGTTGTGTTCACTTAGTGTCTTTTGTAGTGGTTGGTAATTTTTTTTCCACAATTAGTGTTTTGTTTAGGGGCTCTCATAAATCAGGTCTGATGCTTACCAATTCTCTCAGCATTTGCTTGTCTGAAGGGAATCTTATTTTCTCCTTCACTTATGAAGCTTCATTTGGCCAGATGTAAAATTCTAGGTTCATTTCTTTTTAAAGCATGTTGAATATTGGCCCCTAATCTCTTCTGGCTTGTAAGGTTTCTGCTGAGAGGCTTGCTGTGTGTGATGGTCTTCCCTATGTAGGTGACCTGGTCTTTCACTCTGGTGGCTTTTAACATTTTCTTTTTCATTTTTATCTTTGAATATCTGATGATTGTATGTATTGAACCTTGTCTTCTCATGGAGTATCTTTCTGGGGTCTTCTGCATTTTCTCAATTTGAACGTTAGCCTACTTTGCTAGGTTGGGGAACTCCTACTGTGAAATATCCTGAAGTATGTTATCCAAATTGGTTTCATTCTCCACTCTTTCAGATACCTTAATCAGTTCTACATTTGTTCACTTTAGATAATTTAATATTTCTAAGAAGTTTTGTTCTTTTTAATTATTTTCTCTGTATATATTCTGCCTGTCTTATTTCATAAAGGTATTCTTTAAGCTCTGACATTCTTTTCTCTACTCAGTCTATTATTTTAATATTTCTACTAATACTATAATACTTGTGATTGCATTGTAAAGATTTTTTAGTATGCTTTTCAGCTTAATCAGGTCGGTTATATTTCTTTCTAGATCTGATGTTTTAGTTGTTAGCTCCTGTTTTGTTATATTATAATTCTTAGCTTCTTTGCATTGGGTTACACTATATTCCTTTTGCTAAGCAAAGTTTATTTTTATTTACATTCTGAAGCCTACTTTTTTTGATTCAGCCATCTCACACTCATTACAGTTCTGACCCTTGCTGAAGATGTGTTGTTGTCATTTGGAGAAAAATAAACACTGTGACTTTTTGAGTTTCTTCATTTTTGTGTTGCTCTTTTTCCCATCTTTGTGGGCTTATCTACCTACAATGACATTGCTGATTTTTGGACGTGGTTTTATTATTGTTGTTTTCTGTTTGTTTGTTTTTCTTTTAACAGTTTCACCACTCTTTCTGAGGGCTGCTGAAGTTTGCTAGAGGTCTTCTTCAGACTCTAGTTGTGTGAGATTTTCTGTACTTAGAGGTATCACCTGTGAAGACTGAAAAACAACAAAGATGCCAACATGCCCCTTCTTCCAGGAGTTTTACCCCAGATGGGTATTGGTTTGTTACCCACTCAAACTTGGCTGTAGAAAGTGGCTGGGGATTCTACTTGGAAGGTCTTACCCTATTGGGTGGAATAGAATCAGGGACCTACTTAAAGAAGCAGTTTTGCTGCTTTTTGGTAGAGCAGCCATGCTGTATTAGGGATCCCTTTACCCCACAATTACTTCAAAGTTCAAGTCTGGACTCATCTTTAGGTTTGCAGAAAGTAGCTCTGTTTTGAGTTCACTGACAGATGTGGCTTAGTTTGGATTTCTAGAAGGGCTTTATTTAAGTTTGAATAAGTCCCCAGGATAACCACACTACTTCAGTCTATGGCTGAGATAGTCTTGACTTGAAATACAAAGTTTTGTTTTGTTTATAGCAAAGGCTGATAAGTCTAAGCTAGCTGCACATGTCATGGAATAAACTGCCTTCTGGTGGGTACCAGTATTAACGGGACCACTCTCACGTTGAAGGTAAGAATACCTGCAGCTAATTTACAGACTTCATTCAAGATTCACAGTGGGGTCTAGTATAGAGTGTTATCTGCAGAGACACTACTAGATAATATCTCTGTGTGCCACAAAATTGCCCAAACTTTAATAAATTTACTCACTGTGTACCATTGTGAGTACGCATGGTGACAGAACTGCAAGACTATCCAGGTACATCTCATAGCCATTTTCAAAAATGACAGTAACTATGTGACTGTAGCAGAGGGGTCTGGAGCCATAATAGCATCATCCCAACAGAAACTGTTGTGGCATAAAGAAAGGCTAGCTTGTTCTGATGGCACAGATGGGCATTTCCCTTTGGGTCCTTATGTGAGCACTATTAAGCTAGGATCACGGTGGAGAAAGAATTTGCAGTCAAGTTATAGAATGATATTTGGGTTTACTGCCAAGACAAAGGTAGGGATACAGAAAAATCTTTTTGCCTACGCTCTAGTTCATGTGACCCTTTCTTGACCTATGGTTTCAGTCACAGTGTCAAGAACATATAAGGCTGTAGCTGAGCCAAAGTAGCCATTCGGATTACAATAAATTGGAATAAATAGAATAAATTAGAATGAATAATCTGCCACACGGGTATATGTCTGCACTCCCAATATCTCCGTTTTTAGGCCTTGGGCTCCACCAGAGTTTCACAACCACCTACTTGAATCCCAAGACTCCCACAGAGCAAGAAAGATACTTCTTTGTATGGATGGGTACAGAATCATTGTCGTCAGGGGATATAAATGGGTGACCACTTTTTCCACCATATTGCTGAGGTCACCCTGTATTTTATATTCTGTGAACAGTTATCATGTTATTGCACAATATACACAAACATTTACTGAGTTAAACACAAGTTTACTCACTATGTACCATGTCTGACACATCACCAATTTGTGTGTCTGTGTGTGTGTGTGTGTGTTTGTGTGTAGTAGTTAGAAGCAAAAGAAAAAGTGAAACCCTATGGAATCCACATGGCCCTCGCAACTGTTGAGTTATAACTGTATTACTGTGATTGGTAGTGTGCCAAGCAACAGTCCAAAGAAATGAGAGCTCTAGATACTCTGTTGTAAATGCTGAACTCTCCACTTGTAAATAAAAGAGCATAGTTATTTTTTCAATATTATTTATCGTTATTTAAAATTGATTTTCATAAATAATGTTACCTCTGCAAGGTCAGAGTAGTGTATAAAAATGCCTAGATGTCCATAAGTCCACTTCAGGGGCTGAGGCCTCATGGAGAACCTTTACAAGGTCAGTGTAGAGAGGACATACGGGGTTGGAGTCCCAACACAGAGTCCCCACTGAGGCACTGCTTAGTGGCGCTATGAGAAGGCCACTGCCCTCCAAGCACCAAAATGTTAGATGCACTGACAGCTTAATCTATGCATCTGAAAAAGCTTCAGGCACTCAATGTTTGCCCATGAAAGCAGTTGTGGGGGCTGTGGCCTCTAGATCCACAGAGGTGGAGCTACTCAAGGCCTTGAGAGCCCATCTCTTACATCAGTGTGGCCTAGATATGAGATATGGAGTCAAAAAATTATTTTGGAACTTTGAAATTTAATAATTGCTTTGCTAGCTTTAGAACTTGCATGGGGCTTTTATACCTTTGTTTGGGCTAATTTATTTCTTTGAGAACAAATGTATTTACCCAACTCCTGTACCCTCATTGTATCTTTTCTTTTTTTTTTTTCTTTTTTTTTTTTTTTTTGAGAGTGAGCCTGGGAGTCTCACTCTCGGGCTGGAGTGCAGTGGCACGATCTCGGCTTGTTGCAACCTCTGCCTCCCAGGTTCAAGCGATTCTTCTGCCTCAGCCTCCTGAGTAGCTGGGACTACAGACGTGTGCCACTGTGCCCAGCTAATTTTTGTATTTTTAGTAGAGATGGGTTTCACCATGTTGGTTAGCCAGGATAGTCTCGATTTCTTGACCTCATGATCCCCCTGCCTTGGCCTCCCAAAGTGCTGGGATTACAAGTATGAGCCACCACGGCCAGCCCCTGTATCCCCATTGTATCCTATCAGTATATAATTTTTTTTTTACAAGCTCATAGGCAGATATAACTTGTCTTTTCTCAAATGAAACTTTTGACTGTGGACCTTTTAAATTAATGCCAAAAAGAGTTAACACTAGAAAGACTCTTGGAAATAGATAACAACTGTATTTTGCCATGTGAAATTTGGAAGGGGTCAGGGGTAGTATAATATGGTCTGGATTTATGTTTCTGCCAAAATATAATGTCAAATTGTAATAAAGAATATAAGAGAAGGGGCCTTTTAACAGGTAATGTGATAATGGGAGCACATACATCCCTTTGCTCTTTTTGTGATAGTGAGTTCTCAAAATGAAAATAGTTAGCTGGCCTTAGTTATATAGAAAGAAAAGGGTCCCCAGAGATCCTCCAGAGCAGGGAATGTCAGTGCCTCATTTCCATAAAACATAAAAGGAGCCTGGAGCTGGGTGTGGTGGCTCAGGCCTGTAATCCCCACACTTTGGGAAGCTGAGGAGGGCAGATCACGGGGTCAGGATATCAAAATCATCCTGGCTAACATGGTGAAACCTTGTCTCTACTAAAAATACAAAAATTAGCTGGGCGTGTTGTCGCCTGCCTGTAATCCCAGCTACTCGGGAAGCTGAGGCAGGAGAATTGCTTGAACCAGGGAGTCGGAGATTTTAGTGAGCCGAGAATCACGCCGCTGCACTCCAGCCTGGACACAGAGCGAGACTCCCATCTCACAAAAAAAAAAAAAAAAAAAAAAAAGCAGCCTGGAAAAAACAAATCAAGCTGAAGGCACAGATAAGAAAACTAGCACAGGGTGCTGTGCCTGGAGACATGTTTGTGGCTGGCACACACAAAAAAAAACAGAACCTCTGGCCCATTTGGATAAGAACTTATGCAAACCTTAGGCTCACTAAGGTAAGTGAAGAAGGCATGGCATAAAAATCCTATTTTTGTGGAGTCAGCATGATCAGGACATTTTTTTTTTCTCTTTTTGTGGACATGGGCATGATGGTTCCAGCAGGTTCCACTGGGTAGTTTTATTTTCTTTTGTGGACAGCAATTCTGGCCTCTGTGAATTATCACTTTAGACCCTGATTGGCACTGGGCCAAGCTCTCCAGTTGGCTTCAGACCAGGGTCCCAGGCCAAGCTGTTATCCAAGACTAAGCACATTCCTTATCCTTTCCAGTCTATAAAAATCCTAGAACTGGCCTCATAGTGGGAAACCAATTCAGGCCTCAGCCACTGCTCACAAAAAGTTTTCTCTTTTTGCTTATTAAACTTCTGCTTCTACGTTATCCTTTTGCCTGCACTCCTTTATTGTCTTGGATTAAAAAAAAAACTCTGACGATTATCTCAAACAATGAAAGACTGCTAAATCTTGGTGCATTGGTGAGACTGCAACATATTTTGGTACATTGATCGAGAATAAAAGAATTCATCAGAAAGTTGAATAAAAGCATATTTTTAACTTTAACCCTTTACTTTCATTTCTGAGGCTTCTTGTCTATTCCAATCCAGTTTCCTTTCACAGAGGGCCTAGCCATGATGTGGGATTGAAAGGAGGTTCTAGGCCAACTGAAGATTTCCAGCTGGGGCTATATCTTGGTGTTACCTGAGGGTCTTTGGACTAACATCTAGCTCCCAACAGCCCATCAGGGTGTCAGCAAAAAAACTTCTAGTCTTTTCTCGTCACATATTCTTTTTTTTCTTGTGGATATCTTGTCTCTAATCCCTATTTTGTATTCAGTGTTGTGAGTGTTTTTGCAAGCTAGGGATATAATCCTGCTGGGTAGAGTTAGTCAGTGTCTTAATAATTACAAATGTAATTCAAAAAAATTGTTATTTTTGTGGTTTCCTAGAAACAAAGGGATTCAAATTTCCATCTAAATTCTTACCTTATAAGGACCCTTCTATCCCTTAATAATAGACACTCATGGCACCATGTGGGATAATAGTTCTTCCTGAGTGAATATTCTTCTATTTGTATTGTTTTTTATTCTGTATAAGAGTCCAGCACAATCCAATGAATCTAAAGATTCTATATGAGATAAATTAATTTTCTTATTCTGGGGAGGATGCTTCCAGCACAATCCAATGAATCTAGTTTCTATATGAGATAAATTAATTTTCTTATTCTGAGGAGGATGCTTCCAGCATAGTCCAATGAATCTAAAGTTTCTATATGAGATAAATTAATTTTCTTATTCTGGGGAGCATGCTATGGGAAAGCCTATTAAACCCCAAACCTCTCTTTCAAACTTTTTCCTGAAAAGAATTTGAAGTCAGAGTTTTATCTCACATATCTAACCCTACATCACCACCTAGTGGAGTGAAATTTTTCTCCATGTGGAGTCTTGTCAGCACTCTACCACAAACGACTAGTTTCCCAATTCCTTTTTCCTTTTACTTTTTTTTTCTTTTTTTCTTTTTTCCGAGATGGAATTTCACTTTTGTTGCCCAGGCTGGGTGCAGTGGCATAATCTTGGCTCAGTGCAACCTCCATCTCCCAGGTGTAAGTGATTTTCCTGCCTCAGCCTCCTGAGTAGCTGGGATTACAGGCATGTGCCACCTCACCTGGCTAATTTTGTTTGTATTTTTAGTAGAGATGGGGTTTCTCCATGCTGTTCAGGCTAGTCTTGAACTCTGGACCTCTGGTGATCCACCAGCCTCGGCCTCCCAAAGTGCTGGGATTACAGGCATGAGCCATCATGCCCAGCCCCTTTTACTTTTGTCTATCGGTAATCAGGCCCATCTCCTATTTGTAGACAAGAAAACTCTACTTTCAACAGCCGAGAGAAAGCCATCCTGAAAAGACAGACTTTGCTTCAATAATGATGTCATCAATGGAAGGGAAGCTATTTAATTTGTATGCTTTTTTTGAAGCACCCATTCTGCATTCGACTACTTTGGGATGTAAACATAAAAGAAAATTTACGTTTGGAAGTTAGTCCCTCCTATTTTGTGGGATTCTGATTTTTAACCGGTACCATAGCAGGGATGGTATTAAAACACTTCCTTCATTAAAAAAGTATTGCCAGAGTCCAAATACTACATTATCTCTTCCAGGCGTGTGGAGTACCTTAGAAGCCTTTTGGGCTGAGTGGGTCTAAGATTCCAGTAGGGCAGAAAACCAAGGGCTTATGCAGATGGGCATGACTAGTCTTGCCTACCAGCTCCTCTGGGTTCTTGGGTGAAGGTCACACTTGCATTCATAGGACAGCATTCATGACAGTCACCAGGACCCACAGGAGAGGGAGAAGGAGGAGAAGGGAAATGCACTTTCTCTCTTTCTTCACTCTGGGGGACACCAGTAGAAGGAAGAGTATTGATAAACTCATTGTTTTTTCCTCTTTTTTTAGTTGGGTAATAAACCATTTGCAGTCTGTACTCCCCTTGACTGCATTCTGAATCCCTGAAACTCCTTTGGACCTAAAATCCTGAAAATAAAATCGCTTATATTCTATTGCCCATAAGGCTTATAAAACAATATTACCATATTGGAAATGAATAAACTTAGCCTTCTAAAGGAAGTCTTGATTTCTATATTATTTAACAACTAGATATTTTCTCTAGGTGGTAGGGAAAATGGTCTGAGCTTCCCTATGTACAGGCTTACATTGTCCTGTGAAACAACTCAATGTTTGTAATCATTGTACAGTTAACCCTGACCTTTTTGCAACCATGTAAGGGAAGCCTAGAAAGGACAGTTCCCCAAAGTCAAAGAGACAAACCCTCAGGGAACCCCAAATGGAATTTCAGGGTGCCCTGTCTCACTTATTCTGGGATCTTAATAACCAAATTATTAGCTGCCCCAGTTGTGTCACTTAAGAAATTCCCTCTTTAACTCTTGCCATAGCAGAAAATGTCACATGTCCATAGTGCTTTAGGATTTGTGTTCCATTCTTATTGAAGGATTATAGATAAATAAAGGGGAACCTGGGCAAGTTTTCTAATGATGCTGATGGATATATACAGGCTTGCCAAAATTTAACCCAAGTGTTTAATCTTATGTAGAAAAATGCTATAATACTTTTAAGTCAAACCTAACTGTTGCAGAAAAGCAGGCAGGTTTACAGGCAGCAGAAACATTTGGAGATGAACAACACATCCCCTAGAGTTTGTCTAAAAGTTTGCAAGGGAAAAATCTAGCAGAAGGGAGGGTGAGAAGGTAGCAAAATTTCTTCTAATGAAAGAAGAGGGTGAGAAGGTAGCAAAATTTTCATTCCCAATAGGAAAGGATGCAATACCCCTTGAAAATCCCAATTGGAATCCCAATATTTCTATAAATGAATGGAAAAGAATTATCTGATATGCATACTGGAAGGCTTGAAAAGGCCTTCCAGGATCAAACCTCTTAATTAATATAAGCTCTTCATAATAAATCAAAAAATCAGATGGAAAAACTCCGTAGCCTTTATAGAAAGGCTGAGACAGGCATTAGTAAAACACACCTATCTATATCCTAATTTAGTTGAGAGACAATTAATTTAAAAAAAAACAAGTTTATTATACAACCAGCTTCTTATATCAAAAAGATGTTGAAGAAACTGGTCATAGGTCCAGATAGCTCTCTAGATAATCTCTAGAAAGGGGCTACTTTGGTCTCATACAGCAGAGACTGGGAGGAGGCCCAGGAGAAAGTGAGAAAATACAACAAAAACGAGAGGCTCTAGTGGCCACATTACAGGAATATAAAATTCAGAATCCCTGAGTTGCGTCTTCTAACTGCTACCAATGTGGCAAACAAGGACACTTCAAAATGGATTTTCCAGATAGCAGGAATAAGCCACCTCAACCCTGTCCAGCCAGTGGTAAAGACTACTAGAAGTCAAATTTTCCTTTGATATGTAGCTCACAAGGTCTAGACCCAGTCTCCAAAATAATTCAGCAGGATTACAGGGTCCTAGTGCTCAATTTCCCAGCTTTAGTGGCTCAAACTGCCATCACTCTCCAGAAGCTCCGGGTAATTTTGGAGGTAAAAGAGAGAAAGGTAGACTTCCTTTTGGAACCTGGAATCAGGAGCCAGTCTCTTTGCATTCTTTGTCAATCCAGGCCTCCCCTTCTCTCATGTCACAACCCTGGTAGGCATCTTTGGAAAGTTCTTAACCTGATATTTTTCACAGTCTCTTAGTTGTAGCTGGGGAGACTTGTTATTTACTCATGTGTTTTTAATTATGCCTGAGAGTCTGACTCCTTAAATATGTAGAGATATTCTAGCTTGTATGGAAGCCATCGTATTTATAGCTCCCGTACAGACTCTTTGTCTCTTTTTTAGTAAAAAGCAATGTTAAAGAGGCTGGGCTACAGCCACTCCAGTCCAGATTCACTGTAAAGTCATCACTTCTTTTCCTAAGCAGAAGCAGTATCCTTCTATAGCCAGAAGCTAGAAAAGAACTACAAGCCATTATTAATAATTTAAAATAATAGTACATTCTCAGACTTTGCAACAGCTCTTGCAACATCCCAATATTAGAGATACAGAAACCCAGTGGAGAATGAAGGCTAGTTTAAGACTTCATCTCATTAATAAAGCTGTAGTTTCGATCTATCTGATAGTTTCTAATTCTTATATTTTGCTAACTCAAATACCTGAGGGAACTAAATGGTTCACAATTTTGGACCTTAAAAAGGCTTTTTTCTGCATACCATTGCACCTTGACACCCCATACTTGTTTGCTTTGGAGGATCCCTGCAGCCAGTCTACCCAGTTAATGTGGACAGTACTGCATCAAGGGTTCTGAGACAACCCCCACTTGTTTGGGGAAGCATTATCAAAAGACTTTCTAAGTTCTGTTATTCTTAGATTAAACTTTCACAATATGTAAATAATATTTTCCTCTGTGCTCCAGCTGTGGGTCTTTTTTAAGAAGGTATTGAGGTTCTTCTTAATTTTCTAGCATATACAAGGTAAAAAATTTCTAAATCTGAACCTTACCTCTGACAAACTTCAGTAAAATCTAAGGTACTTAGGTCTAATTTTGTCAGAAGGGAACAAAATATTGGGGAAAAAAGACTAGTAAGCCTATAGAGTTTTTTCTCCTTCCCCAAACCATGAAACAGCTAAAAGAATTTTGGGGCATTACAGTTTTCCATAGATTGTGGATACTTGGGTATAGTAAAATAACTGCTGTTAATAACACCTTATGAAAGAAACTCAAGCAGCTAAAACTCCCTAATTTGGAAACAAGGCTCAAAATGCTTTCAATCATTGAAAGCAAGCCTTATTTAAAGTAATTGTCCTCACTCTTCCTATAAAGAATGCATTTTATCTTTGTCTCAGAAGGAAAGGGGATAGCCATGACAGTTTTACATCAGCCTAAGGTCCAGCCAGCAGTCAGTTGATTACCTAAACAAGGAATTTAAACTGGGGACTAAAGGATGGCTGGCTTGCCCCGACTGTAGTTTTAGTGGAGGCCTTGCTTGTGCCAGAAGCTACTGAGGTGACATGGGGAATGACTTAGCTGTTTACATGCCCCCATAATGTAGCAGGACTGCTGTCCTTTAAAGGAATTCTCTGGCTAACAAATAATCACCTCCTCAAATATTAAGCTTTGCTGTTGGAAGGATCTGCAGTTCAGCTGAAGACCTGTCTTTGCCTAAACCCAGTCACTTTCTTCTGAAGGGAAACTGGAGAACATAAACATGATTATGAACAAATAGTGATACAAACATATGAGGCCTCAGAAGACCTCAGGGAAATTCTGCTAGAAAACTCAGACTGTACTCTTTTTACAGATGGAAGTTATTTTGTAGAATGAGAAACCCATAGGGCAGAGTATGCAATAGTCATCCTGAATAACTTTACTAAAACCACATCTCCTTCATCAGGTACAAGTGCTCAATTAGCTTAATTCATTGACCTCATAAGGGTAATTGAACTAAGCAAAAGAAAGGCAGATAAGACATATACTGATTCCAAGTATGTTTTCATAGATCTCCATGCGCATGCCGCTATTTGGAAAGAAAGACATTTTATGACTGTTAATGGGTCTCCTATTTAAATAGATTGTTGTCCTCAGTTTTCCTTCAGTAGGAAGTGGCAGCATTGCATTGCAAAGGACACCATAAGGGGATAGATAAAGTAGCTGATAACAAAATACAGATAAGTCAGCAGCAACAACACCCAAGGTACCTGTGCCCTTGAAGCTTCTCTAATTTGGGAGAGCTCCATGAGAAAAATAAAACCTCAGTATTCCCCTTCAAAGAAAATATGGGCTACCCCTTGATTATACACTCTTTAGCCCTCAGGATGGTTGTAATCAGAGAATGGCAAACCTTACTTCCCATCATCCAGTAAGTGAAAAGTTCTTAAGATCCTTATCTTCTCAGTTGGGAAATGATAAAATATCAACTTGCCCAGAGATTGTCCTCAGGTAAAAATCTACCAAAACAGTCAAACACATTGTTAATGCTTGTGACACCTGCCTCAAAAACAATCCCTTCAACAATTGGCTTTTTCCCCCCACCCCCTGCAACTCAAAAAATGGGAAGTTGTCCAAGGGATAACTGCCAAATGGCTTTTCCCTATATGCCAAAGATAAAGGAGATTCAGTACCTCCTGGGGTGGGTGGATACCTTCACTAACCAGGTAAGAGCATTTCCATGTCTAACAGAAAAGGCCTCTAAGGTGATAAAAACAATAGTCAATAAAATAATTTCACACTTTGGACTACCTAAATACCTCCGAAGTGACAATAGCCCCTCATTTAAAGTGGGTGTTACCCTGAGGGTCCCAAAAGCACTAAGCATGCAATATGACCTTTTTTTTTAGACGGAGTCTTACTCTGTCACCCAGGCTGGAGTGTACTGGCATGATCTCGGCTCACTGGAACTTCCACCTCCCAGGTTCAAGCGATTCTCCAGCCTCAGCCTCCCGAGTAGCTGGGACTACAGGTTCACACTACCACACCCAGTAATGTTTGCATTTTCTTTTTTTTTTTTTTTTTTTTTTTAGTATTTATTGATCATTCTTGGGTGTTTCTCAGAGAGGGGGATGTGGCAGGGTCATAGGATAATAGTGGAGAGAAGGTCAGCAGATAAACACGTGAACAAAGGTCTCTGCTTTTCCTAGGCAGAGGTTCCTGCGGCCTTCGGCTGTGTTTGTGTCCCTGGGTACTTGAGATTAGGGAGTGGTGATGACTCTTAACGAGCATGCTGCCTTTAAGCATCTGTTTAACAAAGCACATCTTGCACCGCCCTTAATCCATTTAACCCTGAGTTGACACAGCACATGTTTCAGAGAGCACGGGGTTGGGGGTATGGTTATAGATTAACAGCATCCCCAGGCAGAAGAATTTTTCTTAGTACAGAACAAAGTGGTGTCTCCTATGTCTACTTCTTTCTGCACAGACACAGTAAAAATCTGATCTCTCTTTCTTTTCCCCACATTTCCCCCTTTTCTTTTCGGCAAAACCGCCATCGTCATCATGGCCCGTTCTTGATGGTCTCTGTCTCTTCGGAGCTGTTGGGTACACTTCCCAGATGGGGCGGCCTGGCGCTCGTCACTTCCCAGACAGGGGTGGCCAGACAGAGGCGCACCTCACTCCCCAGACAGGGTGGTGGCCGGGCAGAGGTGCTCCTCACCTCCCAGATGATGGGTGGCTGGGCAGAGGTGCTCCTCACCTCCCAGAAGATGGGCGGCCAGGCAGAGGCGCTCCCCAACTCCCAGGCGGGGTGGCCAGGCATAGACTCCCCTCACCTCCCAGATGGGGCAGCTGGGCAGAGGCGCCCACTTCCCAGATAGGGTGGCCAGGCAGAGGCGCTCCCCACCTCCCAGATGAAGGGCAGCCAGGCAGAGGCGCCCCTCACCTCCCAGGCGGGGCGGCCGGGCAGAGACGCCCCTCACCTCGCAGGCAGGGCGGCCGGGCAGAGGTGCCCATTTCCCAGATTGGGCGGCTGGGCAGAGGTGCTCCCCACCTCCCAGACAAAGGGCGGCCAGGCAGAGACGCTCCTCACTTCCCAGGCGGGGCGGCCAGGCAGAGGCGCCCCTCACCTCCCAGACGGGGTGGCCTGGCAGAGGTGCTCCTCACCTCCCAGACGAAGGGCGGCCGGGCAGAGGCGCCCCTCACTTCCCAGACAGGGCGGCGGCCGGGCAGAGGTGCTCCTCTCTTCCCAGATGGGGTGGCGGCCGAGCAGAGTCACCCCTCACCTTCCAGACAGGGTGGCCGGGCAGAGGCACCCACCTCCCAGACAGGGCGCCCGGGCAGAGGCGCTCCTCGCCTCCCAGACGGGGTGACGGCTGGGCAGAGGCGCTCCTCACATCCCAGCAGGGCAGCCGGGCAGAGGCGCTCCTCAGTTCTCAGACGGGGCGGCCGGGCATAGGCGCTCCTCACATCCCCGATGATGGGCGGCCGGGCAGAGATGCTCCTCACTTCCCAGACGTGGTGGCGTCTGGGCAGAGGCGCTCCTCACTTCCCAGATCGGGCGGCCGGGCAGAGGCGCTCCTCACCTCCCAGAAGGGGCGGCCAGGCAGACGTGCTCCTCACCTCCCAGATGGGGTGGCGGCCGGGCATAGGCACTCCTCACATCACAGATGGGGTGGCTGGGAAGAGGTGCTTCTCACATCCCAGATGATGGGTGGCCAGGCAGAGACGCTCCTCACTTCCCAGACGGGGTGGCGGCCAGGCAGAGGCTCTCCTCACTTCCCAGACGGGGCAGCCGGGCATAGGCACTCCTCACTTCCCAGATGGGGCAGCCGGGCAGAGGGGCTCTGCACATCCCAGACGATGGGTGGCCAGGCAGAGACACTCCTCACTTCCCAGACGGGGTGGTGGCCAGGCAGAGGCTGCAATCTTAGCACTTTGGGAGGCCAAGGCAGGTGGTTGGAAGGTGGAGGTTGCAGCGAGCCGAGATCACGCCACTGGCACTCCAGCCTGGGCAACACTGAGCATTGAGTGAGTGAGACTCTTTCTGCAATCCCAGCACCCCAGGAGGCTGAGGCGGGCAGACCACTCGATGTCAGGAGCCAGAGACCAGCCCAGTCAACAGGGCAAAACCCTGTCTCCCCAAAAATACAAAAACCAGTCAGGCCAGGCGGCGCGCGCCTCCAATCCCAGGCACTTGGCAGGCCGAGGCAGGGGAACCACGGGAGCCCAGGGCAGGGAGGCTACAGCGAGCCGAGACCACGGCAATACAGTCCAGCCTCGGCAACACAGTCCAGCCTCGGCAACAGAGGGAGACCGAAGAAGGAGAGGGAGAGGGAGAGGAATTTTTGCATTTTCAATAGAGACAGGGTTTCACCATGTTGTCCAGGTTGGTCTCAATCTCTTGACCTAGTGATTCGCCCAGCTCGGCCTCCCAAAGTGATGGGATTACAGGCATGAGCCACCACGTCTGGCCACAATATGACCTTTATTGTGCTAGGAGACCAGTATTCAGGGAAGATAAAAAAAACATGATACCATTAAAAGACACTTAGGGAAGTTTCTCAAAAAACTCATTTCCCCTGAATTGCTCTCCTTCCTGTAGTCTTAATGTGGGGAAAGAACACCCATTTAAGGTTGGGGTGGAGCCCTTTTAAAATAGTGTATGGACAGCCTTTCCTTACCAATAACTTTATATCAAGAAACTTCTATATTTTTAAATATGTAATCTCCCTGTCCTACTTCTAGCAGAAATTAAAAAAGCTATCAAAATAAAATCCCCAAAACTAGTGCCACCTCTGTTCAACTCAGGAGAGTTGATACTTGCAAAGGCTTTTCCCTTTTTTTCACTCTCTATGTTCCAACTGGTAGGGACCTCACACCATCTTTCTCCACCCTTGCTCGGTGGTAAAGATTGTGGGACTCAACTCATAGATTCATCACACTGGAATAAAGTCTTGGAATGCAGGGGGAATGACCCCTGACAGCCCAAAAAAGCATTTCAAATATTAGTTTCAAAAAGCCAGAAAATTCCATCAAAAATTACAAAAAATGATTAAGTTACTAAGAACTATCTGTTCAGCTCAATATCAACTTTACCTTATCAGATACATTTAGTCATTTCTACCTTTTTCTTGAGATGTGTTGTCAAATACTAAAACTTTCCTTTAATGTATACTTGTAGTAAGATTCTACCAATCCACGTGATTACATTTGTAACCACAAAGACCCCCAAGAGGAAATTATATATCCATGTAATTAAGATTTTAAATAGAAATTTATTACATCATACTTACAGAAATTGTGGTGCTTACTTTGCTTTTTGCAGTAGGACTTTATACTGTGGCACCTTCTAAATGAAATAGCAGATAGGAGTCTCAATTGCCATAATCTTTTGCTTAGTCATTATTCTTATAGCAGGTATAATAGTCAACATAAAAATAAACATGAAGATTTTGTTACTACCAAATTTACTAACATTCACTGTTAGATGTAGTAATGCTTCACATCCTTTGGACCACATAGTATCAGCCATTGCTCATCTATACAGCAAGGCTGATTGCTAAGTTTGCCCTTAATCATTTTCTCAGTTTAATAACACCAAATAACTCTTTAATACTCTGGGACTCACTATCTTAGTGTTTCCTCTGCAGGCTTTATATTTAACAATTAAGGATTTAATAGGTATAAATAAAACATTGTATGAAAGCATTTTTAACTCCACTCAAAAAGACACACACCCCAAAGGTAAAACTCACGTTCTTAAGCTAATTTAAAAAAAAACCTCCCTGTGCTTTAAGAGCAGAGGAAAAATACCAGACTTTGGAAACTAAATATTGCAACACTATGCTTATAATTGCTAAAAGCACAGTGATCTAGAGACTAAGAAGAAACAAGGGTAATAGCAAACATTGGGCTAGATTATGGAAATTTCTCTAACAATCTAGCCAAACTTCCCAGGTGGAATTCTCACTGGGAATTGCTACCCTGGGCAAAAATGCCACCCCCTGCCAACTGTATTATCAGGTAATAAATAACATATGGTCTTTCCAAAATTTGCCCACACATGAAATTCCAGACTCTTGTATAATATTTAATAATGGTAGTACTCTGCAAATTTGTGAATGGACAGGGGATATCTGGAACAATAACCCCTGTAAAAAGGGTTATCTAAGATACTAGCCAGGACATATTGTGTTCATAATCTTAAATATATATTTGCCAAAAAAGTTTTCCATCCAACACGTAAAGTTCAAAATGGTACCATGGATGCTTATACTTGTATAAATATACTTATCTTGAGAATACTCCCATTAAATGTAGGGAAGGTGACCTTAAAGGCCTGAACTAAATCCAGCTAAAATCTCCCTAAACTACAGCATAGAACTATTTCTCCAGGGAATGGGACTTGACTTTATTTTTGACTCCCGGCTACACTTAATCCTCCCCAGGCACTAAAAAGGAACATACACTATAGTGGCAGTGGTTTCCACTCTGTTATTTTTAAACCCCTCTATCACGGTAGCATTGCCGGGTGAAATCCCCAATCTGGGATTTTTTTATTTTTTTAATACATTTTTTTATTTTTTTTTTAGAGAGAGTGCATTCTCTTACACACAGCAAAACTAAAGATTACTTATCCTTATGCTATCATATGAAAATTTAACTAAAACAGAAAACTGAAAAGGACATACATGTGACAATTTGATTTAATGTTAAAAAAAAAAACAGAACTAGGACATGCAATAGCCACAGGACTATTTTAGTTTGGTGATATGTCCTTTTTGAAATATCGGTTCCTAATATTTCTGTCATGGTACAAGGGTGGAAAGCAACTGTAGCAGCCATAGAAGCCCAACAATAATCCCTACATTTTTTAGACTTGGTGTAAAGCAAAATAAACAAACTCTTAATGTCTTTATGACTAAAGTAGGGGGCGCCTGTGCAGTCTTAAATAAAACATACTGTTTCTGGGTCAACAGTTCCAGTCAGGAAAAGAAAAATTTACAAATGCGTCAAAACCAAATTACAATTATTAACAAATTAAGGACAAACTAAAACTCTGTTTCCAGTTGGTACAGTCCCTTTTGAATGGATTCGTCTTCATTTTGGACCTGGTTAGCTCTTCTACTAGGACCTCTCTTTTTTATGTTTTCTGTTAATGTTTGGAGCTTGCATACTTACTATAACTTGAATTATTCCCTCTCACCTAAAAACTATCGAGCTCCAAAGGATAATTCAATTGAGACCATGTATGGATGTGCCTCTCTTCTGAGGACCCTTAAACTGGCCCCAGAAGCTGCTGTTTCCTATACAACACTACTTTCCAGCAGGAAGTAGCCAAAAAGATCAAGACCCAATTTCCCTAACAGCAATTATTGTCTCTACTACTGAGGGGGGACTGAAACAAGTTAGTTGGCTTGTGTTAGGTAGATAGCAAGGGAAGGGTCCTCAGCCCCCAACCTGTAAGTCAATGCCTCATCACCACAACACATAAAAAGCAGCCTGGAATGTAAATCAACCTGTGGGCACAGATAAGGAAAGTAACACAGGATGTTTTGCCTGGAGACATGCCTGCAGCTGCAAAATAAAAGTACCACCAGTCCAACTGGATAAAAATTTACCCAAACTTTCAGCTCATTCAGATAGGGAACAAGACCTGGCATAATGATGACTTTGCCCTTTGTATAGTCAGTGGTCTCTCAGTAAAAAGTGTCTTCCCCTTTTTTTGGCATGAACACAGTGGGCTTTAGTAGTTTCAGTGGGCAGTTTCCTTTTCTTGGACTGAGAATTGGCCTTATATGAATTATCACTTCAGCCTCTGATTGGTCCTGGGCCAAGGTCTTGGGGCAAGTTTTTACTTCAGCTCCTAATAGGTCCTGACCAAGCTAATCAACCTCTATAAATTTTCACTTGTCCCCTTGATTCATCCCAGGCAAAGTTGAGTCACATAATCTCCAAGACAGCCCACAGACTAAACACATTAATTATCCTTTCCAATTCACGAAAACCCCAGAACTGGCCTTCTAGTGGGCAACTAGTTCAGGGTCTCCTCTGTGCTGGCAAAATATAGTTATATAATCTAACAAAAAATATACTTACAGCAGACTATGTAGTTCACTGCCTGCATCTAACTTGGCTAGTGAAGTTATACCCTAGCTTAGCTTGGCTAGATGTAGAAGTAAGTTATCCTTCATTCCAAATTGATATCGCCTGATTTTATAAGTAGTGACACTCAAGTTATTCTTGTCCAAAGCCCTGGGATATACTGAGCAAAAGAAAATAACACTTTAGTTTATTAAATATCAAATATGTCTATATGGCCTTCAGCCACATCTAGAGCTGTTCCTGTTTCCCAAAATAGCCAGATCCTGGCCTTGTCTATATCATCTTACCCTTCTTTATCCTCTAGCACTTTATCAGCAACTCATATAATCCACTGCTTTTTTAAGCAGAAGAGTTTACTGTAATTGCAGAATTTCATTACCTATTCTTGCTTCAGCAGAGCATGGTTATCATTTATATTAGACTGTCTTCTGTTTGAATAAAACTGTATTTTGGATAAAAAAATTTGAGAAGCCTGCCTTCTGCACCTACTCAGTTACTCAGTGTACTAAAATATTTGAATTTACTACTCTGGGTCACTTAAAATTGCCTGGGTACATAAAAATTGCCTCTTTGCTTGTGGCACAAAAGCCTGTTCTACTGCATTACTTTTGGGATGAGTCCTCCCCAGGATGTACTATGCCTACTCTTGGTGGCTCTGAACTTTAGCAGATAAAACTGCTCTTGGGACTGAGATGCTACTGTTACAGTTTTGCCAATGCAAGACAATGTAGCAGTCTCTCCTTGTCTCTCATTGTGAGTAGACCCAGAGATCTTTGTCTCACAACCAAGAAAATTAAGGAGTGTAGACACAAGTGTGAAGTCGTGGCAAAAGTTTAATAACAACAACAAAAAGCTCTTTACACTGGAGAGGAGGCCTAAGAGGATTGCCCAATATAAGGCTGAGTCAAGGGTTTCTATGAACTGAGAAAGGGAAGAATGTGCTGTCTGCTCTGCAGCCTGTCTTGGAGAAGCCTACTCAGCTTGGCCCAGAACCTAGGCCTGGGAACAGTCACGGGCTGAAGTGAAAGCTTGGCCAATTTCTTACCCTGGAGGGATGTATCTTTCAACTGGAGTCAAAAGTGCACTCATACCATGTTCTATTTATACCTTGAAAGTCTATAATGTATAAAGGTAGAGCTAACAGTGAGTTCTGAAACAGCAAAAGATCCCTCACTGATATTGAACTCAACAATTAGGGCAAACCCAGAAATTAGTCTTTTTGTGTAGATGAGTGATTGTTGATTTTGTAAGAGCCAAGGGGTGTGAAACGTTGCTCCATTTAACAGTGAATGTTAGTAAACTTGATAGTAACATAATCTAATCTGTGACTACTATTTCTGCTATAAGGATAATAATTCAGCAAAAGTTTATGGCTGTTGAGACTCTGGTCAATATTCCACTCAGAAGGTGCCACAGTGTAAAACCCTACTGAAAAAAAAAAGTAAGCAAAATAATTCCTATAAGTATGATGTAGTAGATAATTTCCTTCTGAAGTTTTACTCATTTAAATTTTTCTTGATTGTTAGGGGCTGCTGTCTCTGCTTTCCAAGCTGTGACTAGATCATGATGAATCCAAGAGTTGATTCCTGCAAACTTCACCACTGAGCGGTTGGAGAGGAGGACAGTATAAGGTCCCTCCCAACTGGGTCTAGACAGGGAAAAAAAGGGAAGAGCCTTAACCAGTACCAAGTCTTCTGGGTTAAAACGAGTTAGGTGCAGTTCTCACGGATGGAATTCTGATAATAGTTTTAATTCACATTGGAAGTGGATTAGGGAGGTTATATGTTTAACCATTTCATAAGTTCCTGATCTAATGAGAAATCTTGTTTATTTAAGCCTGTCCATATACCATTTTTAAAGTGACTCAACAAGTTTAAAAAGGTGTTTCTCATCCAGATTAAGGCCATGAAAAGAAGAGTAATCCGAGAGAGTTAGTTGCTTGAGACAGCTTCCTGGTAAGTCTTTTAATAATATTATTTATTTTCTCCGTCTTTTCTGAAGACTGTGGTCTCCAGGCCCAATGAAGATAGCATTGTATGCCCAGGTCTCTTGAGACACCTTGGGTAATAGTTGCTTTAAATGAGGGGCCATTGTCTCTTTGGAAGTGTTGAGGGAGTTCAAAGAGAGTAATTATCTCATTGATTACTGCTTTTACTAAGAGCCCTTTTCTGTTTGGCATGGAAATGTCTTTACCTAGTTAGTGAAGTTGAGCTCTGGCAGAGAAGCCATCTCTAGAGGGAATTATTTTTAAGGCAGGTTTCACAAGTATTAAAAATCTGTTTTACTGTTTTTATCATATTTTTATTTGAGAACAATCTCTGGCCTACTTGGTAGGTTTTATCATTTCCTAAGTGAAAACCTTGGTAAAGGACATCAGGAACTTTTCACTGACTGGAGGATGACAAGTGGAATTTTCCTTCCATCCACTGTAACCATCCAAGGACTGAAAAATGTATCCTTCAGAAGTAGCCTATTCTATCTTTGCAGGGAAATACTGAGGCTTTATTTTCTCTTTGGAAAATTCCCACTTTGGAAGAGCTTCGAGTGTGTAACATCACTCTAATCTTTTTGTTGCTGACTAAGTTGCTTAATCTGCTAGTCTGTTTCCCTCAGTGATGTTATCTATCCACTTCTGGTAAACTCTGCAATATATTACTGCCATTCTCTGTGAAAGAAAAACAGGACAACATTCTGTCAACTTCCTGATGGTATTTCATGGGATAACCATTAGGAGTTAGTGAGTGTTTTTCTTTCCAAAAAGGCATGAAAAACCAGAAAAGCATATCTAGAATAAGTATAAATGCTTACGACCTTTCCTTTCCTTAGTTTGAGCACCCTCATGAGGGCAAATTAACTCAGCTAATTGAGCACTGGCGCCTGTGAGAGAGACATACCATCAATAATTTCACCCAGGGTTGCTATTGTTCCATGAGTATATGCTGCTTCTTGGGTTCCTTGTTCTACAAAAGAGGTGTCATTATTAAAAGTGGTCTAGTCTGGGTTTTCTAGGGAAGTTCTTTAAGGTCCTGCATGGCTTCTTAGGTTTGGACTACTATCTGTTCACAGTCATGTTCAGCTTGTTTAGTTTTCTCTGGGAGGAAGTTGGCTGAGTTTAGGCAAGGATAGGTTTTTCACTGAACTTCAGATCCCTCCAGCAGCAAAGCTTAATATTTGAGAAGGCAATTTTCTGCTAGCCAGCATCTTCCTTTAGAGTGCAGCAGTCCTGCTACATGACGGGTGTGTGAACAGTTAAGACATTCCCCATGGTCACCTTATTAGTTACTGAAACAAACAAGGCCACTACTGAAACTGCTTAGAGGCAAGCTAGGTATCCTTTGGCCACCAAGTTGATCTTCTTGCTTAGGTAACTGACTGGCTACTGGGCTGGACATTGGGCCTGAGTAAAAACTGCCAAGGCTATCCCTTTCCTTTCTGAGGCATAAAGATTAAATGAATTTCTTATGGGAAGGCTGGTGACAGGTGCTTTAAGTAAGGCTTGTTTTAATTGGTTAAAAGCCTTTTGAAACTCAGGTTCTCAGGTCAGGGAGTGAATTTTAGCTTTCTGAGTTTCTTTCACAAAGCCATGTAGGAGGCAAGGTATTTTGCTGTACCCCAGTATCCACAACCTGCAGAAACCTATAATGCCCAAAAAGCCACCTAGCTGAGGGGCTTGGAAAGGGGAAAAGGGGAAATTTTCCACTTAATTCTCTCTTCACCCAATGTTCTGATCTCCTCTAGATACTTTACTGAAATTTGACAAAGCTGAGCATTAGATTTTGAAATCTTATACCCTCTGTCACCTAGGAAATTAAGAATAGCTTTAGTGCCTTCCTGCAAAGCCCTGTCAATTGAGACACAAAGTAGAATGTCATCAACATACTGTAAAATTTTAATCTGAAGATGAGAGAATTCAGAGAGGTCTTTTGGAAATGCCAAAACAAACAAGTGAGAGGTGTCTCAGAATCCCTGAGGCAGCACCATGCAGGTTAACTGGGTGGTCTTTTGGGGAATCTTTGAAGGCAAACAAGTATTGAGAGTCAGGGTGCAATGGTATTCAGAAAAAGGCATTCTTCAGGTCTAGAACTGTGAAACTTTGGATTCCCTCAAAGTTAGCAATATATAAGGATTAGGAACTAGCAGATGATGTGTAACCACAGCCTCATTAATGAGATAGAAGTCCTGAACTAGCCTCCATTTCCTATTGTGTTTCCGCCCTTTTAATTTTGGGGTGTTGCAAGGGTTGTTTCAGGGCCTAAGAAAGCCCTGTGCTTTTAGGTTATCAATGAAGGCTTTTAGCCCTTTCCTAGATTCTGACTTTAGGAGATATTTAGTAAAATAAGTGGGATACTTAAGGTGAATCTGTACTGGTACAATGACTAGCCCAGCCAATTTTTTCTGGAGTTGCCCATACTTCTGGGTTAATACAGGTTTCCATGAAATGAAGATAAAGACTTTGTTCTGGAGTCATTAGGATGCTGGCTCACATATAGGCTGGGATATCTCTACCTAGTTAAGAATTGTGACTGTCAAGCATGGTTTTAAAAAACATGGGTAAATAGCAGGTTTCCCTAACTATGACAAAGGTCTTAGAAAGAGATAGCTAAGGAATTTTTTTTGGAAATGCTCACCACATTTGTGCTATGGGAGAATAGAAGGCCTAGATTAGAAAGGAGAACAGAGAGACAAACTCCAGTGTCCAGAAAGAAGTCTACCTTTCTCCCTTCCATCTCCAGAATCACCCAGTGCTCCTGGATAGTGATGGCAGCTTGAGCCGTTGGTGCAAGGGAACTGAGTCTTGGGACTTCTCCATCTTGCTGTACTATCTGGGAGACTGCACCCACAGACCTGCTGGTTTATGTTTCCTGGGACAGTTTTACTTCCAGTGGACCCCATCATAGGCTGAACAGAGTCAAGATGGCTTCCTTTTTTTGTCACAGCAGTTCTTGCTAACATGTCCTGGCTTTCCACATTGGTAGCAGTTAGCAGGCACACCTCATGAATCCTGGATTTTTTAGGCCTATAATGAGGCCACTGGAGCCTCTGTTCTTTTTTCTCCTGGACCTCCTCCTAGCTCCTTGTAAAAGACTTAGGTAGCCACTTTTAGGAAGTTCTCTAGGGTGCTGTTTGAACAGGTGGCCTGTTTGAACTTGTCTTACTTTTCTTTTAGGATTAACTGTCTTTTAACAGAATCAAAATACAGAGAGATGTGTTTCACTGAAGCTTCTCTCCACCTTTACACAAAAGCTGACAGATTTTCATCTGGCTTTTGATATATCATGGATAGCTGAGAGTAATGAAAATGTCTGGCTATAGTCCCTCATAGGCCTTCCTGTATGCACATTAGAAAGTGTTTTCTTTTCCGCTCATCTACATAATTAATGGAATTCCAATTACAGGTTCAAAGGGGCACTGCCTTCCTCCCTATTGGGAATGGAGATTTTGCTATTTGTTCACCTTCCTTTCCTCTCTCTCTCTCTTTTCTTTTTCTTTTTCTTTCTTTCTTTTTTTTTTTTTTTTTTTTTTTTTTTTTTGAGACAGAGTCTCACACTCTTGCCCAGGCTGGAGTGCAGTGGTGGGATCTTGGCTCACTGCAACCTCTGCCACCTGGGTTCATGCCATTCTCCTACCTCAGCCTCCCGAGTAGTTGGGACTAAAGGTGCCCACCACCACACCCAGCTAATTTTTTTTGTATTATTAGTAGAGACAGGGTTTAACCATATTAGCTAGGATGGTCTAGATCTTCTGACTTCATGATTCGCCCGCCTCAGCCTCCCAAAGTGCTGGGATTACAGGCATGAGCCACTACGCCTGGCCTTGCTTTGCTCTTTTAGCATATCTTCTTCTAGATATCTTTCCTTGTAGACTTTTAGACTGCTACAGGAGATATGTTGTCTCTGAATATTTCTGCTTCTTGTAGGCCTGCCTGTATTTCTGACAGTTAGGGTTTGGTTTAGAAGTAACATAGCATCTCTCCAGGTAGGATCAAACACTTGGGTTAAATTTTGGAAGGCCTCTACATATCTATCTGGATCATAGAAAACTTGCCTAGGTCCCCCTTTATTTGTCTAAGGTCCTGAAATGGAAAAGAAAGTTTAAGTATAGTAGCACCATGTCCATCAGACATTTCTTGTAAGGGCAACAGTGAAGTTGGGTGTGTTACTTAGGTGGCATATCCAGAGGATCTCATAAAATGGTAAATGGAACCCCAGGTAAGGGGATCAGGTAGGGCATCCAGAAGGTGCATTAGAGGGTTCCCCAGGAATTTGTCTTTCTGACTTTGGGGAATTATCATTTGTAGGTTTGTCTGATATGACTGCCAAGAGGGCAGGGTCAATTTTACAATGCTTATAAAAATCTGGGTTGTCTCACAAGGAAAAGAAAGCTTGTACATATGGAAACTTGGATCATTTTCTCTCCCATTAGCAGAAAGATCTAGTTGTTGGATAGTATTGAAATTAACACTTCTCTCAGGAGGCCAGACCTTCTGCCCTTCCTGCAGTTGGTAAGATGGCAACAATCTTGTGCAAAAAAAATGAGGAATTTTTTTCTTAGAGTCTGAGGGTCACAGCAGTTTTAGTGTTTCAGAATGCATTTGAGAAGACTGCAGGCTGAAGATGGTTTGTTACTCATCTAAAAGAGAGAGGAAAAGAAGGTGTACCTTAGTTTCTTTTTCATTTGAAGTAATTACCCAAGGAGGAAAGAAAATAGAAAAAGTGTCTCCCATAATTTCTTCCCTTAAATGTCCTCTGAGGCCTGGTGACCATCATAGTGTCATCCATGAATTCAATCATGACCTTCATCCATGGATCTGGAGGAACTAGCTGGCAAGAGTAATCATGTTTATGTGCATGATACCCTAGCTCTCTGCTGGTGATTCCTCATTTCAAAAATGCTCCCGAGGTATTCCAGGAGCCTGGGAGGGATTATGTAGTAGTTGAATTTGGGGAGGCCCTTTAATGAAGAGTGTCTTAATACTGTCCCTGGCTTCCTTTGCCATGTCCCTAGTGAAATAGTGAAATCCTAGAGAAAATGGATGAATTGATTCCCAAATATAAAATCCATTGTTTATTTAAAAGCCAGTGTAGCTGGATGCAGAACAGGTACCTGAAAGAACATAGGAATAAATGGGTATTTTTTCTTTGATGGGTACTGCTCTGAAGAGCAGCTTCCTCTTGACTTCTGAAAGTGAAAGTTTTCTGCCTATAGATCAGTTATGGAGTCTGATCACTGTTAGAGGAATGTAGGAGGAAGAATAATTGGGAAAGTAAAGATTTGGTGTGAGGGGTCAACAAGGCTCCCCACAGAGGAAAATCCCACTCCACTATGTGGAGCTGTAAGGTTTGAAATGTTAGGTAACTTTGATTCCAAATTCTTTCCAGACAGAATTTAGAAAGAGATATTTGGGGCTTGACAAACCTGTCCCCACAGTATGCCTTGCAGCAAAAGAAAATTAACTTGTCTCAAAAAAAAATAAAGGAGGCATTTAGATTCATTGAGCAGTGCTGAATTCTTACAGGGAGGAAAGAAAAAAAAACAAATAGAAGGGTATTCACTCAGTGGAATATCTTCCCATTCAGTGCCATCAATGTTTATTATTGAGGCAAAAAGGCCCTTAAAGGTGAAAAATTAGACTAAAACATTAAGTTCCTATTGTTTCTAGAAAATCACAAAATCAGTAACTCTTTGAATTACATTCCTGATTACTAAGAAACAGCTGATTTTACCCAAGAAGATTATATTCTCAGGTTGCAAAAATATTCACAACTTTGTACTTAAAGAAGGGATAGAAGCCATAATAGTAATGAAAAGAAAGAAAGCAAATGCAATGGGAAAGGCTGGAAATCCTAGTGAAAACTCCCTGAAATACTATCAGCCAATAGGGCCAGTCCATGGGCCTTTAGGTTATGAAGCCACAGAGCCAACAGCCATAGCAGTCAGTGAAAGAAAATTAAATTGAAACACAGCCAACATTCTCAACATTTTAAGGTAAAATGGGATTGGCAAAATCCTCTCCAGCACACCTGTCTCCTTAGTCTTTTAGGGCTTGCAGCCACACTACTGGCTTTTAACTGGCTGACAGGGGCCCAGTGTTTCACTTACTCTTGAAAATACTGAGGCTGAGAAATGTCAGAAATGAAAGTAAAAAGTTAAGAATCCACTTCTACTCACTCTTTTGATGGGTCTTTTTCCTGGCCAATGAACCAAAGATGTTACAGTCTCACCAATGCACCACAAAGTAGCAGTCCCTTGTTGTGAGGTATCATCAGGAGTTCTTTTTTTCATGATAAAGAAAATTAAGAAGTCTGGAAACAAGGGTGAGGTTGTAGTGAAAATTTAATAAGTGGGGAAAAAAAGCTCTCTGCGATGGAGAGAGGGGGCTTGAGATGTTTGCCAACAGTGAGGCTAAGTTCAAGATTTTAATGAACTGGGAAGGGTGGAAATGTGCTGATTGATCTCTGGGAAGTCTTGTTGAAAGTGCTACTAAGCTTGGGCTGTGGGGACTTCTGCCTGGTATGAATGAGTGCAGTATTTTTAATACTGGAGCTTGACCTGGGACCAATCAGGGACTGAAGTGGTGATTCACAGAGGCTGGGATCACAGTCCAAAGCATGTCCAAAAAAAAAAGAAAGTTCCACTAGAGCCCACCACACCCCACCGTATACATGCCCACAAAAGAAGATACTATTTTCTGGGAGCCTGATGGTTATACCAAAGGCAAAGGCTTTTCTATGTTAGGGCTTCTCTCTTATCAGTGTAGCTCAGGCATTTCTGAGGCACAAAGAACTGAGGTGTTTCTATGTCAGGCCTTATTCTTTTTTCATTTGAGCTGTGAGCATGTCTATGGTACAAAGGACTGAGGCATTCTATATTGCACCTTGTTCCTTTACTAGTACAGTTGCATGCATGTCTCTGGGCCAGTTTCCTGTGCTAGCACCCTTATCTGTCCCTGCAGCCTGATTTTTCAGGCTGTTTCTCTGTTAAAGGAGCTTTATCCAGGATGCACCCTAACTGCCTAACTGTTTTCTTTTCTCACTACAGAGAATCTGCCATTTCACCCTGGCCAAGTTTAAAGTTTTGGAGGTCTTTTTTCTTGAGTTAGTAGAGGAGTTCCAGTCCACTGCTCTGATTGAAATTGGAGACATATCTCTAGCATGACAGTAGGCATTGATTTTGAGGTTTTCCTTTGGCTGTGGTTTTCCTGGTTAAAAGTGTCCAGGAAGAAGTTCAAGACCATGCACTTGCTCATGAGTTGAAGCTCCTCCTTTCCTGGTGTGTTGTAGTTCTAAATTTTTGCACACCTGGGGATTGCACACTAAATTGTGTTTTTTCAGGTTTCATGGGAAAACCAGAGGACTAGGGATGAGAGTAGGAGTCATAGACTACAAATTCTGTTATGAACAATGCAGGATCAAATTGACTGGCAAACTGAGTGAAATGCCCAGGTGGCTGCAATGGTTTTGGAAGGCTGTATTTCTCTTGAGCATACCATAGCTACTTCTGTTAAATGACCAAGTTAAGAGAAAATAATTAGATAAATTATTGCTATAGCAAAATAGATTTGTGAGATTATTGAAGCAAGAAGCAGCAATCATACTCCAATTGCCACTTTCTCTTAGGGATTTAGAAAGTGACCTGTATTGAATACCAGAAGAGAATGGTAGACTAATCCTGAGGTCATGCTATTTGATGTGTCCTCTTTCTAATACTAATTTTTGCACAAAGAAACAAACTGATGTTCAGCATCCCAGATGCTTTCTGGGGGTTTATATATGTCACTCTGAAATAGGGAGGAGCTCTTGGATATTCAACAATTGGAGGACACAAGATGTCTCTTGGAAATCATGAGAAATCTGTGTGACTTGTCGGATTGAACAGAGAACAGTTCTTTCTCAGCTTTCTTTCTCTTGGGAATCTGTAAAAGAAGAAAGATACAGTGCTACATTTTGAAAAGATTGTTCACTTTGAGAGGCTGAGGCAGGCAGATCACAAGGTCAGGAGTTCGAGACCAGCCTGACCAACATGGTAAAAATCGAAAAATTAGCTGGGTGTGGTGGGGTGTGTCTGTAATCCCAGCTACTTAGGAGGCTCAGGCAGGAGAATCTCTTGAACCCGGGAGGCAGAGGTTGCAATGAACCGAGTTTGTGCCACTGCACTCTAGCCTGGTGACAGAGAGACTCCTTCTCAAAAAAAAAAAAAGACTATTGACATATGATTTTAAAAATATTGTGTTAGTATTTCTAGACTATCTATATATTTATAATAATTTATCATTTACTGAATGACTTGAACAGGAGAATATATATATATTTTTTACAGTAAGTCCTCAATGTAATTTACAGAATGTTTTTACTACATTTACCTTTTGGGACTTCTTTATTTTTTTCTATGAAAGGAAATTTCTGTTGTTGTAACACTGAGAAATCTGGACTCAAGATTTTCCTTTTATTTTACCCAAGATGAGAATAGAAGATTATATTGGCTCACAAATGTATTTCTTCAAAATTTAGAAGATTACTCTATTCCTTTTGTAGTCCTACAATACAACTAAAGCTATAAGAGCCTTTTTGTCAGCTTTGCCTGGGTTTGTTTTCTATTTTTGGTGTGCTGCCCTCACTATTTTAAGTTCAAATATGAAATAAACTCTTTATTCTATGACAATCTACTCTTTTTCTCTTACCTGATAGACATAAATCTCACCTCACCTTATTCCATTTCTATGAGGTTATTTGTGTTTTCCAATACATACAAAGTAAATTGGGGGTTTTATTTTTGGAGAGATTATGGAATGCTGGTGAAAGTTTTCATACTTTCAGCATCTTTTTCTATATTCCCGTATAACATTATTAAAAACAAATCAAAGTAGTAGTAGCCATTCCATTTGGAGACATATTTGTCTCATCTCCATTGTTGCCATTCCACTTCTACCTACTCTAAGGAATAAAAAATTATATTAGTATGCTTTTTATGTAGATAAAGTAAAAGAAAAATCCTGAGCTTCAAATCCTCAAAAGTGGCAACTATTTCCTTTCCTGAAGGACAATAAGGAAGACCCCAAAAGATGAAGGCAGTCTAGTGAATCTTAGCAGAACAAGCTTGCTGATGTCAAAACCCAAATTTCCACCAAATATTTTGTAAGAAGTTTTTTCAAACTTTCACGTAAGGCCCACATGCAACATAAACAATAAGCACACATACCCAAGGACTTTCCAGACTTTCTTTTTCTTCCAGCCAGTCTCCTGTTAATTTCAGTATTCACCTTCTGAATATTTTTTATAAAAATAGTGTTTTAAGCCAGTACAAGAAGATATATTTGAGCTTGATATTTTTGTCTTCTTTTGAGTGGACTTGAAATAGAAAGCATTTCTTTTCTCAAAAACAAAGTGTCATGGTATTGTCTTCTAATGTGTTAAGTAGCAAACACTTTTTTGCTCAATAACAGCCTGGCACCTTAGATGAGACTAAACCTATCTGGGGTGCTGAAGCTCCTTGGTGAAATGCAGGCCCATTTCACCAACCCTTAGTGACCATCTACATTAGTTTCTCTAGAGGCTTGGTGTGGAGTTTTTGATTCTGCACTGTGATGCTCTTAAGTGTCTTTTATGTTCCCTGAGGCCCCCTCAGGTCTAATCTCCTATGGCAAAAGACACTGCTTTCATATTAGATGCCTTCTGGTAAGTACCTTATTAAAATGTATGCCTGTACCTTTACTTGTGTTTGATCTCATTATAGGATTATAAGGTTGAAACCACCCTTGCATTTTAGAATTGTGGGCTTATGCCCCACACTAGAAGTGTTTTGTTATGGGTATTATGGGTTTTGGTTTCTCACCATTGTGGCCTATGATTGTGAGTTTCAGTTCCACCCTTTTCCAGGACTGTGGATTCAAGCCAAAATCTAGAGGATCAGTGGGGCACAGTGGCTCACACCTGTAATCCCAGCACTTTGGGAGGCCAAGGTGGGCAGATCATTTGAGGTCAGGAGGTCGAGACTAGCCTGGCCAACATGGTGAAACCCAGTCTGTACTAAAAATACAAATATTAGCCAGGCATGGTGGCACAGGCCTGTAGTCCCAGCTACTCAGGAGGCTGAGGCAGGAGAATTGCTTGAATCCAAGAGGTGGAAGTTGCAAACAAACAAACAAACAAACAAGCAAACAAACAAAAAAAAATGGGATCCTGGTCAGGTTAGATTTTGAATTTTCTTTGGGTTCATGTCTCACAGAATAAAAGCAATACTAAAAAGCTGAAACCACTTATAACTCAGTCTAATCTAATGCTGACTTTTGTTTAACTATGTGTATTTTCAGTCTGTGTAACAATATTTGGCCCCAAATGGGAGAAGACTTTGGTTGTCTAAGCAAAAGCCATGTAAAACCTGTAAATTAGTTGACCTGTATGCTCAGTTGGAACAAAGATACTCCATTAACTAGGAAAATAAAATAAAATGGTGCAGACAACTTCTTTTCTTCTTTGCTTGCTTCTCCTTTTCATTTCATCTCTCTTTTATTTATTTATTTTTTAATTTATTATACTTTAAGTTCTAGGGTACATGTGCACAACGTGCAGGTTTGTTACATATGTATACATGTGCCATGTTGGTGTGCTGCACCCATTAACTTGTCTTTTACATTAGCTTTATCTCCTAATGCTATCCCTCCCCCATCCACCCACCCCACGACAGGCCCTGGTGTGTGATGGTCTCCTTCCTGTGTCCAAGTGTTCTCATTGTTCAATTCCCACCTATGAGTGAGAACATGCAGTGTTTGGTTTTTTGTCCTTGTGATAGTTTGCTGAGAATGATGGTTTCCAGATGCATCCATGTCCATACAAAGGACATGAACTCATCGTTTTTTATGACTGCATAGTATTCCATGGTGTATATGTGCCACATTTTCTTTTTTCTTTTTAATTATACTTTAAGTTTTAGGGTACTTGTGCACAACGTGCAGGTTAGTTACATATACATACATGTGCCATGTTAGTGTGCTGCACCCATCAACTCCTCATTTAACATTAGGTATATCTCTTAATGCTATCACTCCCACCTCCACCCACCCCACAACAGGCCCCAGTGTGCGATGTTCCCCTTCCTGTGTCCATGTGTTCTCATTGTTCAATACCCACCTATGAGTGAGAACATGCGGTGTTTGGTTTTTTGTCCTTGTGATAGTTTGCTGAGAATGATGGTTTCCAGTTTCATCCATGTCCCTACAAAGGACATGAACTCATCATTTTTTATGCCTCCATAGTATTCCATGGTGTATATGTGCCACATTTTCTTAATCCAGTCTATCATTGTTGAACATTTGGGTTGGTTCCAAGTCTTTGCTATTGTGAATAGTGCTGCAACAAATATACGTGTGCATGTGTCTTTATAGCAGCATGATTTATATCCTTTGGGTATATACCCAGTAATGGGATGGCTGGGTCAAATGGTATTTCTAGTTCAAGATCCCTGAGGAATTGCCACAGTGACTTCCACAATGGTTGAACTAGTTTACAGTCCCACCAGCAGTGTAAAAGTGTTCCTATTTCTCCACATCCTCTCCAGCACCTGTTGTTTCCTGACTTTTTAATGATCACCATTCTAACTGATGTGAGATGGTATCTCATTGTGGTTTTGATTTGCATTTCTCTGATGGCCAGTGATGATGAGCATTTTTTCATGTGTCTTTTGGCTGCATAAATGTCTTCTTTTGAGAAGTGTCTGTTCATATCCTTCACTCAATTTTTGATGGGGCTGTTTGTTTTTTTCTTGTAAATTTGTTTGAGTTTATTGTAGATTCTGGATATTGGCCCTTTGTCAGATGAGTAGGTTGCGAAAATTTTCTCCCATTCTGTAGGTTGCCTGTTCACTCTGATAGTAGTCTCTTTTGCTGTGCAGAAGTTCTTTAGTTTAAGTAGATCCCATTTGTCAATTTTGGCTTTTGTTGCCATTGCTTTTGGAGTTTTAGATATGAAGTCCTTGCCCATGCCTATGTCCTGAATGGTATTGCCTAGGTTTTCTTCTAGGGTTTTAATGGTTTTAGGTCTAACGTGTAAGTCTTTAATCCATCTTGAATTAATTTTTGTATAAGGTGTAAGGAAGGGATCCAGTTTCAGCTTTCTACATATGGCTAGCCAGTTTTCCCAGCACCATTTATTAAACAGGGAATCCTTTCCCCATTTCTTGTTTTTGTCAGGTTTGTCAAAGATCAGATGACTAGATATGCAGCATTATTTCTGAGGGCTCTGTTCTGTTCTGTTGGTCTGTATCTCTGTTTTGGTACCAGTACCATGTTGTTTTGGTTACTATAGCCTTGTAGTATAGTTTGAAGTCAGGTAGCATGATGCCTCCAGCTTTGTTCTTTTGGCTTAGGATTGACTTGGCAATGCAGACTCTTTTTTGGTTCCATATGAACTTTAAAGTAATTTTTTTCCAATTCTGTGAAGAAAGTCATTATTAGCTTGATGTGGATGGCATTGAATCTATAAATTACCTTGGGCAGTATGGCCATTTTCATGATATTGATTCTTCCTACCCATGAGCATGGAATGTTCTTCCATTTTTTGTATCCTCTTTTATTTTGTTGAGCAGTGGTTTGTAGTTTTCCTTGAAGAGGTCCCTCACATCCCTTGTAAGTTGGATTCCTAGGTATTTTATTCTCTTTGAAGCAATTGTGAATTGGAGTTCACTCATGATTTGGCTCTCTCTTTGTTATTGGTGCATAAGAATGCTTGTGATTTTTGCACATTGATTTTGTATCCTGAGACTTTGCTGAAGTTCCCCATCAGCTAAGGAGATTTTGGGCTGAGATGATGGGGTTTTCTAGATATACAATCATGTCATGTGCAAAAAGGGACAATTTGACTTCCTCTTTTCCTAATAGAATACCCTTTATTTCCTTCTCCTGCCTGATTGCCCTGGCCAGAACTTCCAACACTATGTTGAATAGGAGTGGTGAGAAAGGGCATCCTTGTCTTGTGCCAGTTTTCAAAGGGAATGCTTCCAGTTTTTGCCCATTCAGTATGATATTGGCTGTGGGTTTGTCATAGATAGCTCTTATTATTTTGAAATACATCCCATCAATACTTAATTTATTGAGAGTTTTTAGCATGAAGGGTTGTTGAATTTTGTCAAAGGCTTTTTCTGCATCTATTGAGATAATCACATGGTTTTTGTCACTGGTTCTGTTTATATGCTGGATTACATTTATTGATTTGAGTATGTTGATCCAGCCTTGCATCCCAGGGATGAAGCCCACTTGATCATGGTGGATAAGCTTTTTGATGTGCTGCTGGATTTGTTTGGCAAGTATTTTATTGAGGATTTTTGCATCAATGTTCATCAGGGATATTGGTCTAAAATTCTCTTTTTTTGTTGTGTCTCTGCCAGGCTTTGGTATCAGGATGATGCTGGCCTCATAAAATGAGTTAGGAAGGAGTCCCTCTTTTTCTATTGATTGGAATAGTTTCAGAAGGAATGGTACCAGCTCCTTCTTGTACCTCTGGTAGAATTCAGCTGTGAATCTATCTGGTCCTGGACTTTTTTTGGTTGGTAAACTATTAATTATTGCCTCAATTTCAGAGCCTGCTATTGGTCTATTCAGAGATTCAACTTCTTCCTGGTTTTGTCTTGAGAGGGTGTATGTTTTGAGGAGTTTATCCATTTCTTCTAGATTTTCTAGTTTATTTGCATAGAGGTGTTTATAGTATTGTCTGATGGTAGTTTGTATTTCTGTGGGATCGGTGGTGATATCCTCTTTATCATTTTTTATTGAATCTATTTGATTCTTCTCTCTTTTCTTCTTTATTAATCTTGCTAGCAGTCTATCAATTTTGTTGATCTTTTCAAAAAAGCAGCTCCTGGATTCATTGATTTTTTGAAGGGTTTTTTGTCTCTATTTCCTTCAGTTCTGCTCTGATCTTAGTTATTTCCTGACTTCTGCTAGCTTTTGAATGTGTTTGCTCTTGCTTCTTTAGTTCTTTTAATTGTGATGTTAGGATGTCAATTTTAGATCTTTCCTGCTTTCTCTTGTGGGCTTTTGGTGCTATAAATTTCCCTCTACACACTGCTTTAAACGTGTCCCAGAGATTCTGGTATGTTGTGTCTTTGTTCTCGTTGTTCTTGTTTCAAAGAACATCTTTATTTCTGCCTTCATTTCGTTATGTACCCAGTAGTCATTCAGGAGCAAGTTATTCAGTTTCCATGTAGTTGTGTGGTTTTGAGTCAGTTTCTTAATCCTGAGTTCTAGTTTGATTGCACTGTGGTCTGAGAAACGGTTTCTGACAATTTCTGTTCTTTTACATTTGCTGAGGAGTGCTTTACTTCCAACTATGTGGTGAAATTTGAAATAAGTGCAATGTGGTGCTGAGAATAATGTACATTCTGTTGATTTGGGGTGGAGAGTTCTGTAGATATCTATTACAGAACTGAGTTCTGTGCAGAGCTGAGTTCAATTCCTGGATATCCTTGTTAAATTTCTGTCTCGTTGATCTGTTTAATGTTGACAGTGGGGTGTTGAAGTCTCCCATTATTACTGTGTGCAGTCTAAGTCTCTTTGTAGGTCTCTAAGGACTTGCTTTATGAATCTAGGTGCTCCTGTATTGGGTGCATATATATTTAGGATAGTTACCTGTTCTTGTTGAATGATGCCTTTACCGTTATGTAATGGCCTTCTTTTTCACTTTTGATCTTTGTTGGTTTAAAGTCTGTTTTATCAGAGACTAGGATTGCAACCCCTGCCTTTTTGTGTTTTCCATTTGCTTGGTAGATCTTCTTCCATCCCTTTATTTTGAGCTGATGTGTGTCTCTGCATGTGAAATGGGTCTCTCGATTACAGTACACTGATGGGTCTTGACTCTTTATCCAGTTTGCTAGTCTGTGTCTTTTAATAGGAGCATTTAGCCCATTTACCTTTTAGGGTAATATTGTTATACGTAAATTTGATCCTGTCGTTATGATGTTAGCTGTTTGTTTTGCTCGTTAGTTGATGTAGTTTCTTCCTAGCATCGAAGGGCTTTACAATTTTGCATGTTTTTGCAGTGGCTGATACCGGTTGTTCCTTTCCATGTTTAGTGCTTCCTTCAGGAGCTCTAGTAGGGCAGGCCTTGTGGTGACACAATCTCTCAGCCTTTGCTTGTTTGTAAAGGATTTTATTTCTCCTTCACTTATGAAGCTTAGTTTGGCTGGATATGATATTCTGGGTTGAAAATTCTTTTCTTTAGGAATGTTGAATATTGGCCCCCACTCTCTTCTGGCTTGTAGAGTTTCTGCCAAGAGGTCCGTTGTTAGTCTGACAGGCTTCCCTTTGCCGGTAACCCGACCTTTCTCTCTGGGCTGCCCTTAATATTTTTTCCTTCATTTCAACTTTGATGAATCTGACAATTATGTGTCTTGTAGTTTCTCTTCTCCATCTTTGTAGCGTTCTGTGTATTTCTTGAATTTGAACGTTGGCCTGCCTTGCTAGGTTGTGGAAGTTCTCCTGGATAATATCCTGCAGAGTGTTTTTCAACTTGGTTCCATTCTCCTCGTTAGTTTCAGGTATACCAATCAGACGTAGATTTGGTCTTTTCACATAGTCCCATATTTCTTGGAGGCTTTATTCATTTCTTTTTACTCTTTTTTCTCTAAACTTCTCTTCTTGCTTCATTTCATTCAGTTGATCTTCAATCACTGATACCCTTTCTTCCAGTTGATTGAATCAGCTACCGAAGCTTGTGCATTTGTCACGTAGTTCTCATGCCATGGTTTTCAGCTCCGTCAGGTCATTTAAGGATTTCTCTACACTGTTTATTCTAGTTAGCTATTCATCTAATCTTTCTTCAAGGTTGTTAGTTTCTTTGCCATGCATTCGAACTTCCTCCTTTAGCTCAGAGAAGTTTGATCTTCTGAAGCCTTTTTCTCTCAACTCGTCAAAGTCATTTTCCATCTAGCTTTGTTCCTTTGCTGGCATGGAGCTGTGTTCCTTTGGAGAGGGAGTGGCATTTTGATTTTTAGAATTTTCAGCTTTTCAGCTCTGTTTTTTCCCCATCTTTGTGGTTTTATCAACCTTTGGTCTTTGATGATGGTGATGTACAGATGAGGTTTTGGTGTGGACGTCCTTTCTGTTTGTTAGTTTTCCTTCTAACAGTCAGGACCCTCAGTTGCAGGTCTATTGGAATTTGCTGGAGGTCTACTCCAGACCCTGTTTGCCTGGGTATCAGCAGCAGAGGCTGCAGAACAGTGAATATTGCTGAACAGCAAATGCTACTGCCTGATCGTTCCTCTGGAAGCTTCCTCTCAGAGGGGTACCCAGCCATGTGAAGTGTCAGTCTGCCCCTACTGGGGGGGTGCCTCCCAGTTAGGCTACTTGGTGTTCAGGGGGTCAGGGACCCTCTTGAGGAGGCACTGTGTCCATTCTCAGAACTCAAACTCCATGCTTGGAGAACCACTACTCTCCTTGACGCTGTCAGACAGGGACATTTAAGTCTGCAGAGGCTTCTGCTGCCTTTTGTTTGACTATGTCCTGCCTCCAGAGGTGGAGTCTACAGAGGCAGGGAGGCCTCCTTGAGCTGAAGTGTGCTTCACCCATTTTGAGCTTCCTGGCTGCTTTGTTTACCAACCAGCAATGGTGGGCGCCCCTCCCCCAGCCTTGCTGCAGCCTTGCAGCTGGATCTCAGACTGCTGTGCTAACCATGAGCAAGGCTCTGTGGGTGTGGGACCCTCCAAGCCAGGCGCCTGGTATAATCTCCTTTTGTACCGTTTGCTAAGACCATTGGAAAAACTTTGTTAGCGTGGAAGTGACCCAATTTTCCAGGTGCTGTCTGTCACGGATTCCTTTGGCTAGGAAAGGGAATTCCCTTACCCCTTGCACTTCCCGGGTGAGGCGATATCTCACCCTGATTTGGCTCATGCTGCGTGGGCTGCACCCACTGTTCTGCCCCCACTGGCTGACAAGCCTCAGTGAGATGAACCTGGTACCTCAGTTGGAAATGTAGAAATCACCCGTCTTCTGTGTCGCTCAGGCTTGGACCTGTAGATTGGAGCTGTTCCTATTTGGCCATCTTGGAACCACCCCATTTCATCTCTCTTAAAACTCTCAGCCATGTACTGTGGCTCACGCCTATTATTCCAGCACTTTGGGAAGCCAAGGTAGGCAGATTATGAGGTCAAGACTTCGAAGCCACTCTGGCCCACAAGGTGAATCCCCATCTCTACTAAAAATATAAAAATTAGCTGGCCATGGTGGTGCACACCTGCAGTCCCAGCTACTCGGGAGGGTGAGGCAGGAGAATAATTTGAACCCTGGAGGTGGAGGTTGCAGTGAGCCAAGATTGTGGCACTGCACTCCTGCCTGGTGAAAGGGTGAGACTCTGTCTCAAAACAAAACAAAACACCCAAAAACTGTCTCCATCTCTACTCTGGTGTCATAATACTTCTTTCTAGGGACTCAAGATTCATTGATAAAGTTTGTGATTTTTAAAAGTCTGGATTTAAAAATTCTCTCTGTAGCTGTACCGATGAGAAACAAATAATTTAAAATGAAAATCAAAACAAAGACAAGGCACCAGAGAACTGATTTTTAATCAGCAATCCATCAAATATCTCCCTGAACTAGAGAAACTTACCAAAAGAGAAATGACATTGAAATTATCAAAATGAAACTCTTAAACATTGTTTGCCAAGTTTTCTTAGACTTCATCTAGTTACAAAGGATGGCCTGTTTTAGTGCACATTTTATATTGAATGGCCAAATTACATCAAGAAACATTTCATGTATAGTGCTCAAATAGTTATTTTGTTTTTATTTGTATTGCTTTATGTCAGGACCATGTTCATCTGTCACCTGGAATAGAGTACAGTGGTGCAATTTTGGCTTACTAAAACCTCTGCCTCCTGGGTTCAAGTGATTATCATGCCTCAGCCTCCTGAGCAGCTGGGACTATAGGCACATGCTACCATATCTGGCTAATTTTTAGTATTTTTTTTTTAGAGACAGGTTTCATACCATTGGCCAGGCTGGTTTTGAACTCCCAAGATCAAGTGATCTGCCTGCCGCAGGCTCCCCAAGTTCTGGGAGTACAGGTGAGAGCCATAGTGTCTGGTCCACAAATCGTTATTTTTAAAAGTCTACAACTATAAAGTATACATACTTTTGCTTACATATGTATTTTTTGCTTAGTTTGAATTGGCTGACTTTGCTACTAGTGTTGATATAAAAATTTTTATGCTGTTAACTAATTCAAGATTATCTTGATTATGAAAAAAGAGACCAATGAAATAGTTATTTTACTATTTTCTTTTCATAAAAACTGCTTTATCCACAGGGGAAAATAAACTTTAGCCTTGTGAGTGTCACAGAAAAACTTATTGGCTGGTGACTTTTTTGCCCAAGTTTGACTGGGGGCTGCTGGGCTCATTTTGCCTACTCAGCCTAGGTCACTTAGTTTCTCTGGTAAAAACCTGTTACATGGTTTTATTTCAGAGTGAGTCTTCTCTAATATATGTTTTGCCTCATGCTAGTGGCACCAAATTCCTAAATGAGCCTATGCTTGGCCTGAGATTTGAAGTTGAAAAGCACTTACTTCTCTAAGAATCACAGTCCCTTCCTTTGTTCTGGGTTGTAGTTTTAAAGGTTGTTTTCAGACATGTGGCCTGCATGCTGGAACTGTGGGCTTTTAATTCTCATTGGAAATCAAAAGTTTGGTGGCAAGAATAGAGGCTGTAGACTACAACTTCTGCTGTGAACAAGGTGACACCAAGTCACTTAGCCAGCTTTCTGGGTGGGATGCCCATGTGGTTTTAATGATTTGAGACAGCTTGTATTCCTGTAATTTGTCTCATGGATACTCTAAATATGTATCCAACTTAGGGGAAAAAAAGAGAGGAGTGGCTTCTAAAACATTATGGTTTTGTGAACATTACTGAAGCAATGTGTGGCAATTTCTATTGCATTTGTCTTTATCTTTTAGGACTTTAGAAAGAGAGCTGCACTAAAGACCACAAGAAAGAATGATAGCTTTATTCTGATTTTATGCTGAGACAGAAAGTTGTGAGGGGGTTTCTTGCAAAATGTCAGCGAACCTGCACACTGGGAGGAATGCACACTGAGATGGAGCCACGGAAGTTCATGACATTTGCAGTGGGGAGAAGCCTTGCCCCTCCTATTCCTGTGTAAAACCTGGGATTCAAACTGTGAGGCGGGAAGCAAATGAGAGGAACTCTAGCCTTGTGGAGAGTCCCTATTTTTCCTTTTTTAAAAAAATTTCACCCAATAAAGCCTTGCTTTACTCACCTTTCAAACCATCTGTGAGACTAAATTTTTGTGGTTATGAGACAAGGATCTTATCTTTAGCTGAACTAAGGAAATGTCCTGCGATATTTTTAGGCATGCCATGTGGGGCCTGAAGAAGTGGTGAGGAAAATAGGGAATCAAAACCTCTCACTGTGGTTTGTAAGCCTTTTTATCTTCGAACATCTGAGCTTAAGGGGTCTGGGTCCTTTACATGGCCTTCATTCCTTTTACAAGACGGACTAGTGAGCAGCAGTTTTTCACTTCTCCCCTCCCTGCTGGGCTGGGATGCATGACCCAAGGCACCCAGGGCATCTGGCTGGCATATTCTGCCACATGCCATGGGAGATTTCCCCTTCCCCAGCCAAGGGGTTTAACTCCATTGGACAGTAATTAAGCTCAAGCTTGTCTCCCTGATGGAGAAATCACCAGCACAAAATACATCAGAGAGTTATGATTTCCTTTTTCTCTCATCTCAATGGCTCCCACTCCACTTTTTACTGCTCTCAAGAGGAAGAAACACATGGTAGTGTACTTTATCTCCAGAAAGAATCAAACACACATTGCCAGAGCCTAGAGTTATTATAATTAAGTCAGAAAGCTTTCCCTTTCCCTTTACATTTCAGAAAGGTAATTGAGGTTGAAAAAAGGCACAACTCTCCCATGCAGGAAAACAGTTTGAATAGGGTAAAGTAAGAAAGCAGTCATTGGTTAATAGGAAGTTGCAAAGAAGACTGAGAACTGTCTCCTTTCAAAGGAAACAATATTTTTCTAGGTGAGAAAATATTTTTGTTCTAAATTAGATGTCAAGATGGGGGAAATGCATTTCCCAAGCATTTCTCTGCATCTCCTCTGAAGAAAGGCAATCTACATAAGCACTGTGGTCCAAAGAGACTTCCTAAGGTTTCAAAGCTGCAACTTGGATATTGGCCAATATCTAATATTGGGAAAGAGATGTTTCCAGGGAAAGATCTTATAAACTAGAAAATGTGAACCCCTAAAAATCATCCTGCTAGACAATCTGCATATTACTAAATATTTTCTAGACCAGCAGTACACTTAGCAAAGGGAATACTGTCTTGCATTCAATACTGAAACCAAAGAAAAGGAATAGGCAGAATAGAGTGAGAAGCAGGGCAGGATAGAATAACTTAACCTTCCATACCTGAGATAATCCAGTTTAAGATTTTCCCTCATCCATTCCTAGCTGCTATCCCCAGAAACCCCTAGAAGCCTACAGTAATGTAGTTCTAAGTTTTGAACATGGATTCTTTCTCAGTGTTCACGGTGGGAAATCTCTTGAGCAAGTGCCCCCCATTTTCTGTAATGTCCCAGGAACAAATGAAAATGCTACTGTTGGTTTTTACAGACAGGAATCCTAGGGGCAAGATATTCTGCCTCGGTTTGTTCATCTAATAGACAATAAAAGGAAAGAGAGAGAGAGAATACATTGAGGCTAGTGTATATGGATAAAATGCATCTATTTAATACACTAGTGGAACAAGTTGAAAAGCATATTAACATTTGACCACCTGTTCCTTCTATAGATAGGTTCGACAACATCACCAAGGACCAAACATTGTGGTAGATGTACATGCAATGTACATGCAGAGTACAGGTTGATGCCTGAATAAAGAGATGCTGGGTGAGTGTCTGAACCTAGATGACATGGAGGAGTCCTGCAGAAAATATTTGCTATTGAATTCAAAGGTCTATAGAGGTAAGAAAAAAAAGCATGTTATATAGCATCCTGCTAGAAGAGAAACCAGAGCAACTGCTTTTCAATTTTTTAGTGTGGTTACACCCTGTTTCTCTGGGAGTTCCTGCCACTTCCTCTTTCCCTTATAAAAGCCCTAGTAATGCATCATCTAAGAAAATAAATACTATAAATTAACTACTCTGGGGCTACAGAAAGTGTGTGGATTGAAGGAAAAAGTAAGACAAGCTTCCCATTCTCCCACTGGCACCACCAATGCAAACTAATTACAAATACATTAAAGCATTTTTTAATGATTTAAAGGCATTTTTGGCAATTCCATTATTGAGTGAACAATTTAGAGTTTACTTTCACAAATAAATATAGCCTACTACATGCCAAAGTTATAACATATAGCCTATCCATTGTAGGCTGCAATCCTATTTATTACTATACTAAATATTGAAGCCAATTATAACAAAGTAGTATTTTTACATCTAAGCATGTGTAAAAATTTAAAAAGTACAGTAAACATGTTATGTAGGATGTGAAATATGGTACACCTATATAGAGTACTTACAATGAGAGAAGAATGCAGGACAGAAAGATGTTCTGGGTAAGTCAGTGAGTGAATGGTAAATGAATGTGAAGGCCCAGTGCCCTGCTGTACACTACTATGCATTATAAATACTATATACTTAGGCTGCATTAAATTTATCTTATAAAGTGTCATTCTTCAAAAACTTACCAGATACTGTAGATTTTTCACTCCATAAACTTGGAAATTCTGTTAAAATTTATATTCTAATAATTTAACTTAAAATTATAATACAAGTATATTGTACTGGTGCACAAACAATATCTTATTTCTGTACATTCTTATGAATGTTTTTAATTTTTTTTTTACATTTACAACATTATAAAAACTGAGCTACAAACATGCATGTTGTACTAGGCCTGTACTGTGTTACATGTCAATATAGCCACTTTCCACCTTCACACCTTGTCTTACTGAAAGCTTTTCAAGTAAACAGGTGTGGAGCTGTCTTACATCTTTGAATGACAGGTGTGCAGCTGTTATCTCCCATGACAACAATGTATTCTACTGGAATAGTTGCTGAAGAATCTGTGTGAGGCTAACATCAACTTAACTTAAATAATAATAGAAGTTTATTCTGTTGATAGGCACAGGTTGCTTTCAGATATTAGCAATGGTGAACAGTGCTATAACAAACTCTTCAACACACTGATTTTCTTTCTTTTGAGTGTATACCCAGCAATGGGATTAGTTGACCATATGGTATCTCTATTTTTAGTTTTTTGAGAGACCTCAAAACTGTTCATACAAAGTTCCATCTTCTCCACATCCTTGTCAGAAATTGTTATTCCTGTCTTTTGGCTATAAGCCAATTTTTATTGCCTTTCTCCACATCCTTTTGGCTATAAGCCAATTGTTATTGCCTGTCTTTGTCCACATCCTTGTCAGAAATTCTTATTGCCTGTCTTTTGGCTATAAGCCAGTTGTTATTGCCTGTCTTTTGGCTATAAGCCAGTTGTTATTGCCTGTCTTTTGGCTATAAGCCAGTTGTTATTACCTGTCTTTTTGCTACAAGCCATTTTAACAGGCATGAGATGGTATCTCCCTGTAATTTTAATGTGCATTTCCCAGATGATTAATGATGTTGATGTTGCATTTCCCTGATGATCAGTGATTCACCAGGAATGTACTATTTTACATTCCTGTTTAATAGATGACCGGATCAAGAAAATGTGGTACAATGGAGTGGAGTACTATTTATGCATAAAGAAAATGAGATTCTGTTATTTGAAACATGGATGAAACTAGAGGTCAAGCATCACATGTTCTCACTTATTTGTGGGATCTAAAAATCAAAATAATTGGACTAATGGAGATAAAGAGTAGAAAGATGGTTGCCAGAGGCTCGGATGGGTAGTGGGGATGATGTGCGAGGGGGGGATGGGTACAAAAATAATTAGAAAGGAAGAACAGGACCTAGTATTTGATAGCACAACAGAATGGCTATATTTAATAATAATTTAACTGTATGTTTAAAATTACTAAAACACTTTAATTGAACTGTTGCCAATACAAAAGATAAATGCCTGAGGGGATGTATGTCGCATTCCTTATTATTGTGATTATCACTCTCTGCATCCCTGTAACAAAATATGTAATTTTCCCCATAAATATATATACCTACTATGTATCCACAAAATCTAAAATTTAAAATAAAAAATAGAAGAAACATATTCTAGGGTAATAATAAAAAAGTATGATATAGGCAATATGTAAGTCATTTGTTGTTAAAATAGTTACATTTTATTATTAAATTTTATGTATTGAGCATTTATATATATAAATATATGTTATATATTGTATTATGTAAATATATAAATGTTCCATACATAAAACTTAATAACAGGTAATTATTTTATATATAAATATATATTAAAATATGTTTTATATCATATATAATAGATAATATATTTTATATATAAATATGTATAATATATTAAATAATACTATTCTATTATATATGAGATATATTTTATGTTTTTTATATTTATATATTTAATATATATAAAATACATATATACATTTATATATTTATATATTATATATTTTTATATATAAATACATATGTATTTTAATGTGTGTGTGCATATGTGTATCTGTATGTGTGTATATATATATGCTAGACTCACAGGACTGGCAGTGAAGTAGAATATTTACCTCAGCAATGACACAAACATAATGAAGGCATGCTAACTTACAACTGCTACAACATGCCATGCTTTAAAAAAATTCAATCACATTGTAATCACTTTCCTTGGACTGGCAGTTACTCTCAAAAGCATAGAATACCAATTATGTTCTGTGGGAATTTTGTGTTTCCATTCTGGCTGCTTCTCATGAAGAAAAGTTAGTAATTTGAAGTAATATATTTTTATTTTATTTTTTCTGCACAGAGTTCTCAACTAATGAAAAATCATTGCATTATCTTGAGAGCAATAGCAATGATCATGCCAACAGTAATTCAGACTGTGTCATAAGTTGGGTCACACAGTCCCTATTTTCAAACTTTGTGGATGTCTGTCAACTGGCAGTGAATTGTATTCAGGAGAAAAGAAGTCTAAAGTAAGTAGTCCAAGTGTATGATGTCAAGAATCTGCCCATACTTGGTAGTCCCTTGCTACTGTACAATAATAGTGGTGCACATTTGAAGGACTGAGATGCCACTAACTCTCTGCTCCACCATTTTGGGGTCACAGTGCATATCAGTGGAGGGAAGCAAGTGTTTAGAGGGATCCTGGCTTTGGAAGACATTTGTGATGATGCTGGTTGAAAGCAAAAGCATACAGCACTCAGTATTACCAGGTGGTCTCCAATCTGAATCCTGGTTGATAAGATACAACTTTGCTCAAAATTTGCTTTTTATGGGGATGTATGTGGTGGCTTATGTCTTTAATCCTGGCACTTTGGGAGGCTGAGGCGGGCGGATCACGAGGTCAGGAGATCGAGACCAGCCAGTCTGGCCAACATGGTGAAAACCTGTCTGTACTGAAAATATAAAAATTAGCCAGGTGTGGTGACATGTGCCTGTAATCCTAGCTACTGGGGAGGCTGAGCCAGGAGAATCACTTGAACTCAGGAGAAAGAAGTTGCAGCGAGCCGAGATTGTGCAACTGCACTCCAGCCTGGGCAACCTAGTGAGACTCCGTCTAAAAAAATTTTTTTTTTTGCTTCTTAATCCTATTTTACGTAATACAGGGGAAAAGTTGAGTAGAAAATTCCAGAAGTGCCTTTCTTCCCATTGCAGAAGACAGAGGACCCCTGCACCTGACTTGCAGTTGTCTTCCACTGTGAGTCTCTCAGGAACCCAGAAGCCTGACCTTAGAGATTACACAATACTTCGTAGCTCAGTGTGTGTGCCAGGAAGTGTCAGGGTTTGAGCTTCCAATTCTTAAATTCCGCTTCATCTCAGGTACACTCCTGCTTTGTCTCTGACTGTTTTTCCTGCTAGGCCAATATATTAGGAGATGTCAAAGGGCTGAGAGTGTACCAGCCCAACTTAGCTGACCTTTCTTAGAGCCACTGCTTATCAACCAACTCAAGACCTGACACAGGACATTCCCTGGCTGATCAAAAAATAATGATAAGAGCTTTAAGGGAGGGGCACAATAAAAGGGTAAATCTCAAAGCAGGTGGCTGTACTTTGGGCTTGCTCAGGACATAATGTAACTGTCCTGGGTCTGGAAATAACTCAGATGGACTCACAGAGCAGACCCAGATACAAAGCAGACATCTGTAGGGGCTTTTACTACCCCATTCATGTTCATATATGCCATAGTAATGAATGTATTATAGGATGTGTTCTTGTTTGTTTTTCTTTCTATTTTTCTCTGTCTTTGTCAAGGAATCCCATATTTGCAAAGTCCCTTGCCCTTACTGCATTAGAAATGGGCATTAGAAATGGGACTGAATGTTGGGTCCATCTAGCATCCTGGGGCCTTGATTATAAATACAGTTTGTAAAATGGATTACAGAAGCAAATGAAAGATTGTTTACCGGCATCTTATTTGGTGGGGAGGAAATGTAATTCAGTACAGTAGTAGCCCAGGTTTTGTGGAGACAGAGGTACATTGGGGAAAGCTGGGGCTAGGAGTTTCTTATTGGGACCTTTAGTATATGGGTGAATTTTGTCAGGGTCTGGTATGCGGAAAGATTCATAGAAGTAGTTGTCAGCAGACAAAAGAGATTTGTCAGCAAACTAAAAATCTCATACCCTGAGACAGTGATGGAGGAAAGAAACTTGTCAGGAAGGTTTTCTAGAAGATGCTGCATTCTGCAGTGGACATTTTCACAGCTGAAAAATAAGTGGCAACATCCTAAGTACTCATAATATCAAGGTGGTAAAATCCTGCTCTGCTTTTGAGCAAGATGATATAAGTGAATCAATACATTCATGCTATTAAGGTTATAGGTTTTTACAGCTTTCACTTGCATGAAAAAACATGTTGTCTATGCTTCTGCAGTTCTCAGGGCAGTGAACCTAAGCCAGGAGCTGCTTAGGCATTAAGGCTTCTATACCCAGAATCGTGTGCTAAGCTTTCTCTCCAAGTCAGCACAACAAAGCAAACCAGAGCATCGTACCAACAACCTGAAAGGTCACCTGACTCCTTCCTTCTCACTCCCATTCTGTACTTCTGCATACGTGGGCAGGCAAGTGAATGGTAAGTAAGCCTGCAAACAGCCTTTCTTTGTATAGGGAATGACAGGCATTTCATCAGCAACTCCAGGATGGCAGGCCGTTATCCTGAAACCTATCAGAACAGCTCCTGCTTGGCTTCCAAAATATCACAATTTTGGAAATGTACAAAGGTTAGTTTTCACAGTCCTTGAAGCCTCTTTCCACCCTGGCCATAGCCCATGTCAGCAGTAACCTATGTCTTTGTTTTACATATCATGTTGTTTTACTCACCTGGTGCCTCCAGTGCCCTATAGGGTCCCTGAGCTGTCCTGATACTCTTTCTTAGATCCTGTCAAAACACTCACTTCAACAAATTCTGCCCTTGGACTCTGATGGGAGGTTCTGATAAAGAAAATTATTGAAAACCGCATTATTTAAATGTGGTTATATTTCAGCTGGACCTGGAAATAAAGACGAAATACTGCTTCGTGACTGTGCTTTAAGGAATTTTTGCTTCTAGGAGATGATTGTGAGCCAGGCAGAGGTGAAGGAGCAGGAGCAAATAGCCAAGGCACAGTTCACAGTGCTGGATTTTCTTGTGGATATAGCTGCATTGTTGTTCCTTCTGCCTTGTCCAACTGCTTCCTGGTATCCCTACCCTCACCTTTTCGTTATCTTTTCATCTCTCTAATCATTGAGAAAAAGAGTACAAAAAGCCAGATTTTGCAGTTCCCTATTTTGTATTCCAGGTTGAAGAGTGCTCTGGCTGTAGAGGGTCCCCACGATCTGTCATCTAGTAACTCACCAGGTGGGTTTTGGATTGATTTCAGAGAGCCCAAGACAGTTGCCATGCTTACACAGTTGTGCCAGGAGATGCTGACTTTCTAATGTCATCACCATGGCCCAGTTTAGTTCCTTGCTGCTCTTTCTGTCTGACCCCAATTTGACACACTCGCTGTAAGTAGATAGCTCACCCATAGTCCTGCTAACCCATCACTTTAACCATGATGGAAATTCCCAATAATAACACCTTGAACCCTGACATTGAGGTTGCTGCCTTCTAGTAACAAAATTTAGAGAGCATTTGTGGAAGAGACTGATGAAAAGAGTAGCTCTCACCGAATGGTGTTAAGGCTTCATTTAACTGGTTCTCCTTTTTGTAATTTGTCTCTAGTTTCTCTTCTCTATTACCTCTCCCAGAAAAGGAGCCATCATCCTGAATGGGAGGAGGGCAAAAGACTTCCAGGTAGTCATATTCTAGATGGGTCTGATTTGTCTGGGTGATGCCACTTGGCAACCCAGCAGTGAGAGTGAGTGAGAGAATTAAAACAGCAATTGCACCTTGAAGGTCAATAGTAGCAAGGCTTTTTCTCATCAATGGCCAATAGATGCCTGGTGATGAATCTTTTGGGGTATAAAAAGCAGAAAAAGGCTAAATGATAAAAAATATGCTGTTTGAGCTTTTAAAAAAAGAACAACATGGGTGAACATTTAATTTTGGCAATTTACCTGTATGAAGCAATGCATAGAAGTATTGCTGGATGGGTGCTGGTCATCAAAAAAAAAATGACCATGGGAGGAAGTAACACACACAATTTTTATTTCAGATTGTTGGATGAGAGGAAAAGACTCTCACAGTATGAGACTGAAGAGAGTTGAGGTGCAGGAATTATCATTCAAGTGCTAAATAGGTTAAGGTGATTTTGAATAAAGAAGAGAGTCAAAGAGAAATTATATCTAAGTAATGTTGCTGAAAAGACCATTACATTGGGATATAAAAGGAATTTACATCCCAAAGTTCCAAGTTCACTGCTGGTCTTGGGGTTGCGCAGAAAAGTTTCTATTTTATCTGAAACACATATTTAGCAAAGTTTTTGGGGCATTTCAAACCAAAAGAATATAATGGCTAAAATCTGTTTATTTTGACTTCCTTTATAAATATAACTGGATATATAAAACAATAGCTTTGCTTCTGGAAGGGTTAGGCTGCAGTGAAAAAAATAAGTTACTTGGTGACCAGTAAACAAACAGAATCCCTCATTGGCTCATTTGTATATTAGTTATTTATACATCATATGTTGGCAGTAATGGAGGAATGACAGCATATTATTGAAGACGAGAATACAGGCATGATTGCGGAGTGCTGGGACACAGGAACATATAAAAAGTAATTATGGACCAGATGGCAATGCATACACATAGTTGGAATTTTACTATATGTACATAATTGAGAGGAAATAGTTGTAGAATATTAAGGCCATATCCTTAACAGATGTGAAAGTTATAGAGATAAGGAAAAATTATATGAGATAAAATATTGAAAGACAAATAAAACATTTATATTGACATCAAGTGATTATCATCATTTGGAAAACTGGAGGAGAAACAAGGTTTAGTTATTAAAGGAAGAGGGTAAAGAGAAATTTCCAAAAAAACACAGAAAGACAAACCTATTTAGTTGTTTTATAAGACTTTAACAACTAAAGCACAAAGTACAGAGGCAAAAGAAATACAGAATTGTGAAACAGATATTTATTGAAATATAATTATGTCTTTCTTTATTGATTCCTCAGACAAGGGGTTGAGAAATTTTGGCCTGTAGCTAGCCACCGTCTACCTGTTTTTATACAATCAAAGAAATAAGATTATTTCTTTACAACTATAAATCACTAAAAAAATGGTCACATAAACATTTTCATTAAATTCAAATTTAAGTGACCATAATAATATGTATTAAAGCATAGCTATGCCCTTTCATTTACGTGTGGATGTTTAAGTAGTTACAACAGAGTTGAATAGAGCTTTTACCTATTTGTACTGCTTCTTGGTGCACTACCAATCACATTAATGCAGTTGTACTGCAGTAGTGTCAAAGTCCACATGGATTTCATGGGGTTTCACTTTGTTTTTTGCTTCTTTCTACTACTGTATATGAGTCACATTTGCACACGTACAACACATAAAGCAGCATTGGGATGAGGCACTGAGCTTCTTGGCAAAGAGTCACACCAAGACTTACACATAAGAGACTTTGGTGCCAAAACCAGACAGACAATGTCCTTTTTCCAAGTGACCTAGAGGAGTGGATTAAAATAATCCACTCATACTCACTACACTGAGCATGTGGACAAGTCAGTAAAGATGCCTTCTGTGGTATGTAATAAAGAAGTTCCAGTGCAGACTGGTTTACCTTCTAAAATTTTCATCCCATACACAGTTCTATTAAAACAGCAGATAGTCTAAAGTGTGAATGATGGCCACACTCTGCCGGAGCAGAAGCAGGAGGCCATAGTCTCAAAATTTTTTAGGAACAAAAGCCAGAATATATTTAGGTATATAAGATGAAAGGTAATGAACAGGAGAGTGGTGAAAAACAATACACAGCCAAAATCTGGCTTTTTTATTTTATGTGATGTGAATGGTTCCAGGTATGACACTAGGCCAGAGAGATACATTGTAATATTTAATAACATGTTATCTGGCCTTACTCACTCTTTGCTGTACCAGTTTCTCAGGGATCTACAGTGACACTGCTCAAAAATGCCAGAAGATACCATTCTAGAAAAAGAAATAACTTGTTTCCATACTATTTGCGTAGCAAGTAGAGTTAGATACAGGGACTGTGCTATACATGGGCTAGACTCTTTTCTAAGCATATTTAGCATGAGATCATACAACCATATGTCTCCCAGACTTTCAACATTTTTCCTTTGCAGATACCACCATAGTTATGTAAAGGGAAGACAGAACTAGCCTGTGCATCAGAAACAATAACTCTGACTTTTTTTTTAAATTATACTTTAAGTTTTAGGTTACATGTGCACATTGTGCAGGTTAGTTACATATGTATACATGTGCCATGCTGGTGCGCTGAACCCACTAACTCGTTTTGTATCACAACCTTTTGTTTTCTAAATGTCCACAAATATCATATTGAACTGAGTACTACCTTGTACCTAAACTATGGTCTATTTCATAACAGCCTTTAACTCTGTACTCAGAGGAAGTCAATAAAGTCCAATGGCATATAACCTGTGGCCTAGAGAAGCTTCTTGAGATTCTAATACTCCACTTGGTAGAGAGGCAGATATCTAATATTAGAAACTGGAGTTAAGAACAAGGATAAACTAGGAAACACAGTATAACCGAGGAAATCCAGGTTAGGTGGCAATACTCTGCATCCTATTTTTTTTTTAATCAAGTAGTACAATTTCCAAAAGAACTACTCTGCTGCCTTTAAAGTCAAGAGCACGAGAAGAGGTTGGAAATAATGTAGTAAAAAGATGAGCAGAATAAAGCATCTCCACTCTATACTTGAGCTAGTGCATGTTATCACCATTTCCTTTTCAACGAGGTTTGCAACAAATTCAGTAAGTACCAAGCATAGCCATGGAATTGCATATGCAATATAAGTGTAAAATGCAGATTGCTTCCAAAATAAATAGAAAGTGGATGGGTGTCTGGAAGTAGTGCTAGTGTTCATGACTGACCACTGACTACAGTTGGTAAATATTAAATTCATGTTTCTGTCAAAGAAGACAAGGCAACATGTTTTATACTGTGCTGCTGGAGGAGGAACCACATCTGTTGATATTGTATTTCAAGTGTGGTTGCATCATGTTCCTTTGATAGGTCCTTCCACATTCTCTATTTCTTTATACTACATCAATGAGAAATGATCACAGAAGGGATAATATGACAAATTAACTTCCCCGAATTTACAGCAAGTGTGTGCGCTAAGGGAAGAAGTAAGACAAAATTCTCTCACTCACATTTCTACCAATTCAGGCTAGTTAAAAATACACTCAAGCATCAATTAATGACTTGAATGCATTGTGGAGCAATTCTGTAATTGGCTGAACATTTTAGAGTACATTCACAAACAAGACAGGATACCTTGCACTACATGGTATACCACACTATATGGTATAGATTTGTAGACTATAAACTTACATAGCAGGTTACTATACTAAATATTGTAGGCAGTTATAACACAATGGTATTTATTATCTAAACATATGAAATACTGAAAAGGTATACTAAAAATATTTTGGAAGGAGTACAATGTGGTATAACTGTTTAGGGAACATACTTAAATGCATGTCCTAAAATGCAGATTTTAGGACTGAAAATTGTTCTGGATGAGTCAATAATTGGCAAATTAATATAAAGGCCAAGGACATTAGTGTAAACTACTATGACATAAATATTGTATGCTTAGAATATATACATTTATTAAAACTACCTTTCTTTAATAGTAAATGAACCTCTGCTACTGTAACTTTTTACTTTACAAACTTTTAATTTTTGTTTAAAGTTTAGATTTTTTAAATTTTATTTTTTCTTTTTAAAAATTTTATTTAGGGTTTTTGTTTTGTTTTGTTTTTAAGGTAAAGTCTCACTTTGTCACCCAAGCTGCAGTACAGAGATGCAGTCATAACCCACTGCTACCTCAACCTACCAGATTCAGCCTCCCTAGTAGCTGGAATTACAGTCACTGTAATTACACTGGCTAATTATTATAGTTTTTGTATAAATAGGACCTTGCCCTGCTTCCCAAGTTGTTCTTGAATACCTATGCACAAGCATTCCTCACCTCAACCTCCCAAAGTGCTGGGACTGTGGGTGTGAGCCACCATGCCCATGCTTGACCCTCTTTAAATGAAATTTAGGTTAAAATAAATGTATTATACAGATGAATAAACATTAATTTTATATTCAATAATATAAGCTTGTATCTGCTCTTATAATGGTTACTTAATTTTTTCCATGTAAATCATTTTTTAAAATATAAAGCATGAGCACACACATTAGCCTTGTATTATGCAGAGACAGGGTCTTCAATATTATTGTCACCCCCTCCACATCTTGTTCCACTGGATGGTCTACAGGGCAGTAACACACATGCAGGGGTCACCTCCTATGTTAACAATGCCTCCTACTGAAATATTTCCTGTACTGGAATATCTCCTGATATGTCTTATACTTAACTTTTTTTTTTTGTAAAGAGTAGGAGTATATGCTAAATAATAGTGAAAATACAGTATAGTCAGTACAGTACATACCAGTACATGGATGGTTGTTATCATTAATAAGAATTATGTATTGTATGTATGTAATATGTATGCTAGACTCAAACAATTGGCAGTGCAATCAGTTGTTTACACCAGTGTCACCACAAAAACTTGAGGGATGCGATGCTACCTCAGAGCCGCTATGGCATCACTAAACAATAGGAATTTTTTAGTTGCATTATAATCTTATGAGACCTCCATTGTATATATTCCAATCATTGAACTTAGTCATTGGCACATGACTGTATTGAAAAGTATTATGTTTATAGGAATGAAGACCTGGTAGGTAGCCACAGTGGCAAGGGTCCTACAGCTACCTTTGACCCCAAATGACCAAGGCATTATCTGGACAAGTCTCTTTTCAGACCCTCTCTCTCTTTTCTATCCAGCTATAGCCTTTGTGAAATAGATAACAGAACTGCTGGTTCTACCTTGTTCTAATTGCCCAGCTTGGCGAGGATGGGAAGGGTGTTAGCAAGCCACCCCAAAATAACCTGCTACCTGCAAAGGGATAATATGCCTCCACCACTCCCTTCTCTAGAGTCTTTAACTTCTCTTATTCTGTACTCACTTGAATCATACAGCTAGGCCTCCCTGCTTCTGACCAAATTCTGTAAGATTAGGGTTGTTTGGTCTGAGAGTGCAAAACCCAGACACGCTTCTAGTCTTTTTTGGTCATAGGTGCAGTACAGTCAAACTCCAGGCCAACCTATTTGGTAGGCATAATATTTGAATATTTATTCAACCAAAATGTCTTTTTTTTTTTTTTGAAAGCAGCTCAAGACCTCAAAGCAGAGTGGTCATGGGTCAGGCTTTCATAGGACATGAAGCCACTGCAACAAGGCTGGGAGTATAACCTGACTGGACCCAAGCAGTAGACCCAGATGGGCAGCAAAACCTCTGAAGTCCTTTGTTGTCTAATTCCTGCCCAAAGATGCTAAAAATAGTATTCTGGGATGTGTCCTTGTTTCTTTTGTTTCATGTTTTCTTTCTTTCTTTTTAAGGGGACCCTATGATTACAGAAAGTGGTTTACCATTCTCTGAGATCACTAAAGAGAAGTACAAGACAAGAAATTTAATTTAGCATCATGAGGTCTTGATTACATACACAGTTTATGAGATAGGTTACAGAAGCAAAGGGAAGTTTGTTCACCTGGTAATTCCCTATGGTCTGGCGAAAATGTCATTCATTGAAAAAGCAGCCCTGCTCATGTGGAGACAAAAGCTGTATTGGGAAAGGCTGGCACAACAGTCTTTAATTTGCATCTTAAGGCAAGGGTAAGAATGGCCAGTGTCTAGTATTGGAGGAAAATAACATTAAGAAGTCTTTGTAAAAAGACAAAAGAGCCTTTGGTATTAGAGTCAGATTTTAGGATTGATGGGCAGAATAAAGATTTACACATGCAAGGATGGTGGTGGAAGAAAAAAATTTGTTAGAACATTCTTTTTGCAGAGGGACCATTTCACAGCTGGAAGAAAGATGGCACAACTTTAAGAACACAGGGCACCAAGACTGTAGGATCCTGTTTTTATGAATCCTAATGACAAAAGGGATTCAATGCATGCAGAGAGTAAAAGCCAAAGATATATGCAGCCTTTTCGTGTATTCAATAGCCAGTAATGCTTGCTCCTGCAGGCCCCAGTCTGATGGATATAGGCTAAGGGCTTCTATGTGGAACTGCTTCTGTAACCTGACCCATGTATGCCTGAAGCTGTCTGTCAAGGCTGGACTGAGAAGCCACGTAAGAGCACAGTCACAACAAAGAGGCAGGTTACCTTTCTGCTTTGGCCTCTAGAAGAGGTTGTGGGATGGTGGGTAGACCACAAGCATTTAAGATTTAGCATTGCTAAGGGCAGGCTGTGTCCTGTCCTGGAACTGATTAGACCCATTTCTGGTTGGCTGCCAAAATTCCAAGGTTTCAGGAATTCTCAGAGGTTCAGGGCCACTGTCCTTGAAGCTTCCTTCCTTCTTGGACAAATTTGAGGTCATCACTTACCCATCTCTGTTCTAGGCATTATCTTGATTAACTTAATATAAGCTGCTGTATCCTCAAAGGGCCAATGGGCTAGCTACTCTGTTGTTAATTCGCAGAAATCCTCAGAACAACCACCTCAACAATAGTGCCTTAGTGCTACTCTGATAGAAAAGTCTGAAGATAAAAGCTTCATATTGATATTTGGTAATGCTTGTGCTGGACCTGACCGTAAAGATAGGGATTCTACTTACTTACTGTGCTTTAGAAGGTCAGGATATTGACTTCTTGGGGACACCAATGGGCCAGGGACAGGCTGGTAGGCAGAATCCTGGAGCACAGCATGTCCAAGTGGGCTAGCTTCGGTTTTGGCTGTGGCCAAAGCACTACTCCTTCTGACTTAATCCAAATGTTCTCCCTTGTCTTCATCTTTAAACTTCTTCCTTTTTTTTTCTTTTTTTTCATCTTGAGCAGAAGCAAGAAAAGTGAGTTGAGCCAGTCCCACACAGTGCCCTCCTGTGCCTCACAAGAGAAAGTGCTCTGGCATCCCATGGTCCATAGTTTATCTCATCCTGAGACTCACCATGTCAGCCTTGAATTGGCTTCCGAGGTTCTAAGGCTTAAGTCCTACTCATATTTTTGTGGCAGAAGGTTCCAACACTGTGGCCATCATCATAGCCCAGTTTTGTCTTCTGATGTTCTTTCTAACTCAAACTTGACTAACAAACCGTTAGCAGACAGCCCACCCATAGTCCTTGTTCTGCTAACTCATTGCTTAGAATTCCCAATAATCACATGGAAAACAAAGACTCTATCATGGGTCCCTTCTGGTCTAGGAGAAGAGAACTCCTGAGAGAGAATTAAGAAGTGCAGCTCTCACGGCAAGTCTTTTATCATAGGTTTTTCTCTTTGTATCTTTATTGTATTTTCTTTTCTCTGTCTTCTTCCTGCAGTCTCCTTCTTTTCCTTCTCTCTGTCTCCCGTGATAAAGAGGGAGAGAAGGGAAAGACAGCTCCTTAGTGGGGTGTATCCTATAATGCACTTAAAAGTCTAGGTGATACCTCTTAGCAACTTACCATGGAAACTCCAGGTGAGAAAATTTCAAGAGAAATTGCACTTGAAAGCATATAGCAACAAGCCTCTATCTTATCAATATTTAACAGCTCCTGAATAAAGCTGGAGGGGTTTAAATAACCAAGAAAATTGTAAATGCTGAAAAGGTGTCATTTTGGCTTTTAAAAATAACATGATATGTAAATATTTGAATGTAGCAATGCACCTGTGAGCTAACAGAGGTAGAATGATTGTTGAAGAATAAATGATATGAGAAGTAGTAAAGAAAAACAAATTCATTATGGCTGTAAATACCACACAACAATCTTTATTGTGCAATTTTGCATAACAGATAAAGACCCTCACAAATTGAGATTGTACACAGGATAAAGGTGCAGATTTTTCAATTCAGTAAAGCTGAATTAAGTAAGGTTATTTCTGGATAAGACAAGAGTTTAAGAAGATGTATGTCACTGTGATGGTGCTTCAAAACCCTTCCAGAAATTAAGTTTTAAAAGCTCTACTTCTAATGCTGGCTTAGCATCATATAATAAAATCATTTATTTAATATTCAGCAAATGCTGAGCCAAGTTTATGAATTTGCACACCAAGAAAATCTAATGTCTACATTCTACTCATTGAAACTCATTTAAACATAGCTAGATGTGCAAAATTTTGTCTCTTGTGCCAGTAAAATTTGAGCTAACAGCTCTCAGTCTGCGGTTAAAAAAAATAAACAACTTAAGAGATGCTACACAGTGGTTGTTTTGACTTATTTATCAGTTTTTTCTATATCAGATTGGCAGTAATGGAAGAAATAGAGTATATTGTTCAGAGCTAGAAGGAAGAAACACAGGAAATAATGGGTGAGCTAGGACAGAGGACCTCTTAAGAAATGGTGTCACGTCTTGGATAAAGACTCTTAGGCAGAGATCAAATTTGTATCACTGGAAGGAGGTAGGAGTGGTGAGATAAAGTCATATGCTTACAGGGTAGACACTTTGTTGAAGAGGAGAAAACATTGGGAAAAACAACTGAAAGTTAAGGATAACATGTATTTTAAATGCAGATAATTATCATTATGTAAGAAAACTCAGAAATGACAGTGTCAGCTTAAGAAAAAAAAGGTGAAGATATCAGAAATAAAATCACATTGGAACAGCCCCATGCTATTTACATATGGAGAGTTACAACATAGTGTATAAAGCTCTCATGTCTTTGCACTGCTGCTTAGGACATTACAAATCACAGTAAAGCTGTTTTAACTTAAAAGTGTTTCAAAGGACATAAAGATTTCATAGGGATTTGGTTTATCTTTTGCTTCTCACCACTGTACATCAATTACACCCCCACACAAACATATAACCTCACACACATAGAAACTGCTGATTGTCAGACATGGTGCAGAGTGAATAGTTTTGATATTAAGTTAAATGGCAAATCTTTGTGTTCATTGTACAATAACATTTTAGCTGTTAAAAATAGAAGATAGAGGATGATAAAAGCAAGATGGTGAAATATGAGGTCACCATTTTGTGTCTCTTCAAAACAGAAGAATTCTGCACCCATCCACGGACATAAGTTTCTTTATTTCTTGATAAAGTGATTGGGATTCAGCTGTGAGATTTGTAAAATGCTGGTGTAGCCCAAGAACTATGATTTTTGAGACTGCAAATAAACATTCATGTGGCAGACATGCCATTTGTTCTCTTTAATTTGGACTCAAGAGTAGCCCCTTTGGCTGGGTAAATTCACATGTATTCTGGGAGCCTAATCACAAAACTATCTTCTACAAGATGCAGAAGAATCATGTGCAGTAGAGCCTAAACAGAATGAAATCTGCCTGCTGACCCTTGTCTTGGCAGTGGACCCTGATGTTATTTTGTAAAATAGATTCTCTCCTTTTTAAGGCATCGTTTCAGGTATTTTTTCTCCCCTCAGGAGCCTAAAGGGAACTCATCTATCTGTGCCACCAGGATTGGCTTGCCTCTCTATTCAAGAGCAGGTCCATTCTGTGGTAGGCAGAGTTTCTATGCCTGTGTAGCGAACACCTAAGCAATAAACCCAGACAAGCTTGCCTGCTTCCATCTGTCAGCAGTTACTGATGAGTCTCTGTGTTAGCTTCACTGCCAAAGTCCCAAATTTACTCTGTATCAATAGAGAATTATTATAAGTTACAACTAGATAGTCTTGAAGTCCCTTAAGCCAAAGAATATTCTGGAAGGTAACTGATTAGATTGACAACAGCATCTCTTAACTGGTATTTGTGAGCAATTTTGCCTGCAAAAGAAATTTCTTGGTGTTATATCAAAAAAGCCACCATCTCAAGATGGTGTACAAAATAGTTTTTGTTTTTGATCTTAATCTCAATTTCAGCTCCCCCAGCTATACTCTGGGAAAATTTAAAACCTAAGAAACAACACACGGGATTTCTTACCAAACTTGTTCACTGGTGACTTTCAGTCAGTCCTCTAATATATATATAGATCTCAATATTTGATCTCTATTTTTGTTGTTTGCAGATACATAAGATATTTTGCCTGCTATGAAGCCATTGGAGAATCAGGTCCAGCTGTGTCCTACAGATTTATACCCTCACTTTGGATGCACTGTGAATCTTGAAACAAGTATGTAAATAGAATCCAGCCCCTCTCTGCCACAGCCTCAGAGCAGGATTGGTAACTCCAAAAGACACCAGGACACATCCTAATTTTCTTAAATTTTATTTATTTGTTTATTTATTTATTATTATTATACTTTAAGTTTTAGGGTACATGTGCACAATGTGCAGGTTAGTTACATATGTATACATGTGCCATGCTGGTGTGCTGCACCCACTGACTCGTCATCTAGCATTAGGTATATCTCACAATGCTATCCCTCCCCTCTTCCCCCCACCCCACAACAGTCCCCAGAGTGTGATGTTCCCTTTCCTGTGTCCATGTGTTCTCATTGTTCAATTCCCACCTATGAGTGAGAATATGCGCTGTTTGGTTTTTTGTTCTTGCGATAGTTTACTGAGAATGATGATTTCCAATTTCATCCATGTCCCTACAAAGGACATGAACTCATCATTTTTTATGGCTGCATAGTATTCCATGGTGTATATGTGCCACATTTTCTTAATTCAGTCTATCATTGTTGGACATTTGGGTTGGTTCCAAGTCTTTGCTATTGTGAATAATGCCGCAATAAACATACGTGTGCATGTGTCTTTATAGCAGCATGATTTATATCCTTTGGGTATATACCCAGTAATAGGATGGCTGGGTCAAATAGTATTTCTACTTCTAGATCCCTGAGAAATCGCCACACTGACTTCCACAATGGTTGAACCAGTTTACAGTCCCACTAACAGTGTAAAAGTGTTCCTATTTCTCCACATCCTCTCCAGCACCTGTTGTTTCCTGACTTTTTGATGATTGCCATTCTAACTGGTGTGAAATGGTATCTCATTGTGGCTTTGATTTGCATTTCTCTGATGGCCAGTGATGGTGAGCATTTTTTCATGTGTTTTTTGACTGCATAAATGTCTTCTTTTGAGAAGTGTCTGTTCATGTCCTTTGACCACTTTTTGATGGGGTTGTTTGTTTTTTTCTTGTAAATTTGTTTGAGTTCATTGTAGATTCTAGATATTAGCCCTTTGTGAGATGAGTAGGTTGCGAAAATTTTCTCCCATTTTGTAGGTTGCCTTTTCACTCTGATTGTAGTTTCTTTTGCTGTGCAGAAGCTCTTTAGTTTACTTAGATCCCATTTTTCAATTTTGGCTTTTGTTGCCATTGCTTTTTGTGTTTTAGGCATGAAGTCCTTGCCCATGCCTATGTCCTGAATGGTAATGCCTAGGTTTTCTTCTAGGGTTTTTATGATTTTAGGTCTAACATTTAAGTCTTTAATCCATCTTGAACTGATTTTTGTAAAAGGTGTAAGGAAGGGATCCAGTTTCAGCTTTCTACATATGGCTAGCCAGTTTTCCCAGCACCAATTATTAAATAGGGAATCCTTTCCCCATTGCTTGTTTTTCTCAGGTTTGTCAAAGATCAGATAGTCGTAGATATGTGGCATTATTTCTGAGGGCTCTATTCTGTTCCATTGATCTACATCTCTGTTTTGGTACCAGTACCATGCTGTTTTGGTTACTGTAGCCTTGTAGTATAGTTTGAAGTCAGGTAGTGTGATGCCTCCAGCTTTGTTCTTTTGGCTCAGGATTGACTTGGCAATGCGGGCTCTTTTTTGGTTCCATATGAACTTTAAAGTAGTTTTTTTCCAGTTCTGTGAAGAAAGTCATTAGTAGCTTGATGGGGATGGCATTGAATCTGTAAATTACTTTGGGCAGTATGGCCATTTTGACGATATTGATTCTTCTTACCCATGAGCATGGAATGTTCTTCCATTTGTTTGTATCCTTTTTTATTTCCTTGAGCAGTGGTTTGTAGTTCTCCTTGAGGTCCTTCACATCCCTTGTAAGTTGGATTCCTAGGTATTTTATTCTCTTTGAAGCAATTGTGAATGGGAGTTCACTCATGATTTGGCTGTTTGTCTGTTGTTGGTGTATAAGAATGCTTGTAATTTTTGTACATTGATTTTGTATCCTGAGACTTTGCTGAAGTTGCTTATCAGCTTAAGGAGATTTTGGGCTGAGACAATGGGGTTTTCTACATATACAATCATGTCGTCTGCAAACAGGGACAATTTGACTTCCTCTTTTCCTAATTGAATACCCTTTATTTCCTTCTCCTGCCTAATTGCCCTGGCCAGAACTTCCAACACTATGTTGAATAGGAGTGGTGAGAGAGGGCATCCCTGTCTTGTGCCAGTTTTCAAAGGGAATGTTTCCAGTTTTTGCCCATTCAGTATGATATTGGCTGTGGGTTTGTCATAGATAGCTCTTATTATTTTGAGATACATCCCATCAATACCTAATTTATTGAGAGTTTTTAGCATGAAGAGTTGTTGAATTTTGTCAAAGGCCTTCACCACACCTATTCCAAAATTGACCACATAGTTGGAAGTAAAGCTCTCCTCAGCAAATGTAAAAGAACACAAATTATAACAAACTATCTCTCAGACCACAGTGCAATCAAACTAGAACTCAGGATTAAGAATCTCACTCAAAACCACTCAACTACATGGAAACTGAACAACCTGCTCCTGAATGACTACTGGGTACATAATGAAATGAAGGCAGAAATAAAAATGTTCTTTGAACCGATGAGAACAAAGACACAACATACCAGAATCTCTGGGACACATTCAAATCAGTGTGTAGAGGGAAATTTATAGCACTAAATGCCCACAAGAGAAAGCAGGAAAGATCCAAAATTGACACCCTAACATCACAATTAAAAGAACTAGAAAAGCAAGAGCAAACACATTCAAAAGCTAGCAGAAGGCAAGAAATAACTAAAATCAGAGCAGAACTGAAGGAAATAGAGACACAAAAAACCCCTCAAAAAATTAACGAATCCAGGAGCTGGTTTGTTGCAAGGATCAACAAAATTGATAGACTGCTAGCAAGACTAATAAAGAAGAAAAGAGAGAAGAATCAAATAGATGCAATAAAAAATGATAAAGGGGATATCACCACCGATCCCACAGAGAAACAAACTACCATCAGAGAATACTACAAACACCTCTATGCAAATAAACTAGAAAATCTAGAAGAAATGGATAAATTCCTCGACACATACACTCTCCCAGGACTAAACCAGGAAGAAGTTGAATCTCTAAATAGACCAATAACAGGAGCGGAATTGTGGCAATAATCAATTACTTACCAACCAAAAAGAGTCCAGGACCAGATGGATTCACAGCCGAATTCTACCAGAGGTACAAGGAGGAACTGGTACCATTCCTTCTGAAACTATTCCAATCAATAGAAAAACAGGGAATCCTCCCTAACTCATTTTGTGAGGCCAGCATCATCCTGATACCAAAGCTGGGCAGAGACACAGCCAAAAAAGCGTATTTTAGACCAATATCCTTGATGAACATTGATGCAAAAATCCTCAATAAAATACTTGCAAACCGAATCCAGCAGCACATCAAAAAGCTTATCCACCATGATCAAGTGGGCTTCATCCCTGGGATGCAAGGCTGGTTCAATATATGCAAATCAATAAATGTAATCCAGCATTTAAACAGAACCAAAGATAAAAACCACATGATTATCTCAATAGATATCCTAATTTTGATGCCAGAAGAAGGTTTAGATATCTTAGTCTTTGATGACATAACATTGTATGTCAATTCTAGCATGGCTCAGTAAAAGAATGAGGCAATATGAAAGGCCCAGGGACCTGTCTGTACATAAGAGTAGTTCTCCCAACTATCATAGATAGCCACACCTTTCAGCACAAATGCTGAAAACCCCACTGTTTGCAAGTCATGAAGAAAATATTTGTCTTAGTGCCAGCCCCCAAAGTCCATGACCTTGGAGACGAACAGATCTCCCCAGGATACAGATAGAACTCCAGTCTACTAGTTCTCCTGGTAACTGGACTGTAAAATTCAGTTTTTATTGTGCACCAAGTTTAGCCAGGAGACCTACTTAGAACTCACAAAACTGTAATCCCAAAGGCAATATCTTCAGCACAAAAGCCTAATAGAGAAAAACTTCAAACCTAAACCAGTCTGTAAGACTCAATGCAAACATATAATCAGATAAAGAATATTAATAAAACTAATAAAGAATATTAATACATCTTTTAAAAAATTACAAAAATGAATTTCCTGAAACAGAATTAAACATGATTATTATAAAACACTCCTTAGATGTAAAAGAAATCCCAAAAATGCAGGAACAAATAAAAATATTGGAAAACTATGCATATACAAAATTTAAAGTTCAATCAATAAATAAAAATTTGGAGAGAAAAGAAACAAAATGGTGGAAATAGAAAGCTCCACTGATTACAGCCCTCCCCCTCACCCCAAGAACATCAAGTTACCAATTATCTACACATAAAAGAAAAACAAACAAAAAACTACACACCTTCGTAAGAACCAAAAAATCAGGTGATCACTTACAGTAACTGATTTTAACTTCATATCACTGAAAGAGGCACTGAAGATTTGAAACAAAAACAAAAAACAAACAAGCAAGAACAACAAAACCATCCCTGAATCACCAAAGCCACCTCTCCCTAATCCCTGGTAGCAACTGTGTAGGCAGAAAGTATCTGTGGGCACTGATGTAGAAACAACACAGTAATTGCAAGGCAGTGAACTTAGTGCTGTCCTATTAAAGGAGAGAAGAAAATCAGAACAAAGTCAGCTGATGCCCACCCACAGAAGGAGCATTGAAACCATCCCTAGCTACAAGAGAATCTCCAGTCCTAGTGGTCTGAACTTGACTGCCCACAAACCTCTCCATAGAGGGCCAAAATGCTCTTGGTATCTAAGTAAACTTGAATAGTATTCTAAGCCACTGCATCTCTTAAGTAAGTCCTGTTGCTGAAGTAGGCCCAGAAACAGTGGAGTTGACTGGAACAAGAGGCACCAGCTAAGGCAGAAAAGAGAGTCCTGGCATCACCTCTGTGCTAACCCCAAGCTTTTTAGCTCATGGCTCCAAAAAAGGCTCCTATCCTTCACTTAAGGGGAGAGCATGAAAGGATACAAAAGACTTTGTTTTGCACTTAGCACACCAGTTCAGCCACAGCAGGTTAAGGTACCGTACAGAGTTTTGAGCCTGCCATTTTTGGTCTTACCTCCCAGATGGCATTTCTTGACACACTCTGGGCCGGAAGGGAACCTGATGCCTTGAAGGAAAGGACTCAGTCCAGTCAACATTTATTGCCTGCTCACTGAAGAAACCTTGGGCTCTGAATGAACAGCAGTGATACCCAGGTACTACATTAAGGGCCTTGAGTGATGCTCTGAGACTTGCTAGCTTCAGGAGAAATGTAGCACATAACCAACTGTAGACTGTAGTGGCAATGGGGCAAAACAACTTCTACTCTAGAAAAGTGGAGAGAAACTTAAAGGGGACTTTGACGTCTTGCATTTTAGATACCAACACTGCCACAGGTGCTAAGCACAAAGTGAGCTCTTAGAGTACCTGATTCCAAGACTTGACTCTTGGATGGCATTTCTGGACCTTCCCTGACCCAGAAAGAGGCCCACTGCCCTGAAGGGTGAATCCTGTGCCAGGCAGCATTCACCAAAAGCTAACCTAAAAGACCTCAAGCCTGAAGAAAACATCTGTGGTAGTCTGGCAGTAGTCCTTTTGGCAGGGTAGTAGTGGTAACTAAGGGATAAGAAATTTCTGCCTTTGGAAAGTAGAGGGAAGAGTGGAAACAACTGCAACTTGTGGTTTGGGTGGCAGCCTCAATACCGTAGAGTACCAACTAGACTTCTAAGGTTTTTGAATCCAGCCCTGACTCCACGATGGCACTTCTGACACACATGGGATCTGGGGAACCTCTGCCCTAAATGGAAGAACAAAGGCCTGCCTTTGCTACCTGCTAATTGTGGAGCCCCAAGCCCTTGAATTAACATAGGCAGTAACCAGGGAGTGGTTATAGCAGGCCTTGGGTGAGACCCAGCACTGTGCTGGCTTCAGTTCTGACCCAGCATAATCACAGTGATGGTGGCCACAGGGGTACTTGTGTCACTCCATGACTAGCTTTAGATGACTCAGAACATAGGGAGAGACTCTGTATGTTTGGGAGAAACTAAGTAAAGAGAAAAAAATTGTCTGTCTGGTAATCCAGATAAGTCTCCCAGATTCTGTCCAAGACTGTTAAGGCAGTACGTCTAACAACTCCAGAAGAGCCACAGAGTTTGGGGGCTTGTGGTACTTCCTAAAGCAAACACAGTGTAGATCACAACATCCAAGTCTTTTCCAATATCTGGAAAGGCATCTCAGAAAAGAAGACTATAAATAAGCCCATATAGTAAAGATGGCAATAGATACCTAGCTCTTCAATACCCAGGCACCTTAGAATATCTAGTAGCATCAGTACCATTCAGGAAAATGTGGCCCAACTAAATGAACTCAATAAGGTACTGGGGATCAATCCTGGAGGAACAGAAGTACATGACATTTCAGACAGAGAATTTGAAGACCAGTGTTGAAACGCAAAGAAATTTGATATAACACGGAGAATAAATTCAGAATTCCATGAGAATAATGGGGTATTAAAATAATTAAGCAGAAATTCCAGAGCTAAAAGATAAAATTGGCATACAGAAGAATACATCAGAGATGTATTAATATAATGGATGAAACAGAAGAAAGACTTAGTGAGCTTGAAGATAGGCAAACAGAAAATATACAGTCAGAGAAAAAAAAGAAAATAATAAAGCATGCCTACAGCATCTAGAAAGTAGCCTCTGGAGTTATTGGCCTTAAAGAGGAGGTAGAGAAAAAGATAGGGGTAGAAAGTTTATACAAAGGAATAGTAACAGAAAACTATTGCAAACCTACAGGAAGAAATCAACATTCAAATACAAGAAGGTTATAGACACCAAGACGACTTAACCCAAATAAGACTACTTCAGGGAATTTAATAATCAAACTCCTAAAGGTCAAGGATAAAGGATCTTAAAAGCAGCAAGAGAGAAAAAAAAAAAAACAAAAAAAAACCTACAATGGTGCTCCAACATGTCTGGCAGCAGACTTGTTAGTGGAAACTTTGCAGAACAAGAAAGAATGTCATGACATATTTGAAGTGCTGAAAGAAAAAAAAGGACAAATGAATCCATTTTTATCCTAGAATAGTATAGCTGGTGAAAATATCTTTCACATATAAAGAAGATGTAAAGACTTTTTCAGCAAACAAAAGCTATGGGATTTCATGAATACCAGATGCATTCTACAAGCAAACCTAAAGGGAGTACTTCAGTCAGAAAGAAAAAAGTGTTAAGGAACAATCAACAATCACCTGAAGGTACAAAACTTATGGATAAAAATAAGTATGGAGGAAAACACAGGATATAATAACACTCTAACTACAGTGTGTAAACTACTGTTATCCTAAGTGGAAAAACTAAGCAATAAAAAAAAAGTAATAATCACAACATTTTAGGACACAGTAGAGTAAAATATAAATAGAAGTAACAAGTAAGAAAAGTTGGGTGGAAGCTGAAGTTAATCTGAGTTTTTATTAGTTTTCTTTTTGCTTGTTAGTTTATGCAAATAGTGATATCAGGTTGAAATAATGGGCTATAAGATAGCATTTGCAAGTCTCATGGTAACCTCAAACAAAAAAATATTTTAAAAATGCAAAAAATGAAAAGCAGAAAATTAAATCATATCACCAGAGACTCTTATCTTCGCTAGAGAAAGACAGCAATAAAAGAAAAAAGGAGAAAAAGACCACACACACACACACACACACACACACACACACACACACACACACACACACATACAAAAACCCAGAAAACAAACCACAAAATGGCAGGGTATAAGTTCATAATAATCAATAATATCATTGAACGTAAGTGGACTCAACTATCCAATTAAAATAGACTGGCTGAATGTATGAAAAAATAAGACACTCGCCAGTTGCCTATAAGAAATACACTTTGCCTATAAAAATACACATAGCCTGAAAATAAAGTGATGTGAAAATATATTTCATGTCATTGGAAACAAGAAAGGTCCAAGAATCACTTACTTTTACCAGACAAAATAAATTTCAAGACCAGACTATATGAGACAAAGAAGCTCACTATGTAATAATAAAGGAGTAAGTTCAGCAAGAAGATACAACAATTTTAAAGATATATGAACCCAACACTGGAGCAAAGAGATATATAATACATACATTACAGCCACAGAGAGAAATAGGGTCCAATACAATAATAGCTGGAGACCTCAGCCCCCCACTGTTAAGATTAGATAGATTTTCCAGACAGAAAATCAACAACACAAAAAAGTCATAATTAATCTCCACTATAGACCAAATAAATTTAATAGTTATTTAGAGATAATTTTATCTAAGAGCTTCAGAATATATATCCTTTTACTCAGCACATGGATCATTCTCAAGGATAGACTATACCTTAGGTAGCAAATCATGTCTCAAAACATTTTAAAAAATTGAAATTATATGAAGCATCTTCTCATCAATGGAATAAAACTAGAAATTAATAACAAGTAATTTTTTGAAACTATACAAATAACTGAAAATTAAATAATATGCTTCTAAATGACAGGTGGGTCAATGAAGAGATTCAGAAGAAGATTGAAAACTTTTTTGAAACAAATGATAATGAAAACACAATCTACCAAACCCTGTGAGATTCAGCAAAAGCAGTACTCAGAGGAAAGTTTATTACTATGAGCACCTACATCAAAAAACAAAAACACTTCAAATAATCTGATGATACATCTTGAAATACTAGGAAAGCATAGCAAATCTAAGCCAAAATTAGAAGAAGAAATAAAGTGATAAAGATTAGAACACAAATAAATAAATAAAAATGAAAATAGAAAGCAATGAAAAAGATAAATACAAAGTTTTTAGTTTAAGATTGAAAAACCTTTAGTCAGACTAAGGAAAAAAGAGTTCAAAGTAAATAGCACCAGCTATATATAAAAGAATGAATTACAACTGATACTATAGAAATTCAAAGCATTATTAGTGAGTAGTATAAGCAAGTATATATTAATAAATTCAAAAATCTGGAAGAAACTGACAAATTGCTAGATACATTCAAAGTTAACAATATTGACTTAGTAAGAAATTTTAAATCTAAATGGACTAATAATAAATGGTGCGATTGAAGCCATAATAAAAAAAAAATATTCCAGTAAAAAAAGCTCGGGTCCTGGTAGCTTCACTGCTAAATTTCACTGAACATTTAATGAAGAACTAATACCAATTCTGTTCACACTATTCTGAAAAATAGAGAAGAAGGAAATACTTTCAAACTAATTCCTCAACACCAGTATTATGCTAACACAGAAACAGACAATGACACATCAAAAATAAAAAACCATGGGGCAATACCTCTAATAAATATTGATGCAAAAATTCTCAACAAAACACTAGGAAACCAAATACAACAATATATTAGAAAAATCATTTGTCAAGACCAAGTGGTATTTATTCCAGTGATACAAGGACAGCTCAATGTACACAAATCAATCAACATGATACATCATATTAACAGAGTAAAGAGTAAAAAGCGTATGATCATTTCAATTGATACTAAAGAAGCATTTTATAAAATAAACATATTCATGATAAAAATCCTCAAAGACATTAGAGATTGAAGGAACATACCTCAACATAAAAGCCATATATGACAGATCCACAGCTTGTATTATACTAAGATCCGGGACATAACAAGAGTTCCCACTGTTACCACTGTTATTCAACTTAGTACTGTCAGTTTTAGCCAGAGCAACAAGACAAGAGAAAAATATAAAGGGTACTCAGATTTTAAAGAAGTCAAGTTATTTTTATTTTCTGATAATGTGATTTTATATGTAGTAAAACCTAAACACTTGACAAGTAAACTATGAGAAATGGTAAACAAATTCAGTAAAGTTGTCAGATACAAAATCAACATGCAAAATCAGTAGCATTTCTATATGCCAACAATGAACAATGTGAAAAGAAATAAAAAGTAATCCCATTTACAATAGCCACACATAAAATTAAATACCTAGGAATTAACTTTCCCAGAGTTATAAAGTATCTCTATAATAAAAGGTACAAAACATTGATAAAAAAAATTGAAAAGGACACAAAAAAATGGAAAAATATTTCATGTTCATGGTTTGGAAGAATTAATATTGTTAAAATCTTCATACTACCCAAAGCAATCCAAACAGTTAATGCAATCCCTATAGAAATACCAACAACATTCTTCACAGAAGTAGAATCTTAAAAATCCAAAAATTTAGTTGGAACTACAAAGACCCAGAATAACCAAAGCCATCCTAAGCAGAAAGAACAAAACTGGAGGAACAGCATTACCTAACTTTAAATTATGCTACAGAATTATACTAGCTAAAACACCATTGCACTGGTATAAACATGGACACATAGACCAATGGAACAAAATAGAGACTTGAGAAGCAAATCTTCATACCTACAGAATACTAATTTTCAACAAAGGTGCCAAGAACATACACTAGGGAAAATACAGTCTCTTAAATAAATAGTGCCAAGAAACTGGATATGCACATGCAAAGGAATAAAACCAGTCCCACATCTCTTGCCGTAAGAAAAAATCAAAATAAAATGGATTAAAGCCTTAAATGTAAGATCTAAACCTATGAAACTAGCATAAGAACACATTGGGGAACTTCTCTAGGACATAGGTCTGGGCAAACATCTCTTGAGCTATACCCTGCAAGCTCAAGCAATTATGAGGGAAAAAAAATGGACAAATGGGGTCACAAGTTAAAAAGCTTCTTTATAGCAAAGGATACAATCGACAAAGTGAAGAGATAACCCACAAAATTGGAGAAAATATTTTTAAACTACCTATCCAACAAAAAAAATTAATAACCAGGAAATATAAAGAGCTCAAACAATTCTATCAATTCTATACACAAAAAAATTTGATCAAAAGATTGGCACAATATTTAAATAAACTTTATTTTTCTCTTTTTTCTTTTCTTTTTTTTTTAATGACAGAATCTTTTTTTGTCCACCAGGCTGGAATGCAGTGGGGCAATCTCAGCTCACTACAACCTCTGCTTCCGGGGTTCAAGTGATTCTCTTTCCTCAGCCTCTTGAGTAGCTGAGACATTCAAACACCTGCCATAATGCCCAGCTAATTTTTATTTTTAGTAGAAATGAGGTTTCACCATTTTGGCTGGGCTGCTCTTGAATTCCTGACCTCATGTGGTCAGCCCACCTTAGCTTCCCAAAATGCTGTGATTACAGGCATGAGCTACTGTGCCTGTCCTAAATAGGTATTACTTAAAAGCAGATATATAGAGAGCATACATGCATAGAAAAAGGTGCTGAGCATCACTGATAATCAGACAAATTCAAATCAAAATGACAATAAGGTATCACCCCATTTAAAATGCCTTATATCCAAAGATACGCAGTAACAGATGCTAGTAAGGATGTGGAGAAAAGGAAACCCTTGTACACTGTTGGTCAAAATGTAAATTAATACAACCACTGTACAGATCAGTTTGGAGTTTCTTTTAAAAACTAAAAATTGACCTACCATATGATCCAGTTAACAGATGAGATGTACAGAGAATTTAGGTACAGGTTTTCCAATTAGGATGTTGAATAAGGTAATTTCTGGGTCAAATGAGGGTCCAAGTGGAAGCATATCTCACTTATGTTGTCCCACATGCCTACAAAAATAATAGTTTCAAAGGCCTTGAGTTGAGAACTTGTTTGGGCATGTTTAATTAAGACTTTGCTTTTATCAGCAGCAACTACTGTGCAATAATTTGCAAGATTACACACCTAAAAAATTGAATGACTAAAGTGTAGTAATTATGGTTACTTAAGAATACTTGGATGTTGGCCAGGTGGGGTGGCTCACACCTGTAATCCCAGCACTTTGGGAAGCCAAGGTGGCTGAATCACGAGGTCAGGAGATCAAGACCATCCTGGCTAACACAGTGAAACCCCATCTCTACTAAAAAATACAAAAAATTAGCCAGGTGTGGTCGTGGGTGCCTGTAGTCCCAGCTACTGGGGAGGCTGAGGCAGGAGAATGGTGTGAACCTGGGAGGCGGAACTTGCAGTGAGCCAAGATAGTGTCACTGCACTCCAGCCTGGGTGACAGAGCAAGCCTCTGTCTCCAAAAAAAACGTGAATGTATGGAAATTTCTTTCTCAATCCAGTGGGGTTTTAGCTAACAGCTCTTAGTCCACCATCAAAAATAAACAATTTGGACACCAGTATACTGAAGCAATCTTTAGCCCATTTATATATTTATGTGTAAGATCTGGAAGTAATGGAGGAAATACAGCATGTTATTCAGAACTAGGTGGAAGAAACACAGGCAAGATTGAGCAAACTGGGACAGAGGAACTCAGAAAAGGTGTAATGGTTTGGATTAAGTTACTTAAGCAGAGATGACATTTTATTACATACATAATATTGAGAGGAGGCAGTGGAAGCGAAGTAAGGGCATACATGCAATGTGTTAAAATTTTGGGACAGGAGAAAATATTATTTGGGGAGAACTATGTAAAGTCAAGAAAAACATCTATTTTGAATGGAAGATAGTTATCATCATATAAGAAAACTGCAACAAAAACAGTGTCAAGTTATTAAGAAGAAGGGTGAGCAGAATATTCCAAAACAAAATGAATAGAAAACTTTTAATTTTCCTGAACAACTGTGTTTACTAGAACACAAAATAAGAGACCCAAAGAAATCTTCAGTCAGGACAGTGGCAATTAGCCATTAATAATTATAATGGATAGAGGAAAGACTTCCAGTTTTACACCATTAAGGATAATATGAACTGTCGTTCTGTTATATATAGTTTTTATTATGTGGAAGTATGTTCCTTCAATCCTCAGTTCTTCTTAGAATTTTTATCTGAAGATATGTTGAATTTTATCAAATGCTTTTATGGCATCAATTGAAATGAACAAATAATTTTTGCTCTTCATTCTGTTGATATGATGTATTACATTGATTGATTTGCATATGCTGAACTATCCTTGAATCCCAGAAATGAGTTCCAATTCGTCATGATGAATTACCCTTTTAATGTATTATTACATTTGGTTTGCTAGTATTTTATTGAAGATTTTTGCATATTTATCAGATATATTGGTGTGTAAGATTTTTTGTGGGGTTATGTGTCTTTGCTTTTAGTGCCAGGGTACAACTAACCTTATAGAATTAGTTTGAAAGTGTATCCACCTGTGTTTTCTGGAATAGTTTGAGTAGAACTGGGATCAGTACTTTTAATATGTTTGGTAAAATTAAGCTGCAAAGCCATTGGGTCCTGGGCTTTTCTTTACTTGAAGAATTTTTATTACAGCTTCAATCCTGTCACTTGTTATTGGTCTGATAATGTTTTGAATTTTTTCATGGCTCAATCCTGGTAAGTAATATATGTTTAATAATTTGTCTGTTTCTTTAAGATTTTCTTAATTTTTGGCATATATTTGCTCATAGTAGCCTCTAGTGATCCTTTGAATTTCTGCAGTAATCTATAATGTTTCCTTTTTCATCACTGATTTTATTTATTTATGTTTTCACTTTTTTTCTTAGCTGGTCTAGCTAATGGTTTGTCAATTGCATTAAACTTTACAAAAAAATGTTGTTTCATTGGTCTTTATTTTTTCAATATTATTTATTTGTGCTCCATGATATTATTTCTTTTACTAATTTTATTGACCCACTTGTCATTCAGCAGCACATTGATGAATGTCCAAGTATTTGTATAATTTCCAAAATTTATCTTGTTATTACATTGTAATCCAATCTTACTATATTCAGAAGATGCTTGACATGATTTCATTTATTGCATGTTTTAAAACTGTTTATCCAACAAACACTTTATGCTTGAGAATGCTCCATATGCTTAGAAAAAAACATGTATTCAGCAGCCACTGGATGAAATGTTCTGTAAATATCTATTAGATTCATTCTGTATCTAGTGAAGATTAAATTCAATGTTTGTTGGTTTTCTGTCTGAAAGATCTGTCCAATGCTGAAAGTGCGATGTTAAAGTCTCCAGGTATTATTGTATCAGGGCTTATCTCTTTCTTTATCTCTAATAATATTTGCTTTGTGTATCTGGGTGCTCCAGTGTTTGCACATATATAATTAAAATTGCCACGTCATTTTTCTGAATTGACAACTTTATTATTATATAGAATCCTTCTTTATCTCTTTTGATAGTTTTTGTCTAAAAATCTATTTTCGCTGATATTGTTTTTTGTTATTGTTGTTTTCTCTGAATGTATTTTCAAATAATGTGTTTTCAAGCTCACTAATTCTTTCTTCTTCTTAATCAATCCTGCTATTAAGAGACTCTGAGGTATCCTCCCACATTTCGACTGTATTTTACAGATCCAGAATTTCTGCTTGACTCTTTTTTATTCCATTCTCTTATATTTATTCTATTCTGTTAAATTTATCTGATAGAATTATGATTTTATATGTGTGTTTTCCTCAATATCTTTGTTTCCTCAAAACCGCAATTTTGAATTCTCTGTTTGAACCCTCACATAGCTCTGTTTCTTCAGAATTGGTCACTGGTGCTTTGTTTAGTTCATTTAATGAGGTCATGTTTTCCTGAATGTTGTTAATATTTATAAAGATTTGTTGGTGTTTGGGCATGGAAGAGTTCAGTATCTATAATAGCCTTCTTCCTCTGAGTCTATTTGTACCCCTCTTTCTTTGAGGAGGCTTTTCAGATATTTTAAAGGAATTGGCTGTTATGATCTGAACTGTATCTGCTTTAGGGGGCTCCCCAAACCCAGTAACACGGTGGTTTTGCAGACTCATAGAGGTGCCGCCTTGATGGTCTTGCACAAGTTCTGGAAGAATTCTCTGGATTACCAGGCAGATACACTTGTTATCTTTCTTACGTTCTCCCAAATGAACAGTCTCTCTTTGTTCTAAGCCACCCAGAGCTTCTGGTGGTGTAAAAGAAGCACCCCTGTGGCCTCCACTACCAGGACTGCTCTGCATCAGACGTCAGACCAGCACAATACTGTGTCTCACCCAAGGGCTGCTGTAACCACACTCTGACTATGGCCTATGGTTGCTCAAGTCCCTTGGGGTCTACAGTAAGCAGGTTGAAAAGCCAGCCAGACCTAGTTGCAAGACAAGTCCTTCCTATTAGGGTAGCTAGTTCCTCAGTCCCCAGCCATGTCCAGAGGGACATTCCAGAAGTTAGAGACTAGTCAAAAACCTTAGATGTCTACTTAGTGTTCTACAGCACTATGGCTTAGCTGAAACTCAAACTATTAGACACAGTCCTTCCTAGTATTCTCTCCCATTTGCAAAGACAGAGGAGTCTCACCTTGTAGCTATCATGACCAAACACCCATGGAGAGTATTGCCAGCCTACCATCAATTTACCCTTCAGGCACAAGGGCTTCTTAATCAATTCTTAGTGAATGCTTCCTGGCCTGAGACTTAACCTTCTGGGCTGTGGGCATCCCTCTGGCCCAAGGAAGGTCTAGAAATTCCATTCAATAGACAAGTCTTAGAATGAGAGACCCAAGAGCCTACTTGGTGCTCTAATCTCCTGTGGTTAAGCTGATATCTGATATATACAACAAAGTCCCTTTTGCTTTTCCCTCTGCTTTTCTTAACTGGAAGGGGTTTCAGCCAGTAGCCATGACAGCTGGGAATGTGCTGAGTTTCCCAGTTTCACCCAACACCTTCAGTGTAGTACCTGGATCTTGCTGATGGTTAATCAAGGTCCAAGGGCTCTTCAGGTAGCAGGTGATGAATGCTGCCAGGAATGGGTTCTTCCCTTGAAAGCAACAGGTTTCCTTCCAGCCCAGGATGTGTTCAGGAGCTGGGGTCTGGAATGGGGGCCTCATGACTGACCCATATCCTATCCTGCTGTGGCTGAGCTGGTATCCAACATAGAAGACAATCCTCCCCACTCTTCCCCTCGCCTCTCCATAAGTGGAGTGAAGGGGTCTTTTTTAAAGCGATGAGCTGTGCAGCCTAGGGTTAGTGGAGGGGTGATGCCAGCACATCCTTGACTGTCCCAGCTGGTGTCTCAGCAGGTTGCATGTTCCCTCCAGTCCACTGTCTCTGGGACCAAGCCAGCACTTGGGCTCACCAAAGACTTGCAGTCCTTGTGGCCTAAACTGTTCTCCAGGTTTGTTCAGCCAATTGAAACACCAACAACAATAACAAAAGCATTTGGAAAATAATTAAAGTAAGAGTGTTGTGGGGAGGTTACTGTCAATTGTATGAAAAGACAAATTATGAAATACCCAAGACAGAAGAGAAAGACAAAAAAGCAGAAAATGCATTGAAATATACTGTTCAAACCATCTAAAATGCTAAGAGAAATATTAACTCAGAAATTCATGAAACTCAAAAAAAACAAGATAAAAAATCTTATACTCCAAGGAGCATTATAATGAAATTGTAAACAGTAAAAGATAAAAATAAATGTAAAACAGCTATAGGAGAAACTTGCTACATATCACTTATCTTCTATTAGGTTATCACCTCACTTTATAAAAGAAATCACCAAGTAAGGAGAAAATGAAATGACATATTGAAGGTGCTAAAGAAATAAGGAATTGCTAGCTCAGAATACTCTAACCTGAAAAGCTCTTTGTTTGATATTTAAAAAGCACATTTAAAGAGAAAAAAAGTTGTGCATGTTCATCTCCTTGTGAATATCTTTACAATAATTTCCTAACCAGTTTTACTGTTTGAAACAAATCAATGATAAAAAAACATGAAATTATAATATTTTTTGGAAAAAATATAATATAGGAAAACCTACAGTAAATAATTATTATCTAATTTAAATACTAGTAACTCTGGGATGAGAATTTAAAAAGTTTCAATAAGATACACCTGTAAAGAATTGCTCAATGGATTCTGAATATAAATTGATATATAGTAGAACATTAATACTATAAAATGTGTGAGGGGATGTAAAAACCATGTTAATCTTCAAATAAAATAATATCTTCTTAAATTAGAATATTACAAGACATTTTAGGTAATATTCCTTGTTATCACAAAAAATTCTGCATTACATATACAAAAGCAACAAAAAAAATAGATACGGTATACAACTGGAATTAGACAACAGCAAAAACAAAATCAAGGAAGTAAAATTGGAATAAAGCAAAACAAGAACTGCAAAAGTCAGGCAAAATTTAAAAATAAAATTGCTGTAGCAAGTTGTTAACAATAAATAATTAAGTGTACCTGGATTTTATTTTTTGAACCAAAAGACCTAATGTAATAGAAGTGGTAAAAAATAAAAATAAGTAAAATAAAAAAGGAAAAAAACCCAATAATTTGATGCCAAGATAATAGCTATCTTTAGATTTCAGTACACCAAAATATGAGGGTGAAAGGATTAAAAATATTCAAAGTAAATGGTAATCAAAAGACAGCAGATGTACCTATATGAAAGTAGATGCTTATCAGTGTTGACACTACTTTTGCACCTGGATAGATTGAGTCTTATAGAAACACAGTTACAGAAGATTAAATAGGCTATTTGATTACCATAGGTAAGCTATTCACCTGGCTTAATTTTTGATCTCTCTAATTTGCTTGGCTTGGTTCATACAATCTTTAGCATATAAGCATTGTTATATTATAATCATCCTAGCAGCCGTAGAAGGGATTGTCTGGTGTGTTGTGCTTTCTTAAAATTTTTATTTTTTATTTTTTGGAGAATTTATATATATATACTTTAAGTTCTGGGATACATGTGCAGAATGAGCAGGTTTGCTACATAGATAAACGTGCTATGGTGGTTTGCTACACCCATCAACGCATCATCTACATTAGGTAGATGATGGTATTTCTCCTAATGCTATCTTACCCCTAGTCCCCTACCCCCGCAACAGGCCCCCATGTATAATGTTCCCCTCCCTGTGTCCATGTGTTCTCATCGTTCAATTCCCACTTCTGAGTGAGAATGTGCAGTGTTTGGTTTTCTGTTCCTGTGTTAGTTAGCTGAGAATGATGGTTTCCAGCTTCATCCATGTCTCTGAAAAGAACATGAACTCATCCTTTTTTATGGCTGCATAGTATTCCATGGTGTATATGTGCCACATTTCCTTTATCCAGTCTATCTTTGATGGGCATTTGGGTTGGTTCCAAGTCTTTGCTATTGTGAACAATGCCTCAATAAACATACATGTTCATGTGTCTTTATAGTAGAATGATTTATATTCCTTTGGGTATATACCCATTAATGGGATTGCTCTGTCAAATGGTTTTTCTGATTCTAAATCCTGGAGAAATCACCACACTGTCTTCCATAATGGTTGAATTAATTTACATTCCCGCCAACGTGTAAAAGCGTTCTTGTTTCTCCACATCCTCTCCAGCATCTGTTTTTTCCTGACTTTAATGATAGCCATTTAACTGGCATGAGGTGGTATCTCATTGTGGTTTTGATTTGCCTTTCTCTAATGACCAGTAATGATGAGCTTTTGTCCTATGTTTTTTGGCTGCATAAATGTCTTCTTTTGAAGAGTGAGACACAAATAATTTTCAAGAGAAAAAAAATGAATCTGGAAGTTAATTATCTAACAGATTGACTTTTAAGAAAGGCTTAAGACGTTCACTTAAAAATCTATTTGTGCCTTTTTTCATATCCGAGGAAGAGCTTTGCAGTCTAGACTACTCTTAGGTAGCAGTATTTTAAATTTTATCTTAGCACTTTTAATATGGCATCACATTATCTCCTGTCTTTGTAGAATCCTGTTAGAAATACTGGGAATTACCCAGATAGAGCTCACTTATGTGGGATGAGTTTTCCCACTGACAGATTTAACATTACTTTTTAAATTTTACTTTTTATAACTTGATTAAAATGCATCTAGGACTATTAACTTTTAAAATTAATCTTGATATGATCATTGAGTTTCTAAATCTGTGAGTTCATATTTTTTCTAAACTTTGGAATGTGAACAATAAAAATTCTGATAACTTTTCTGCTTCTTTGTCTCTTTCTTATCTTTTGTGTACTTTTATAATTGGTGTATTTTTACAAATTAAGGCATCCATTAATAGACATGGTTATTTCATTTTTCCATGTTTATTGTTGTTCTTCTAATTGGTTAAATTCATATAAACTGTATTTGAGATGGCCATTTAATTCTTCTACCAGATTAGTTATGCTGTTGCAATTTTGTATTGATATTTTAAATTCCATGAATATATTACACAGCTGTAGGTTTTCTTTGTTCTTTTTGACATATTGTTAATTACATTTCAGGCAATTTCTAGGTCTCTGATTTTTTATCTTTTCTTTGAAGTCTGATGAAATTTCTCTGGTTGTGTCATGAATGGCTGATACTTAGCATTCCTTCTATCTCTGTGGTGTTGTTTTGTGCATTTCAAGAAGCAAAACCACAGAATTTCTTGGATTGTGTTAGGCTTATAATGTTCTCCTTCAAAGTCTCTGATATTTTCGGGAGAAAATAATAAAACTAGTGTGACTGACAAAGCTGTAGCTCATCATTACTTGTCATTAGAGGACTGCAAATCAAAACCACAATGAGATATCATCTTATGCCAGTTAGAATGGTGATCATTAAAGTCAGGAAAAAAAATACTGGAGAGGATGTGGAGGAATAGTTTAATTAGGTCCCATTTATTTAGTTTTGTTTTGGTTGCATTTGGTTTTGGGTCTTAATCATGAGTTATTTGCCTAAGCCAATGTCTACAAGATTTTTCTGATGTTATCTTCAAGAATGTTTATAGTTTTTGGTCTTAGATTTGAGTCTTTGATCCATCTTGAGTTGATTTTTGCATGGGGTGAGAGATGGGATCCAGTTTTATTCTTCTATATGTGGCTTGCCAGTATTCCCAGCATCATTTGTTGAATAGGGTGTCCTTTCCCCAATTTATATTTTTGTTTGCTTTGTCAATAAGGAATTGGCAGTGAGTATTTGTCCTTGTTTTTGTGTTCTGTATTCAGTTTCATTGTTCTGTGTGCCATTTTTTTTATATCAGCATCATGCTGTTTTGATAACTAAAGCCTTGTAGTATAATTTGAAGTCTACTCACATTTTGCTGAGATGGTGTATTTTTTTCTTTCTCTTATTTTCTTATTTCTTTAGTTCTCCACTTCCTAGTTGGCCATTTAGAAAGGCAGATGTAGCCTTTTATCTACCTTTCAGTAGATGATTTCTACAGGGCTAGTTACTCTCTTACAGTTCCTAAAAAGAACTCTTACCTACCAGGAGACTGTCTGAAGATAAAACACTAAATTTCTATGAAACACACTCCCATGAGCAGAATACGTTAAAAAATATCAGTCAGTTTATCACCAGAAGTATCCCGACTTAGGAAAATGCCAACAATCTCCTGGTAAATTGCTCTGTAGATAAGGCAGTAGGCTAGCCGGTATAAACCCCACCTGCTCCCTTCCCCCTTCCCTCATCTGAATGACCATTAGGTTAGGCCCCTTTTAAAAGTACTCCCTTTCTGTTCCAAATGTAAAATCATACCCTAAAAAGACAGAAAGCCTGCACTTATTCCTCTAGGCTAGTTTTGAAATTAAAGCAGAACTTGCTGTTTACTAGAGTTTCTGTATATCACTCTTGTCAATTTGACTCTGCAAGCAGAAAGTGACTGAATCTGCATTCTAATCACAATAGCTGTAGCCCATATGCAGAAGAGCTGCACACTGTGGATTACTCTGCACCTGACATATTACTTTATTGAACAAAAATGAGGGCACCTAGGAGTGACAGCTGCTTATGCCTGGCTGACTCTTTGATGAGAATTTTCAGAAAATTCTCAACAACTGACAGAAATGGTTTCTGGTTTGGCAAACCTCCTCTTTACCTTACTTCCTTCAACACACTTCTAAAGAAGAAAGTGACCTCTAAAAAGATGGCTACATTTGGAAGTAAGCTATATGATCTCAATAAATATTTGGCCACCTTCTGCCTCTCTTAGAGTGTCACTATGGTCCTGCAATTTTTGACTATAGGTTCCTCAAAAAGCTATTTGAATGTTTTATGCCTTTGTATTTATTGTCAAGTGCAGCACCACTGAAGCTCTTTGCTTGACTGAGACTCAGCTGTCCATGGAGCAATTCAGAGCTTGGGAAGAGGTTTCAAGGACCTATCCAAACTATTGATTTGGGACTCATTTTGAAGCACACTGTTTATTTGAATTTGTGAATGCATAAATTTCTGTATGAACACTGATTTCTTCTACACGCTGCACCTCTTGTTTCACCCTCCTATCTGGGAAAGTCATCTACCTGGAACACTGAGAGTCCCCAATTTTTTCCTTTCAAAAATTGAACTAAATATTAACAGCTGACCTAATTTTTATATATTGATTCTTGAGGTAAGTAAACAAAAATACTACAGAAAGTGACCCCATAGTTTATACTTAACTTTTGGTCACTTTAGGTGTTTTCCTTTCTTTTCTTTCTTTCTCATAATCTGCTTGTAAAATCTGGCTTTACAGTTACAAAAAATTTTGTAACAAATTTTTATTAATAAAAAAATTCTGTGGCTGGGAGCAGTTTTCCTGAAGTTAAGGGGCTTTAATGATTTTTCTTTATATAAAACCTTACAATACAATTACAGTAATATGCAACCAAAATTTTTGCCTTTGGTTTTTATAAGGAAACTTTTAAAACACTTTTTTTTAAATTTCTTTAAAGTTGTTTTTACAGAGATTGTCAACTGTTCCACAGAAGTTATAAAAAATTATCGTAGGTTTATAGAATCTTACTTTATAAGCAAACTAAAGAATGCTGAATACATTTGTTTATAAGGTTATACTATCAATCAAGTTTAACGTAGTAAACTAAGGCAAATGTAAAATTTTGCTTACTTTTTTAAACTGGATATTTATGATATAGTAAAAGATAATAATTTTGTTTTCCTTTGGATAAATGATAAAGAAAATGGGAAGAAATACAGATTCTCTCTCTCACATTATTTTATTTGACCAGTTTTTCCCTTCAAAAAAAATATGTCTACCATATAACAAAGTAAAAACTTTTCTTAGGTATTTAAGATATCTTTTTCTGGGTTTTGTAACATCAAATGTTTAAAATGTATATATTTAAAAAGCTTTAAAAGTCATATTCTAAATCAAGCCTCTTATTGATCTATTTATTCGTTTTCTGAATATGAGGTAGCCTGAAGTCCAAAAAAGGCATATTTTGCTTATCTGGTATATTAATTGTATATAGAAAGTATTGTGAACTATAGCAATATAATGCTGCTTAAGCTTCTCTGAGCTATATTCATACAGATTTCCCATTACTATGTGTCCTATAATTGTTCTTAGTATATGTTATCAGTTGTAATTACAAATATTATTCAAAATATTTGTATGCCATATATGTAACCGAGACTTATAGTTGATTTTGTTTATAATCATAGAGATTTTAACAATTTTATCATCAACAATCACTCCTTTTCTTTGATTTTTTATAGGGCAGTATGTAAACAGCTACAAAACTCTAAGGAGTATACTAAAGAATGTGTTCCTGATAAGTTAAGAATGGGTCCCTGATAACGTTAGAATTGTGCCATTGGAATGGAGCCAAAAGCTTTCAGGACTGTTCTGTCATGGAGAACTAAAATATACCTGAGGATTATTGATTCAATGTTAATCAGAAAGAGAGTAAATTTTATTGACAAAACTAACAGAATATTATACTAAACTCTCATAACTTTTTGTTGAATTAGTTTATTATTCTTGGTTTGTTTTCAATGATATTTTTTCTTTTAAGCTATTTGCAATTTATAAAAGTTGAATAAGATTGATTACTTCGAGAAAAGTTGGAGTGTCTTTTTCTGTCTCTACCAGATACCCCCAGAAAATGAGGACTATATTTAACTATACTTAATATGTAGCAGTGTAATTATTTGCATACATTCCATTAGACTTATAAAATGCCGTTATAAGCAGTTGTTATCTTACCAAAGTTTTTTTCTGCAATGGCATACTTTCAGATATAAAGAGACTGCTTTAAAAATCAAAGTTGACTTATACAGCTTTTTAAAAGACCATTGGAAAATCTATCTCTATTTTTTGTTTATGGGATTCCTCTACAGGCTCCCTGAACTCTGATGATTAAATCATGTACTTTTCTGACAGGCCCAGGATCTCCAAATTATCCTGGGACCCTCAGTAGAGAAGTTTATCCAATTAACACAAATATATGCAGGCACACACAAAACATTGGCTTAGGTCAAGGCTTTGGAAAGTCTAATCTATAATCCTAATTAAACAAAGTTCCAGCAAAGCCAATTTAAGAGGAGCCTTTATAACAAATAACTTTCATTGTATCATTCAATGCAAATACTCAGGCAAAGAGAATAAAAAAAGAACTAAATTTTTGAACAACTTGCCCTTGCTATTATTTGTCTTTATAAATACAGGAACTTGAAAGAGGATAATTAAAATAAAAAATAATATATAAAGCTAATAATAATAATAAAAGAAGCATAACTTGAGAGAGTATGATAATTTAAAAACTCCAGTACACAAGCTGTTAGATTCTTGTACTGCCCACTGTTTCTGAGTTTTTATTACTTTCCACCATTTAGGCTGAATGCTATGTGCTTCTTGGGCTAAACTTACCAAGTTAGTGCATATATATATATATAGATGTGTGTGTGTGCGCGCACGTGTGTGTGCGTGTTTATGTGTGTCTGTGTTTCTGATTTGGTCTCCGTGAAAACACTCCTACACTATTCCTCTTAAAAGAGGCAAAAAAAGTATTATACCACCACTATATTCCTTCTCTGTAAATAATAATGCTTTTAGTTTGACAACTTAATAAATTGGTCAAATGTTAAACTATGTATTTCTTTTATTTCCATAGAAATGGCTCTTATTAAAATTTGAGGGCCTTCTTCACATGCAGATTACTAGCTCATTTGCAATGCTACCTTTTGAATGAGGCAGTTATGTAACCTGATTTATTCTCAGAAACTAGACAGGATTGACAACATATTATTTATTTTTCTGCCTAACTTCTCATCATATTTACTTATGATTGATTATGGGAACCTTGCAAAATAATTAAGACTAACTTCTGTGTGTACATTCAAGAACATTTAGAAAGTGTATCAGATAGCCCTGGGGATGAGGACCAATAGTTTAAAGCTGTATCTGACTGCATGCTGATATTAAATAAATAGTTAGAATTTCTTATTATTATACTTTAAGTTTTAGGGTACATGTGTACAATATGCAGGTTTGTTACATATGTATACATGTGTCATGTTGGTGTGCTGCACCCATTAACTCGTCATTTAACATTAGGTATATCTCCTAATGGTATCCCTCCCCACTCCTCCCACCCCACTACAGGCCCCAGTGTCTGATGTTCCCCTTCCTTTGTCCATGTGTTCTCATTGTTCAATTCCCACCTATGAGTGAGAACATGCAGTGTTTGGTTTTTTGTCTTTGTGATAGTTTGCTGAGAATGATGGTTTCCAGCTTCATCCATGTCCCTATAAAGGACATGAACTCATCATTTTTTTATGGCTGCATAATATTCCCTGTGTATATGTGCCACATTTTCTTAATCTAGTCTGTCATTGTTGGACATTTGGCTTGGTTCCAAGTCTTTGCTATTGTGAATAGTGCTGCAATAAATGTACATGTGCATGTGTCTTTATAGCAGCATGTTTTATAATCCTTGGGGTATATACCCAGTAATGGTATGGCTGGGTCAAATGATATTTCTAGTTCTAGATCCCTGAGGAATCACACTGACTTCCACAATGGTTGAACTAGTTTACAGTCCCACCAACAGTGTAAAAGTGTTCCTATTTCTCCATGTCCTCTCCAACACCTGTTGTTTCCTGACTTTTTAATGATCGCTATTCTAACTGGTGTGAGATTGTATCTCATTGTGGTTTGATTTGCATATCTCTGATGGCCAGTGATGGTGAACATTTTTTCATGTGTCTTTTGGCTGCATAAATGTCTTCTTTTGAAAAGTGTCTGTTCATATCCTTCACCCACTTTTTGATGGGGTTTTTGTTTTTTTCTTGTAAATTTGTTTGAGTTCATTGTAGATTCTGGATATTAGCCCTTTGTCATTTGAGTAGATTGGAAAAATTTTCTCCCATTCTGTAGGTTGCCTGTTCACTCTGGTGGTAGTTTCTTTTGCTGTGCAGCAGCTTTTTAGTTTAATTAGATCCCATTTGTCAATTTTGGCTTTTGTTGCCATTGCTTTGGTGTGTTAGACATGAAGTCCTCGTGCATGCCTATGTCCTAAATGGTTGTGCCTTGGTTTTCTTCTAGAGTTTTTATGGTTTTAGGTCTAACATTTAAGTCTTTAATCCATCTTGAATTAACTTTTGTATAAGGTGTAAGGAAGGGATCCAGTTTCAGCTTTCTACATATGGCTAGCCAGTTTTCCTAGCACCATTTACTAAATAAGGAATCCTTTCCCCATTTCTTGTATTTGTCAGGTTTGTCAAAGATCAGATAGTTGCAGATATGCGTCATTATTTCTCAGGGCTCTGTTCTGTTCTGTTGGTCTATATCTCTGTTTTGGTAACAGTACCATGCTGTTTTGGTTACTGTAGCCTTGTAATATACTTTGAAGTCAGGTAGCATGATGCCTCCAGCTTTGTTCTTTTGGCTTAGGATTGACTTGGCAATGTGGGCACTTTTTTGGTTCTATATGAACTTTAAAGTAGTTATTTTCCAATTCTGTGAAGAAAGTCATTGGTAGATTGACAGGGATGGCATTGAATCTATAAATTACCTTGGGCAGTATGGCCATTTTCACGATATTGATTCTTCCTACCCATGAGCATGGGAAGTTCTTCCATTTCTTTGTATCCTCTTTTATTTCATTGAGCAGTGGTTTGTAGTTCTCCTTGAAGAGGTCCATCACTTCCTTTGTAAGTTGGATTCCTAGGTATTATATTCTCTTTGAAGCAATTGTGAATGGGAGTTCACTCATGATTTGGCTCTCTGTTTGTCTGTTACTGGTGTATAAGAATGCTTGTGACTTTTGCACATTGATTTTGTATCCTGAGACTTTGCTTAAATTGCCTATCAGCTTAAGGAGATTTTGGGCTGAGATGATGGGGTTTTCTAGATATGCAATCATGTCATCTGCAAACAGGGAAAATTTCACTTCCTCTTTTCCTAATTGAATACCATTTATTTCCTTCTCCTGCCTGAATGCTCTGGCCAGAACTTCCAACACTATGTTGAATAGGAGTCGTGAAAACTGTCTTGTCCCAGTTTTCAAAGGGAATGCTTCCAGTTTTTGCCCATTCAGTATGATATTGACTGTGGGTTTGTCATAGATAGCTCTTATTATTTTGAGATACATCCCATGAATACCTAGTTAATTGAGAGTTTTTACCATGAAGCGTTGTTGAATTTTCCCAAAGGCCTTTTCTGCATCTATTGAGATAATCATGTGGTTTTTGTCATTGTTTCTGTTTATATGTTGCGTTATGTTTATTGATTTGCATATGTTGAACCAGGCTTGCGTCCCAGGGATGAAGCCCACTTGATCATGGTGGATAGCTTTTTGATGTGCTGCTGGATTCGGTTTGCCAGTATTTTATCGAGGATTTTTGAATCGATGTTCTTCAGGGATATTGGTCTAAAATTCTCTTTTTTTGTTGTGTCTCTGCCAGGTTTTGGTATCAGGATGACGCTGGTCTCATAAAATGAGTTAGGGAGGATTGCCTCTTTTTCTGTTGATTGGAATAGTTTCAGAAGGAATGGTACCAGCTCCTCCTTGTACCTCTGGTAGAATTTGGCTGTGAATCCATCTGGTCCTGGACTTTTTTTGATTGGTAAACTATTAATTATTGCCTCAATTTCAGAGCATGTTATTGGTCTCTTCAGAGATTCAACTTCTTCCTGGTTTAGTCTTGGGAGAGTGTATGTGTCAAGGAATTTATCCGTTTCTTCTAGATTTTCTAGTATATTTGTGTAGAGGTGTTTATAGTATTCTCTGATGTAGTTTGTATTTCTGTGGGATCGGTGGTGATATCCCCTTTATCATTTCTGATTGCATCTATTTGATTCTTCTCTCTTTTTTCCTTTATTAGTCTTGCTAGTGGTCTATCAATTTTGTTCACCTTCTTAAAAAACCAGCTCCTGGATTCATTGATTTTTTTAAGGGTTTATTGAGTCTATATTTCCTTCAGTTCTACTCTGATCTTAGTTATTTCTTGCCTTCTGCTAGCTTTTGAAAGTGTTTGCTCTTGCTTCTCTAGTTCTTTTAATTGTGATGTTAGGGTGTCAATTTTAGATCTTTCCTGCTTTTTCTTGTGGGCATTTAGTGCTATAAATTTCCCTCTACACACTGCTTTGAATGTGTCCCTAAGATTCTGGTATATTGTGTCTTTGTTCTTGTTGGTTTCAAAGAACATCTTTATTTCTGCCTTCATTTCATTATGTACCCAGTAGTCATTCAGGAGCATGTTGTTCTGTTTCCATGTAGTTGGGTGGTTTTGAGTGAGTTTCTTAATCCTGAGCTCTAGTTTGATTGCACTGTGGTCTCAGAGAGAGTTTGTTAATTTCTATTCTTTTATGTTTGCTGAGGAGTGCTTTACTTCCAACTATGTGGTCAATTTTGTAATAGGTATGGTGTGGTGCTGAAAAGAATGTATATTCTGTTGATTTGGGGTGGAGAGTTCTGTAGGGGTCTATTAGGTCTGCTTGGTGCAGAGCTGAGTTCAATTCCTGGGTATCCTTGTTAACTTTCTGTCTCGTTGATCTGTCTAATGTTGACAGTGGGGTGTTAAAGTCTCCCATTATTATTGTGTGGGAGTCTAAGTCTCTTTATTGGTCTCTGAGGACTTGCTTTATGAATCTGGGTTCTCCTGTATTGGGTGCATATACATTTAGGGTAGTTAGCTCTTCTTGTTGAATTGATCCCTTTAACACTATGTAATGGCCTTCTTTGTCTCTTTTGGTTTTTGTTGGTTCTTCCTCCATCCCTTTATTTTGAGCCTATGTGTGTCTCTGCACGTGAGAAGGGTTTCCTGCATACAGCATACTGATGGGGCTTGACTCTTTATCCAATTTGCCAGTTTGTGTGTTTTAATTGGAGCATTTAGCCCATTTACATTTAAGGTTAATATTGTTATATGTGAATTTGATCCTGCCATTATGATGTTAGCTGGTTATTTTGCCCTTTAGTTGATGCAGTTTCTTCATATCCTCAATGGTCTTTACAATTTGACATGTTTTTGCAGTGGCTGCTACCGATTGTTCTTTTCCATGTTTAGTGCTTCCTTCAGGAGCTCTTCTAGGTGACAAAATCTCTCAGCATTTCCTTGTCTGTAAAGTATTTTATTTCTCCTTCACTTATGAAGCTTAGTTTGGCTGGATATGAAATTCTGGGTTGAAAATTCTTTTCTTTAAGGATGTTGAATATTTACCCCCACTCTCTTCTGGCTTGCAGAGTTTCTGCCAAGAGAGCCACTCTTAGTCTGATGGGCTTCCCTTTGTGGGTAACCTGACCTTTCTCTCTGGCTGCCCTTAACATTTTTTCCTTCATTTCAACTTTGGTGAATCTGACAATTATGTGTCTTGGAGTTGGTCTTCTCGAGAAGTATTTGTGGTGTTCTCTGTATTTCCTGAATTTGAATATTGGCCTGCCTTGCTAGATTGGGGAAGTTCTCCTGGATAATATCCTGTAGAGTGTTTTCCAAGTTGATTCCACTCTCCCAGTCACTTTCATGTACACTAATCAGATGTAGATTTGGTCTTTTCACATAGTCCCATATTTCTTGGAGGCTTTGTTTCTTTTTATTCTTTTTTATCTAAACTTCTCTTCTCACTTCATTTCATTCATTTGATTTTCTATCACTGATAGCCTTTCTTCCAGTTGATCGAATCAGCTACTGAGGCTTCTGCATTCATCATGTAGTTCTTGTGCCATGGTTTTCAGCTCCATTAGCTCCTTTAAGCACTTCTCGGCATTGCTTATTCTAGTTAGCTATTTGTATAGTTTTTTTTTCAAGGTTTTTAACTACTTTGCCATGGGTTCGAACTTCCTCCTTTAGCTCAGAGTAGTTTGATCGTCTGAAGCCTTCTTCCCTCAACTCATCAAAGTCATTCTCCGTCCAGCTTTGTTCCATTGCTGGTGAGGAGCTTCATTCCTTTGGAGGAGGAGAGGCACTCTGACTTTTAGAGTTTCCAGTTTTTCTGCTCTGTTTTTTCCCCATCTTTGTGGTTTGATCTACCTTTGGTCTTTGATGATGGTGACGTACAGATGGGGTTTTGGTGTGGATGTCCTTTGTGTTTGTTAGTTTTCCTTCTAACAGTCAGGACCCTCAGCTGCAGGTCTGTTGGAGTTTGCTGGAGGTCCACTCCAGACCCTGTTTGCCTGAGTATCAGCAGTGGAGGCTGCAGAACAGCGGATATTGGTGAACAGCAAATGTTGCTGCCTTATCACTCCTCTGGAAGTTTTGTCTCAGAGGGGTACCCAGCCATTTAAGGTGTCAGTCTTCCCCTACTGGGGGTTGCCTCCCAGTTAGGCTACTTGGGGGTCAGGGACCCACTTGAGGAGGCAGTCTCTCTGTTCTCAGATCTCCAGCTGCATGCTAGGAGAAACACTACTCTCTTCAAAGATGTCAGACAGGGAAATTTAAGTCTGTAGAGGTTTCTACTGCCTTTTGTTTGGCTATGCCCTGCCCCCAGAGGTGGAGTCTACAGAGACAGGCAGGCCTCCTTGAGCTGTGGTGGGCTCCACCCAATTCAAGCTTCCCAGCCACTTTGTTTACCTACTCAAGCCTTTGCAATGGTGGGCGCCCCTCCCCCAGTCTCACTGCAGCCTTGCAGTTTGATCTCAGACTGCTGTGCTAGCAATAGGTGAGGCTCCATGGGCATAGGACCCTCTGAATCATGTGTGGGATATAATCTCCTGGTGTGCCATTTGCTAAGACTGTTGGAAAAGTGCAATATTAGGGTGTGAGTGACCCAATTTTCCAGGTGCCATCTGTCACCCCTTTCTTTGACTAGGAAAGGGAATTCCCTGACCCTTTGCACTTCCCATGTGAGGCAATAACTCGCCCTGCTTCAGCTCATGCTCAGTGCACTTCACCCACTGTCCTGTACCCACTCTCTGACACTCCACAGTGAGATGAACCCTGTACCTCAGTTGGAAATGCAGAAATCACCTGTCTTCTGCATCACTCACACTGGGCACTGTAGACTGGAGCTGTTCCTATTTGGCCATCTTGGCTCCATCCCTGAATAGTTAGAATTCTTTATCAGGTCAGAAAAATTTTGTTTGTGGGGGCTACTTTTACCTTTAGACCTGGTTGTAAGAAGAGGCATACTTGTGCACTGCAGATTATACTGTTGTTACACCCTCTGTATGGGGTTACAATACTGGCTTCTTGAGAGACCTTCCAGACCTGGCATCCTCATGATCTAATAGATAGTTCTAAATTTTTGATACTCATGAATATTTCTAACTTCAAATAGATCATTTCCACTTTGAGACCTAATATTTCTGCCCTCTTTGAGCAGAAACTATCTAGAATAAGTACAACACAGAATTCCCATGGAAATGGAATAAAACAGAAGTGGAGTATTGTTACCAAGTGCTTTTATTTTTCTAAGAGATACATTAATTATATTGCCTTTTAACTCACCTTTTCTCCTTCCTACAGTTCATTTTATACTTAACCCTTTAACAATTAAAACACAGTCTTTTGACTCCTCTTTGTGAGGCCCTTACTACAGGTTTATGTAACTATGTTCTTGGAAGCTTCAGAAAAGAAAAGGCCAACAATCACATACTCAGGTGCCCAGCTCAGAAGAGTCAAAAGTTGGACATGCTAACCACTCACCTGTTTGCTTCTCCAGGCCTGTATTTCAATTGTGCTTAAGGCCCATTTGAGGAATGTATCCATTTCTTCTAGATTTTCTAGTTTATTTGCGTAGAGGTGTTTGTAGTATTCTCTGATGGTAGTTTGTATTTCTGTGGGATCGGTGGTGATATCCCCTTTATCATTTTTTATTGTGTCTATTTGATTCTTCTCTCTTTTTTTCTTTATTAGTCTTGCTAGCAGTCTATCAATTTTGTTGATCCTTTCAAAAAACCAGCTCCTGGATTCATTGATTTCTTGAAGGGTTTTTTGTGTCTCTATTTCCTTCAGTTCTGCTCTGATTTTAGTTATTTCTTGGCTTCTGCCAGCTTTTGAATGTGTTTGCTCTTGCTTTTCTAGTTCTTTTAATTGTGATGTTAGGGTGTCAATTTTGGATCTTTCCTGCTTTCTCTTGTAGGCGTTTAGTGCTATAAATTTCCCTCTACACACTGCTTTGAATGCGTCCCAGAGATTCTGGTATGTGGTGTCTTTGTTCTCGTTGGTTTCAAAGAACATCTTTATTTCTGCCTTCATTTCATTATGTACCCAGTAGTCATTCAGGAGCAGGTTGTTCAGTTTCCATGTAGTTGAGCGGCTTTGAGTGAGATTCTTAATCCTGAGTTCTAGTTTGATTGCACTGCGGTCTGAGAGATAGTTTGTAATAATTTCTGTTCTTTTGCATTTGCTGAGGAGCGCTTTACTTCCCAGTATGTGGTCAGAGAATACTATAAAAACCCCTATGCAAATAAACTAGAAAATCTAGAAGAAATGGATACATTCCTCGACACATACACTCTCCCAAGACTAAACCAGGAAGAAGTTGAATCTCTGAATAGACCAATAACAGGCTCTGAAATTGGGGCAATAATCAATAGTTTACCAACCAAAAAGAGTCCAGGACCAGATGGATTCACAGCCGAATTCTACCAGAGGTAAAAGGAGGAACTGGTACCATTCCTTCTGAAACTATTCCAATCAATAGAAAAAGAGGGAATCCTCCCTAACTCATTTTATGAGGCCAGCATCATTCTGATACCAAAGCCGGGCAGAGACACAACCAAAAAAGAGAATTTTAGACCAATATCCTTGATGAACATTGATGCAAAAATCCTCAATAAAATACTGGCAAACTGAATCCAGCAGCACATCAAAAAGCTTATCCACCATGATCAAGTGGGCTTCATCCCTGGGATGCAAGGCTGGTTCAATATACGCAAATCAATAAATGTAATCCAGCATATAAACAGAGCCAAAGACAAAAACCACATGATTATCTCAATAGATGCAGAAAAAGCCTTTGACAAAAGTCAACAACCCTTCATGCTAAAAACTCTCAATAAATTAGGTATTGATGGGACGTATTTCCGAATAATAAGAGCTATCTATGACAAACCCACAGCCAATATCATACTGAATGGGCAAAAACTGGAAGCATTCCCTTTGAAAACTGGCACAAGACAGGGATGCCCTCTCTCACCGCTCCTATTCAACATAGTGTTGGAAGTTCTGGCCAGGGCAATCAGGCAGGAGAAGGAAATAAAGGGTATTCAATTAGGAAAAGAGGAAGTCAAATTGTCCCTGTTTGCAGACGACATGATTGTTTATCTAGAAAACCCCATCGTCTCAGCCCAAAATCTCCTTAAGCTGATAAGCAACTTCAGCAAAGTCTCAGGATGCAAAATCAATGTACAAAAATCACAAGCATTCTTATACACCAACAACAGACAAACAGAGAGCCAAATCATGAGTGAACTCCCATTCACAATTGCTTCAAAGAGAATAAAATACCTAGGAATCCAACTTACAAGGGATGTGAAGGACCTCTTCAAGGAGAACTACAAACCACTGCTCAAGGAAATAAAAGAGGACACAAACAAATGGAAGAACATTCCATGCTCATGGGTAGGAAGAATCAATATCGTGAAAATGGCCATACTGCCCAAGGTAATTTACAGATTCAATGCCATCCCCATCAAGCTACCAATGACTTTCTTCACAGAATTGGAAAAAACTACTTAAAAGTTCATATGGAACCAAAAAAGAGCCCGCATCGCCAAGTCAATCCTAAGCCAAAAGAACAAAGCTGGAGGCATCACACTACCTGACTTCAAACTATACTACAAGGCTACAGTAACCAAAACAGCATGGTACTGGTACCAAAACAGAGATATAGATCAATGGAACAGAACAGAGCCCTCAGAAATAATGCCGCATATCTACAACTATCTGATCTTTGACAAACCTGAGAAAAACAAGCAATGGGGAAAGGATTCCCTATTTAATAAATGGTGTTGGGAAAACTGGCTAGCCATATGTAGAAAGCTGAAACTGGATCCCTTCCTTACACCTTATACAAAAATCAATTCAAGATGGATTAAAGATTTAAACGTTAGACCTAAAACCATAAAAACCCTAGAAGAAAACCTAGGCATTACCATTCAGGACATAGGCGTGGGCAAGGACTTCATGTCCAAAACACCAAAAGCAATGGCAACAAAAGCCAAAATTGACAAATGGGATCTAATTAAACTCAAGAGCTTCTGCACAGCAAAAGAAACTACCATCAGAGTGAACAGGCAACCTACAACATGGGAGAAAATTTTCGCAACCTACTCATCTGACAAAGGGCTAATATCCAGAATCTACAATGAACTCAAACAAATTTACAAGAAAAAAACAAACAACCCCATCAAAAAGTGGGCGAAGGACATGAACAGACACTTCTCAAAAGAAGACATTTATGCAGCCAAAAAACACATGAAGAAATGCTCATCATCACTGGCCATCAGAGAAATGCAAATCAAAACCACTATGATATATCATCTCACACCAGTTAGAATGGCAATCATTAAAAAGTCAGGAAACAACAGGTGCTGGAGAGGATGTGGAGAAATAGGAACACTTTTACACTGTTGGTGGGACTGTAAACTAGTTCAGCCATTGTGGAAGTCAGTGTGGCGATTCCTCAGGGATCTAGAACTAGAAATACCATTTGACCCAGCCATCCCATTACTGGGTATATACCCAAAGGACTATAAATCATGCTGCTATAAAGACACATGCACACGTATGTTTATTGCGGCACTATTCACAATAGCAAAGACTTGGAACCAACCCAAATGTCCAACAATGATAGACTGGATTAAGAAAATGTGGCACATATACACCATGGAATACTATGCAGCCATAAAAAATGATGAGTTCATGTCCTTTGTAGGGACATGGATGAAATTGGAAACCATCATTCTCAGTAAACTATCGCAAGAACTAAAAACCAAACACCGCATATTCTCACTCATAGGTGGGAATTGAACAATGAGATCACATGGACACAGGAAGGGGAATATCACACTCTGGGGACTGTGGTGGGGTCGGGGGAGGGGGGAGGGATAGCATTGGGAGATATACCTAATGCTAGATGACACGTTAGTGGGTGCAGCGCACCAGCATGGCACATGTATACATATGTAACTAACCTGCACAATGTGCACAAGTACCCTAAAACTTAGAGTATAATAAAAATAAATAAATAAATAAATAAATAAATAAATAAATAAATAAATAAAATGTACTCACCCTTGGATTTAGAAAAAAAAAAAAAAGGCCCATTTGAAAGTGTTTCCTTAGATTAAATTTAGAAGTTGAAATCAGAATCTGCTAAATGCAATGGGATTAAATGTGATAAGACTTCCACATTCTTATGGAGGAGACGTTTATGTGAAATAAATGCCTACAGTTGAACAAACGATACCCTTAACGTCTTCTTCTGGGAAAATAGTTAAGTTATCCTGTCTCTGTTAATTAAATGGAAAACATTGTTACATCAATTCAGTTACTCCTATAAAAGTTGGCAGGATCTAAATCTTGTGCCTTTTTCCAGGGCCAACTGTTAACTTCCAAAAAGATTGCTCATAGACTACTCAGTCCCCTTGGGCAGGCACTACATAGGGCTTTCTTCTTGTTAACAAAGTTATTGTTGACTCAACTATAGACAGCCCCAGAGGCTATCTGGGCTCTGATTATATTTTGTACATTATATTTTGTACATTAATGTACATTATATCCATGATTGGGCTATAATGTACATTAATGGCTAAGAATTTATGTTCTGGATTCTTCAATCTTTCATTAATATTCCACTTCTCCCATAATTCATTTTGGTACTTGGAAATGTTATCTAGTCTGTTGCATTCATAGGGGAAAACTTGGAATAATTTGGGGTAGTGCTTAGTCCCACTCTTGGCATCTAGTGACTCTCATATCAGATAGAGGCAGTCATCGCAGTGGCCCAAGTGATCTTGCAACATCTCCATCCATGTTGCTCCAAAGGACCCAATTTTACTGTAAATGGTTGTATAGTATTTTATGGTCTACATAGACCATATTTACCATATGTTCATCCATATTTTCTTCATTAATCTAGCTTTTAAAAACAACTAATTTGATTTCAAGTGTTTGTTATTTAAAAGCCAAGAAGGAAAACAAATTTTTTTCTTGTATCACCATTTATTTATTATTATTATTATTATTATTATTATTATTATTATTATTTACTAAGGAATGGGATTGGTAGGTTTAATGATCCCTCTGTTTTGACTTCTTTGAGATATTTCCAGACTACTTTCCACTTTGACTGTAGGAATTTACATTGCATCAACTGGGTCTAAGTATTTCTTTTTTTCTGAAGTCTTGCTAGCTTCCATAATTTTCATATTTTTAAATAATGTCTATTCTTATTGATACGAAGTGTTATCTGTTTGTGGTTTTGATTTGCATTTGCTAAGAAGAGCCAGCACAAGTACTCAGGATTTTCAGTAAGTTAGGAGGGTCCCTTTACTTCAAAAGGAGCACACCAGCTGTCTAGTAATGACTCTCAATCAGTCTGTACTTTCTGAAATTACAGAGATAGAATTCACAATCAGAATAGCAATAAATTAGTTGAGATTGAGCAGAAAGTTGAAATAATTCAAGACAGTTAATTCATATAGTGGAACAATTCATTCTCACAGGGAGATTAAAATCCTATTTTAAGAAAGATCCAAGCTGAGCTTCTTGAGATAAAAATAATTACTACAAGCATTTTTTAAATACAATCAGAAATTATAACAGCAAAATAGACCAATCTGAGGAAAAGATTTCATTGCACAAACACTAGTTCTTCAAATTAACACACTCAGACAAAAATCAGAAAATGAAACACATAAGTGAAAAGCAAACTTATGACTAATCAGTATTTCTGCTCTTCTTCAAATAATAGTTCTTAAGAATCTATGACATTAAGAAAACACCGTATGAGGAATATTTGTAAACCCACAGGAGCCGTTTCTCAATTGTAAAATAAAGTTTTTCTCTCTCCTGTCCCTGAGAGACATCCCGTTAATAGTAATAGAATAGATCATCAAAGTAAGGAAGACAATTTCTTAATGACATATCAATGAATCAGATGAGGTAGATCACAGAACTGCTCTTCTCCAGCTCCCTGATAGTCTTTTAGGGCTTTTATTGGGTATATGCCACACTTCAAAATAATGCTGCTCTGACAATGTGACAACTCATTTTCTTTGTTGCTAAATGCTGTAAGCTAACACAGATAGCCCCCTAAATAGAAGAATAATGGAACCTAAACCCTGTGTGAGAAATATTTATGTGAAGGAATTTTGTCATGGAAGCCAGAGGTTGTTTATCTGAAGAATAATTATGCAAGTAATTTCTCACGATTGGCTATTAGAAGAATTGATGTCTGTCTTTTCCAACTTCATGATAAATTTCCATTGAGGTGAATATTATTATTATTTGTTGTTTATTTAATAATAATTTGTGTTTGTTTAATATTATTGTGAGCAATTTTCTGACTAACCAGAATATTTTATTATAAATAGATTTTATGACAATCAGACTATCTTTATAAATAGCTAGTTTTCTGAATGAACTGAAGTTTTGGCTGTGGCAATGTTATAGGAAGTAGAAAGAAATTATTTTGGTACACAGGGTAAAGAGAGTAGCCAGAAGAAAACTTTTCTAACAAAAAAACTTCAGAAATAGCTCCTTTTCTAACTTACACCATTGAAAGAAATCACTTCTTTCCTAAGAAAGGGCAGCATGGAAATTCAGGCTGTAAATCATGGATAAACAGCTTGAGCACAGAAGGAGGGAGTGTCTGCTGGGTAATCACCGAACTTCACACCATATAATCGGCTCCAGTAAAAACAGTGGCCTTTAATATGTACATCCCTTTCCCTTTAGGCACACTACAATGTAGAAGCTAGAAGCAGAAAGGGGAAGGAATGTCTGCAGCTGCAAGAAGATGTCTGGGAACAGTCACAGAAATGCTCCCTCCCAGATAAGCAACACAGAGCAACAGATTAATAGTCTGCTTATGTGTTCAGGGAATGGTGTGAGATCTGATAAAAAAGAAAACAAACAAACAAAAAACACAAAAACCTCTGCTCTGTAAAGAAAGCACATGTAGTCCCAACTAAATTAGCAAGCATTTTATTTTTCTAAGAGATACATTAATTATATTGCCTTTTAACTCACCTTTTCTCCTTTCTACAGTTCATTTTATACTTAACCCTTTAAGTATAAAGTATATACTTCAAGTATAAAGTGTAAGGTTGCTTCATTTCATGGGCCCACCCAGGATTTAAAGGTGTATTCCCTGAAAGGTGAGTACAGGAGTGAACATCTACTTTAATTTTTCTGGCTTCTTGTCCTCAGTTTTTTGTTTTTTTTGTTTTTTTATACGGAGTCTCACTTTGCCACTCAGGCTGACTGCCGTGGCATGATCTCCGTTCACTGCAACAACCTCTGCCTCCTGGGTTCCAGCAATTCTTCTGCCTCAGCCTCCATGCCCGACTCATTTTTGTATTTTTAGTAGAAACGGGGTCTCACCATGTTGGCCAGCTTGGTCACAAACTCCCAATCTCTAGAGATCCCAAAGTGATTGGATTACAGGCATGAGCCACCGCAGCTAGCATGCACTCAGTTTTTATTAACTAAAAGAACTATCAAAAACCATCAAGCATCTGATGGCTGACTAACCACAAGGGCTAGTCTTGAAGACTCAGATGTGAGGCTTACTGGGAAGGACCTAGTCAATCCCTTAGTGCCCTCAGGGTGCTGGGAATGTAGTCTTTGTCAAAACCAGTTTATTTTCGTGGAGAGCTTGGCTGTTGCATGGAGCTTGAATAGGTCTTGGATTAACTGAGAATTTCTGGCCATGGCTACACCCCAGTGTTATTCAAAGGTTTCTGGACTGACCCCAGCCTCCCAACTACCCAACCGGGTGTCAGCCACAGTATCTCAAAGATTTCCTATTGCAAATGTTATTTTCCTCCTTTACTTTTTGAGATCATCGTGTCTCCCATCCCTTCTCTGGATGCAATGCCACAGGATCTTTTACAGAGCAGTGAAATAACTCAATTAAGCAGGCTTAGTAACCAGGAATGCAGGTAAAGGGATTGCAATTTTTTGTGACTTTCTGCAGTCAGGAGGATTTATACCAAATCTCAAAGACTGTTTAACTGCTAATAATAACACTTCCTGGGGTTGGGTAGGAGGTTACTCCTCCTTCCCAAACAACCATCACTGAACACCCCTTTCTCTACCTAGCCTCTTTTTGTTGTTGTTGTTGTTGCTTTCCATGTGAGAAGCCAGCACTGACTAGTCAGACTGGATAGTCCCTCTATGAGGTGAATTGCCTTTTTTCTTCTAGGAGGTGTGCTGTGGGGACAGGTAGCTACAAGTTAAACTTCCCTCTCCATCCTTTGTTTAGAGAGCATATGGAGACAGTTACTGCCTGGTATTTCAGTGCTTACAGTGCCACATCGTGGAATGGGAATCCTCTCCATGGGGAATCTTGTCTGCCCTTTGCCAAAAGCCTTTTAGTCCTCTTTTTAGCAGTAAAGAGTAACATATCTTCCAAAACGAAATTTTAGTCTTAATACTCTCTGCATTAGCAGGAAGACCATCATTTGACACTTATGTCCTCTTGAGACACCTATACTGCCTACAACAAGAATGGCATCTAAATAGAAAGGGGATTTTTTTTATCTGGAAGTTAACTAGAACCTAAACATTCTCAGTTCAGTACACTCCCTCTTTTAAGGGGTCTTGCTTAAATGCAACTATTACATAATCTCTGCCAAGGCTCATCTATCAAGGAGCCACACAAGTCACACAGGTCTAGGAGGTCAGAGGATAATTACCCTATTATTAGAAAAAGGACTGATGTCACATGGGTAAAAGTTACTAGCCCCATTGATTAGGTCCTGTGGTTCTGTGTCTAGAATTGGTTCCTTCCGGTGGGTTCCTGGCTGACTTCAAGAATGAAGCTGCAGACACTTATGGTGAGTGTTACAGTTCTTAAAGATGGTATGTCCGGAGTTTCCTCCTTCAGATGTTCAGATGTGTCCAGAGTTTCTTCCTTCCAGTGGGTTCATGGTTATGGTGACTTCAGTAGTGAAGACACAGACCTTCACAGTGAGTGTTACAGCTCTTAAAGGTGGAGCTTTCAGAGTTATTTGTTCCTCCCAGTGGGTTCTTTGTCTTGCTGACTTCAAGATTGAAGACACAGATGCTCATGGTGAGAGTTACAGCTCATAAAGGTAGTGCAGACCCAAAGACTGAGCAGCAGCAAGATTTATTGTGAAGAGTGAAAGATCAAAGTTTCCACAGCCTGGAAGGGGATCCCAGTGTTTGCCGCTGCTGACTCAAGTGGCCAGCTTTTATTCCCTTATTTGGCACCGTGCATATCCTGCTGATTGTCCCATTTTACAGAGAGTTGATTGGTCCATTTACAGAGTGCTGGTTGGTCCATTTTACAGAGTGCTGATTGGTGCATTTGCAATCCTTTAGCTAGACACAGAGTGCTGATTGGTGCATTTACAATCCTCTAGCTAGATAGAAAAGTTCCCCAAGTCCCCACTCACTGACCCAGGAAGTCCAGCTGACTTCACCTCTCTGTACCATGTTTGAGGGTTACACCTGCAATCATGAGATGGGAATTATGGTGTTGGGACCCAGATACCAAGGAGGGAGGTCAGGGGGAGTCCCCCAATGGTCATCTCCTTCAATCTGGGTCACATTAAAAAGAACCAAGAGACACAAGGATGCCTCTTCTTTTGTCTCTTTTTTTGATGGATGACAAGCCATCTTCAGCTTGCACTTCTCTAGAGTGCATTCTGAAACATTGAGACTCCTTTGACCCTGGAACTTTGAACAAAAACAGCTCATTTTCTTTTGCACAATGGTGTGGCCTTCTTACTGTCTCAGGAATAAAGAGACCTGGCCAGCTGAAAGGAGCCTTGATTCTAATTTTATCCAACAATTAGATCTTTTGTGTAGATGGGACAGCAAATGATCCAAAGTTTGATATGAACAGGCTTTCTTTGCCCTGTGGAGAAAACCCAGACCTTTGCAAGTGCAGACCTTTGCATTCTATGTGTGCCCGAGTTATTTCAGTGTCTCTTATCCAGGGTCCCCTCCAACTGCACCAAAATCTCCCCCACCTCCACCAGGTCCAAAGCTCACCATTTCCCCTGCTTCACTCCTACCCCTATAAGAAATGCCAGATGGAAGGGTCACCACTAAAACACATGTTCTCCTTTCATTATAGGACCTTAGGAAAATAGAGGGAGACTTGGGCTGATCTTCTGATGACCTGGCTAGGAATTTGGAGACCTTTCAAAATTTAACTTAGTGTTCAATCTCAAGTGGAGGGATGTTATGCTGCTCCTATGCCAAACCCTTACTGCAGCCGAAAAGCAGGCAGTTCCTGATATTAGAAAAAAGCTACAGAAACAGGCTATAGGACCAGATTGTATCTTGAAGAACCTCCTGAATGTGGCCTCATTGTTCTCTTACAATAGGACTGGGAGGAGGCCCACGAGAAAAACAGGAAGAACAAGAGAAAGGCTGAGGCTCTAGTGGCTGCTTTGCAGACTTGCAGAGTCCAGGATCCCCCAGGAACTTCCACTGATTGCTACCTGTTACCAGTGTTAAAGCCAGGGCACTTTAAGAAGAATTGCCCAAGCCACAAGAAAAAGCCACCTTGACCACTTTTGTGGTGAAGACCACTGGAGATTGCACTACTGACCACCAAGACAGAGGTCAGTGAGTACGGAATCATTCTCACAGATGCTCCAGCAGGACTGATGGGTTCTGGGGCTGAAACCCCTGGTTCCAATGGTTCAAACATCCATTACTGCTCAGGAGTCCTGGGTGATAATGGAAATTGAAGGGAGGAGGGCAAGCCTCCCACTGGATTCTGGAGCCAGTCTTTCTGTTCTCCTCACCAATCCATGCCTCTCCTCTTCCCATGTCACAACAATGGTGGGTGTCTTAAAAAAGACTCTAACTTGATATTTTTCTCCACTACTTATTTGTAGTTGGGGGGACATATTATTTACACAGGACTCCTTTATTATGCCTGAAAGTCCCACTCCTTTATTAGGTAGAAATATTTTACCCTACCTACATGGAGGCCTGCATCCTCATGGCCCCAGGACAAACTCTTTGTCTTTCCTTAGTGGAAGCCAATATTAATCTAGAAATGCGGGCAACTCAACAAAGAATAAGTCTACTGTAAATCACAGATAAACACCTTGAGCACAGAATGAGAGAGATCACTTGGGTAATCACCAAACTTCACACTCCTACAAATGGGTCCCAGTAAAAACAGTGGGTGTTAATAAGTACATTCCTTTCCTTATAGACACAATAGCGAATCTAGAAGTGGAAGTGTGAGAGATACCTGCAGCTGTTAAGATGTCTGGGAATAGACACACAAACTCTCTCTCCCAGATAAGCAACACAAAGCAGCACAGAGCAACAGAGACTGAAAGTCTGCCTACCTGATCAGGGAATAAGGTGAGAGTTGATAAAGACTCTGCTCTATACAGAAAGCATACCTGGTTCCAACTAAATCATCAGGTTTTATGAGGATAAGACATCCTCTCCTCACTAGTGCCCTCCTCATTAGCCCATTTACAAAAACCCTGAGATTTTAGCACAGCTTGGCAACCTACTCAGGGCTCCTCTCTATGCTGAAGAGCTGTTCTTTTTGTCTATTAAACTCCTGCTCTAAACTCATTCTATGGGTGTGTGTATCCACAGCCTTGATCCACTTGGCTGTGAGACTAAGATCCTTGGTATTTACCACAGACAATTAGGTTGTTTCAGAAATTTCCTGTTTAAAAAAAAAAAAGACATAGATCTAAAATTACCAAGTACCAGAGAAGATAGAAAATCATGTGTTTTTGGATTGTTTTGTTTCTGTTTGTTTTCTCATTGTGCTTAAAATGTCTGAGTTTGACTTTGTATGCATATAATACTTTTACTAGGGGAATTACTGTAAAATATTTGTATATGGATGGCTCTTAACCCTATATCATTGGCACATGTAAGAGCATGGAAGAATAAGACTCAAACAAGAAAGGATTGACCATTTAATGGCATGGTAAGTACACTGCCACATCCAGCTTGAGAGACAACTCACATAGACACAAAAACAAAAACTAGTCAACATTATGTTTCTGCTCCTCTAGACTTCAGAACTGTAAGATAGTTACCCATTTTAAAGTCACTTATTAGGCAATAAACGAGAGAAGAAAAGCAGAAAATTATATCTCTTATGTCTGATTTGAAAAGCCAGACATATTTTGGGGGTTTTCTAAGAGAATTATTTTTGTCCTATAATCACTAATTGTCCTGTAGCATCTTCCTGCTTCAAGACAAAAAAATTAACCCCATCAAAGCACTTGGGATGGAAAACAATTTTTTTCAAACAATGTTAGTAGAAGAGAAACCCATAAAGCCAACAGGATTACCTCAGAATCAGATTTCCCATCTATGTCCTGGTGCTTATTGGATGTTTCTAAAGTTCAAAAAATGGTTAATGCCAGAGGCAGTACTGCTCATTGCTTTAGTGATGTCACAAAACTCTAATGTCATAGCAGCCACTTATCCCACAAGGTGTCCTTATCCCACAAGGTGTCCTTATACTGGACACTTGGCTGCAGTAACCATGGGGCACCGTAGAGGACCATTAGCCCTGCTAAACCATTGGAGTCACCCAGACAGTTTGGCAAGCAACTTGTTGTCACTTTGCCCATGGAAGAATTTATAGTCCATGGCCACAACTGTTATTTCCAGAAGTATGGTCTACTGGCAAATCATGAAAAATCACAATTCCATCCTGAAAGCCGCAAGTATAAAAAAAGCTAGAACAACAATCAAGCATAGAAGAAGAAGATCCAACCAACAGGCAAGTACACAGTTCTCAACTTCAACCAGGACCTTTTCTACCAGCAAGAGCAGAGCCTATGGAAAAGGCTTAATCAATGCCTGCAAACATAAGAATTATATGTCTCAAAACTTTGTTGACATGGCAGATTGGAACACTCTGCAAATTTAAGAAATAAGACCTCCCAGTATAAAAACTTGGCCAGGCCAAAAAAGCAGACTCTCTACCATAGCACTTGCAGGCAAAAATGAGCCCATCTGCAAAAACTTGGAGAAACTAAGACAGGTCACAGTCCATCCTGGATAAGACACCAAAAGTAAAGCCACAAAACAGACTCTTGTCAAAAAAGAAGAGACAATTTTAATGTATCAAATAACTCAGAGGAATGGATTTGAATATCTGAGTACACTGTACAGATGCACAAGGCAGTGCAGGTGTCCTCCATGACATGCAAACCAGTCTGGTTTCTCAAATTTTCATCTCACCTACAGTTCTATTCAAACAGCAGACAGTCCACAGGATAAATGATGGCTATACTATGCTGGATTAGGAGCAAGAATGCAAAGTTCCCGTCTGCAGAGTAAAACAACCATTTTGGAACATAGAAGAGAAGATGAATCCAGCTCAAGATGCAACAGAAGGGGGTGAAGATGAGGTGGTGCAGAGAATACAAGCCCAGGATCTGGATATTTGGGATGGTTGCAGCTGCTTCACACATGGCTGCTGGCCATGAAGATATATTTCAATATTTAATAAAGCCAAGGGTTTTCCATCCTGAAACAACTTCTACAGCGTGAATATTTTATGGCTGTAGAATAGATTAACATTAGTGCCACTGCTAAGAAATTCAAGTGATGCTATTTTGCGCAAGCATGTATCTGTTTTAGCAGTTCCAAGATGGCCAAATAGGAACAGCTCCAGTCTACAGTTCCCAGCATGAGCGATGCAGAAGATGGGTGATTTCTGCATTTCCAACTGAGGTACCAGGTTCATCTCACTGGGGCTCATTGGACACTGGGGACAGGACAGTGGGTGCAGCCCACTGAGTGTGAGCTGAAGCAGGGCGAGGCATCACCTCACCGAGAAGTGCAAGGGGTCAGGGAATTCCCTTTCCCAGTCAAGGGAAAGGGTAACAGACAGCACCTGGATAATTGGGTCACCCCCCCCCCATAATACTGCACTTTTCCAATGGTCTTAGCAAATGACATACCAGGAGATTATATCACGCACCTGAATCAGAGGGTCCCATGCCCACAGAGCCTCACTCATTGCTAGCACAGCAGTCTGAGATGGAACTGCAAAGCATCAGTGAGACTGGGCAAGGGGCACCCACCATAGCTGAGGATTGAGTAGGTAAACAAAGGACATGGGAAACTCAAACTGGGTGGAGCCCACTGCAGCTCAAGGAGGCCAGCCTGCCTCTGTAGACCACCTCTGGGGACAGGGCATAGCTGAACAAATGGCAGCAGAAACCTCTGCAGACTTAAATGTCCCTGTCTCACAGCTTTGAAGGGAGTAGCGGTTCTCCCAGCACGGAGTTTGAGATCTGAGAATGGGCAGAAATTCCTCCTCAAGTGGCTCACAGACCCCCAAGTAACCTAACTGGGAGGCACCCCCCAGTAGGTGCAGACTGACACCTCACATGGCCGGGTACCCCTCTGAGATGAAGCTTCCAGAGGAACGATCAGGCAGCAACATTTGCTGTTCACCAATATCCGCTGTTCTGCAACCTCCGCTGCTGATAACCAGGCAAACCTGGTCTGGAGTGGACCTTCAGGAAACTCCAACAGATCTGCAGCTGAGGGTCCTGACTGTTAGAAGGAAAACTAACAAACACAAAGGATATCCACACCAAAACCCCATCTGTACATCACCATCATCAAAGACCAAAGGTAGATCAAACCACAAAGTTGGGGAAAAAACAGAGCAGAAAAGCTGAAAATTCTAAAAATCAGAGCACCTCTCCTCCTCCAAAGGAATGCAGCTCCTCACCAGAAATGGAACAAAGCTGAATGGAGAATGATTTTGACGAGTTGAGAGAAGAAGACTTCAGATGATCAAACTTCTCCAAGCTAAAGAAGGAAGTTTGAACCCAACACAAAGAAGCTAAAAACCTTGAAAAAAAATTAGACGAATGGCTAACTAGAATAATCAGTGTAGAGAAGTGCTTCAATGACATGACAGAGCTGAAAACCATGGCATAAGAGCTACGTGATGAATACACAAGCTTCAGGAGATAATCAACTGGAAGAAAGGGTATCAGTGATTAAAGATCAATGAATTAAATGAAATGAGAAGTTTAGAGAAAAAAGAGTAAAAAGAAATGAAAAAAGGCTCCAAGAAATATGGGACTATGTGAAAAGACCAAATCTACATCTGATTGGTGTACCTGAAAGTGACGGGGAAAATGGAATCAAGTTGGAAAACACCCATCAGGATATTACCCAGGAGAACTTCCCCAACCTAGCAAGGCAGGCCAACATTTATCTTCAGGAGATATGCAGAACACCACTAAGATACTACTCAAGAAGAGCAACTGCAAGCCACATACTTGTCAGATTCACAAAAGTTGAAATAAAGGAAAAAATATTAAGGGCAGCCGGAGAGAAAGGTCGGGTTACCCACAAGGGAAGCCCAACAGACTAACAGCAGATCTCTCATCAGAAACTCTACAAGCCAAAAGAGAGTGGGGGCCAATATTCAACATTCTTAAAGAAAAGAATTTTCAACCCAGAATATCATATCCAGCCAAACTAAGCTTCATAAGTGAAGGAGAAATAAAATACTTTACAGACAAGCAAATGCTAGGAGATTTTGTCAGCGCAAAGCCTGCTCTACAAGAGCTCCTTAAGGAAGCACTAAACATTTAAAGGAACAACCAGTACCAGCCACTGCAAAAACACGCCAAATTGTAAAGACCATTGATGCTGGGAAGAAACTGCATCAACTAACAAGCAAAATAACCAGCTAACATCATAATGACAGGATCAAATTCACACAAAGCAAAATTAACCTAAAAGGTAAATGGGCTAAATGCTCCTATTAAAAGACCCAGACTAGCAAACTGGGTAAAGAATCAAGACCTATCAGTGTGCTGTATTCAGGAGATCCATCTCACATGCAGAGACACACATCAGCTCAAAATAAAGGGATGGAGAAAGATCTACCAAGCAAATGGAAAACAAAAAAAGGCAGGGGTTGCAATCGCAGTCTCTTATAAAACAGACTTTAAACCAACAAAAATCAAAAGAGACAAGGCCATTACATAACGGTAAAGGGATCAATTCAACAAGAAGAGGTAACTATCCTAAATATATATGCACCCAATACATGAGCACCCAGATTTATAAAGGAAGTCCTTAGAGATCTACAAAGGGACTTAGACTCCCATACAATAATAACGGGAGACTTTAACACCCCACTGTGAACATTAGACAGGTCAATGAGACAAAAAGTTAACAAGGTATCCAGGAATTGAACACAGCTCTGCACCAAGTGGACCTAATAGACATCTACAGAACTCTCCACCCCAAATCAACAGAATATACATTCTTCTCAGCACCACTTAGCACTTATTCCAAAACTGACCACATAGTTGGAAGTAAAGCACTCCTTAACAAATGTAAAATAACAGAAATTATAACAAACTGTCTCTCAGACCCCAGTGCAATCAAACTAGAATGCAGGATTGAGAAACTCACTCAAAACCTCTCAACTACATGGAAACTGAACAACCTACTCCTGAACGACTACTGGATATATAACGAAATGAAGGTAGAAATAAAGATGTTCTTTGAAACCAATGAGAACAAAGACACAATGTACCAGAATTTCTGGGACACATTTAAAACAGTGTGTAGAGGGAAATTTATAGCACTAAATGCCACAAGAGAAAGTTGGAAAGATCTAAAATTGACATCCAACATCACAATTAAAAGAACTAGAAAAGCAAGAGCAAACTCATCCAAAAGCTAGCAGAAGGCAAGAAATAACTAAGATCAGAGCAGAACTGAAGGAAATAGAGACACAAAAAAACCCTTGAAAAAATCAATGAATCCAGGAGCTGGTTTTTTGAAAAGAACAGCAAAATTGATAGACTGCTAGCAAGACTAATAAGGAAGAATAGAGAGAAGAATCAAATAGTTGCAATAAAAAATGATAAAGGGGATATCACCACCAATCCCACAGAAATACAAACTACCATCAGAGAATACTATAACACCTCTTTGCCAATAAACTAGAAAATCTAGAGGAAGTGGATAAATTCCTGGACGCATCCACCTTCCCAGGACTAAATGAGGAAGAAGTTGAATCCCTGAATAGACCAATAACAGGATCTGAAATTGAGGCAATAATTAATAGCCTACCAACCAAAAAAAGTCCAGGACCAGAAGGATTCACAGTCGAATTCTACTAGAGGTACAAGGAGGAGCTGGTACCATTCATTCTGAAACTGTTTCAATCAATAGAAAGAGAGGGAATCCTCCATAACTCATTTTATGAGACCATCATCATCCTGATACCAAAGCCGGGCAGAGACACAACAAAAAAAGAGAATTTTAGACCAATATCCCTGATAAACATCGATGCAAAAATCCTCAATAAAATACTGGCAAACCGAATCCAGCAGCACATCAAAAAGCTTATCCACCATGATCAAGTGGGCTTCATCCCTGGGATGCAAGGCTGGTTCAACATATGCAAATCAATAAACCTAATCCAGCATATAAACACAACCAAAGACAAAAACCACATGATTATCTCAATAGATGCAGAAAAGGCCTTTGACTAAATTCAACAGCCCTTCATGCTAAAAACTCTCAATAATTTAGGTATTGATGGGAGTATCTCTAAATAATAAGAGCTATCTATGACAAACCCACAGCCAATATCATACAGAATGGGCAAAAACTGGAAGCATTCCCTTTGAAAACTGGCACAAGACAGGGATGCCCTCTCTCACCACTCCTATTCAACATAGTGTTGGAAATTCTGGCCAGGACAGTCAGGCAGGAGAAAGAAAGAAATTTCCTCAATTAGGAAAAGAGGAAATCAAATTGTCCCTGTTTACAGATGGCATGATTGTAAATTTAGAAAGCCCCATCCTCTCAGCCCAAAATCTGCTTAACCTGATAAGCAACTTCAGCAAAGTCTCAGCATACAAAATCAATGTGCAAAAATCACAAGCATTCTTCTGCATCAGTAACAGACAGAGAGCCAAATCATGAGTGAACTCCCATTCACAATTGCTTCAAAGAGAATAAAATACACAGCAATCCAAGTTACAAGGGATTTGAAGGACCTCTTCAAGGATAACTACAAACCACTCCTCAATGAAGTAAAAGAGGACAAAAACAAATGGAAGGACATCCCATGCTCATGGATAGGAAGAATCAATATTGTGAAAATGGCCATACTGCCCAAGGTAATTTATAGATTCAGTGCGATCCTCATCAAGCTACCAATGACTTTCTTCACAGAATTGGAAAAAAGCTACTTTAAAATTCGTATGGAACCAAAAAACAGCCCGCATTGCCAAGTCAATCCTAAGCCAAAAGAACAAAGCTGGAGGCATCACACTACCTGACTTCAAACTATTCTGCAAGGCTACAGAAACGAAAACAGCATGGTACTGGTACCAAAACAGACATACAGACCAATGGAACAGGAAAGAGCCCTCAGAAATAATACTACACATCTACAACCATCTGATCTTTGACAAAACTGATAAAAACATGAAATGGGGGAAAGGATTCCCTGTTTAATAAATGGTGTTGGGAAAACTGGCTAGCCATATGTAGAAAGCAGAAACTGGATCCCTGCCTTACACGTTATACAAAAATTAATTCAAGATGGATTAAAGACTTAAATGTTAGATCTAAAACCATAAAAACCCTAGAAGAAAACCTAGGCAATACCATTCAGGACATAGGCATGGGCAAGGACTTCATGTCTAAAACACCAAAAGCAATGGCAACAAAAGCCAAAATTGACAAATGGGATGTAATTAAACTAAAGATCTTCTGCACAGCAAAAGAAACTACCATCAGAGTGAACAGGCAACCTACAGAATGGGAGAAAATTTTTGCAATCTACACATGTGACAAAGGGCTAATATCCAGAATCTTCAAAGAACTCAAACAAATTTGCAAGAAAAAAATGAACAACCCCATCAGAAAGTGGACGAAGGATATGAACAGACACTTCTGAAAAGAAGACATTTATGCCACCAACTGATGTATAAAAAAATGCTCATCATCACTGGCTGTCATAGAAATGCAAATCAAAACCACAATGAGATACCATCTCACACCAGTTAGAATGGCGGTCATTAAAAAGTCAGGAAACAAGAGGTACTGGGGAGGATGTGGAGAAATAGGAACACTTTTACACTGTTGGTAGGAATGTAAACTAGTTCAACCATTGTGGAAGTCAGTGTGGCGATTCCTCAGAGATCTAGAACTAGAAATACCATTTGACCCAGCCATCCCATTACTGAATATATACCCAAAGGACTATAAATCATGCTGCTATAAAGACACATGCACACGTATGTTTATTGCGGCACTATTCACAATAGCAAAGACTTGGAACCAACCCAAATGTCCAACAATGATAGACTGGATTAAGAAATTGTGGCACATATACACCATGAACTAATACGCAGCCAGAAAAATGATGAGTTCATGTCCCTTTTTAGGACATGGATGAAGCTGGAAACCATCATTCTCAGCAAACTATCGCAAGGACAAAGAACCAAACACCTCATGTTCTCACTCATAGATGGGAATTGAACATTGCGAACACTTGGACACAGGCAGGGGAACATCACGCACCGGGGCCCGTTGGGGGGTGGGAGAAGGGGGGAGGGAAAGCATAGGAGATATACCTAATGTAAATGACCAGTTAATGGGTGCAGCACACCAACATGGCACATGTATACATATATAACAAACCTGCACTTTGTGCACATGTACCCTAGAACTCAAAGTATAGTTAAAAAATTTTTTTAAAAGTATCTGTTTTCCACATTGTTATCATAGGTAGTAGAATTTCAGTTATAACTGACCCCAGTTGTTGTATAATTGCAACAGAGTTACAACTGATCCTAGTTGTAATTCTACCTATGCCAAGTCTCCTACCTAGGTTAGTAGACTCTGTTTTGGGGCTATTTTTGATGTGAGATTATAGAACTACACCTGTCTATGAATAGCAGCATTATTTACTTGCACAATGTGCATGGTTTTGCCAAGAAAAACAGGCACTAGCTTCTGAGTCAGAAAATAGAAATATAAAATATAATTTTATTATGAACCATCCCTCTTTTATCTGCACAAGGGCAGCATTAAGCTGAATGCCGCATGGCCCCTAAACTATTGGCAATGCCATAGCACCCTGTCTTTTTTAGCCAGGGAAAGTCTAGAAAGGCCATTGGCAGATAAAACAAAGGTTTGGTAAAGACAATTTTCTGATGGGCTATGGTATAAAGGGATGCTTTGGAAATGTGACAAAGCAAATTATCATAGCTGTGACACAGAAGTTTGCTGTAGGTTTTCTGAGAGTTTTTCTCTCTCTCATATATATATATATATATTTTGCAGATACAAAGGATCTGAGACTCTAAATTAGCTATCTACTTTTTGTGTTTTTGTCCTTTCATCTGGGACATGCTTACACACAATTGAGAACCTTCATTTTCAGTAGAATCCATGTGTTTTACACTCTGCTTCAGCCAACAGGAAATTTAGTTACACCTTTGTTGACCAACCTGATTCTTTAAAAATTTAAGATATAATCTTTTTGCCAGCTTATTGTCTCAAGCTCTTCATCATTAATGAGTACAGGCATTTCCTACATGTTCCAAATATCATCCCGTTTTCCTCAAAGAACCACGTATGTCAACCAACAGTTTTTAGATCTTGTGTTTAAAAGACAAGGGTTTCCAGCCTCCTAAATTGAGGCCACCTACGGTGTGGTAGAAAATTTTTAAAAAATGCTAAAGATGTAGACTAATATATTCAATATTGCCTAATATTCCTCAAAGAAAGGACTTTGTGTTTTCCTACTCGATAGTTTGTAGAAACAAAACAAAACAAAAATTGTAGAGATGGGGATAATCTGAAGTGTGTACTTATGCAGTAATTAAGAATGTACAAATTTTTATAAAATTTGACCTTCATTTTACATATGAACATAAAATTGTGATGGCACCATGGAAAAGAGAGGATAATACTCAGGTCAGTACCTTGTACAGAAAGGCATCGCCACTTGATTTCCTTTATAGACCTACCCCACAATTAACCTGGCCTTTCTTAGACCTAGAAATATTGCATTAAAACCTTCAAATTGTTTTTTTGTTCAATATTATGATTGATGTTGCACTTCTCTCTGCTCTCAGAAGTATAATAAGTAATTAAGAATAGTAACAAAAATAGATGCTTTTTTCCAGTACACTGAAATAGTAATTGCAATAATCTACAGAAACTATGTATATAAAAAGCAGCATTCTCTCTTCTAGAGAAAAAAATTAAATGATTTTAAATAGTTGGATATGTAAGAAGAAAAACTCTCATGAAAATAACCCCTTTGGATGGACATGTTGTAAAGAAGCAGTCAGTTTTTGTTTTGTTTTGTTTTTATTATACCTTAAGTTCTAGGGTACATGTGCCCATGTGCAGGTTTGTTACATATGTATACAGGCATCATGTTGGTGTGCTGCACCCATTAACTCTTCATTTACATTAGGTATATCTCCTAATGGTAGCCTTCCCCCTCCCCCCATTTTAGAAAGAGGCCTGGCCTTACATTTTGATGTAAACTGCCTGAAATTCATGTTCTAATAAAAAGCATTGTTTGGTTTATCTCTAAATGACATAAACAAGCTGAGAGAAATTTTTTTCTCTCTGCATTACTCTTCATTTTCACAGGGTGAAAAAAAAAAAAAAACCTTATGTGTGTTTAGGCCTAGAGAACCTTACTGTGGTTCCAAAGACACACTTAAAACAGATCCAGATATTTAATATTGGAGATACAGATGAGTTAAAGATAAGTGAATGTAACTAGAGAAAACAGAGAATCTCTAAAAATTTACTTTACATGATAATCTTTAGTGTCCTAAAGGTTTTTCAAACAAGTAGTTAAATTATGAATGGTACTACCTTATCTTCAATGCCAAGAACATTTGAATTCATCCATTCAATTATCCAAGAACATTGAATTAATCCATTAAAGGTCAGACATGGTGGTTTATGCCTGTAATCCCAGCAGTTTAGGAGGCCAAGGAGGGAGGATCATCTGAGGTCTGGAACCAGATGAGACCAGCCTGGCCAATGCAGTGAATCTCCATCTCTACTAAAAATGCAAATATTACCTGGGAGTGGTTGTTGGTGCCTGTAATCCCAGCTACTCAGGAGGCTGCAATCCAGCCTGGTGACAGAGTGAGACTCTGTCTCACAAAATAAAAAATAAAAAAGAGAGAGAGATAGACTTAAAAAAGGAGAATACTGTAATTCAACTTTCCTTACAGAAGTGGTCAGTGTTTTTCCTTTCTTAGATGACAGTTCAAGTGCCCATCTGCAGATGTCCCTGAAGACAATAGTGTAGTTGCTAATATTGCAGGTGGACTCTTTCTTGGAGTTAGCAGTGGACAGGCTCATGAGGTACTGATTGCTTGTCTTTTTTAAAACCTCAGGTGAACTAGTATATGTTAGTGTTGATGTTCTGTACATAGATGCCCTAGAGACAAGTTATTCCACTAATGTTTATTCACCTGAGAGAGAGATTGAGAAAGAGGGTGAGAATATTTGCCAGAAGATAAGAAAGCCCCAAGCATTGTGGTTGATTTTGGACATCAACTGTAGGAATGATTCAGCTTTCCACTAAATTAAACAAATGTGTGTTTTTACATGAAAGTACAAGTTACCTTAATGGAACTGGGTAAAAACTGCCCATAATTGAATTTATATTCTCATAGAACTAAGGAAAGCAAATGATCTTAACATGCTGCAAGTTGAGGAAGCACAGTGTTTGATATATTATCTGATGTGTAGTTGCAGCATGTTCTTTTGGTAGGTCTTTCCACTTATTTTATTTCATTTTGAAATGGAAAAAGTTCCCTTGACCCCCTTACAGGGCATGTGATGGGGATACGGCTTACTTCTTTGGTGCCCTGCTACTCAAAACCCCTAAGGGAAGAAGCAGATGGGCAGGTCATGTGAAGTGTGGGCTTCCAACCCATGGTAGTATCTTAAGGTGAATGTTTACAGCTCCTGAAGTTCCAGTGGGCATGTGTTACAGTGTGCTTTTTTAGTTTTATGCCTGTAGGCAACTCATATAAATCAGGTCAATTAGACCCTCTGCCTTATTGCAAGGACAGAGGACCTGTGTCCTGGAGTTCTTCCCCTAAGGTAGTAGAAAAATTGAATCACACATGGGCTTGCATAATGAGTCCAAGTTTTTCTTAAATGATGAATATAGCTCTCTGCATTTATTAGTCCATTTTCATACTTTTGATAAAGACATACCAAAGACTGGGAAGAAAAACAGGTTTAATTGGATATACAGTTCCACATGGCTGGGAAGTCTTCAGAATCATGATGGGATGAGAAAGGTACTTCTTACATGGTGGTGGCAAGAGAAAATGAGGAGAAAGTAAAAGCGCAAACCGCTGATAAACCTATTAGATCTCCTGAGACTTATTTACTAGCATGAGAATAACACAAGAAAGACTGGCCCCAGTGATTCAATTACATCGCCCTGGGTGCCTACTACATCATGTGGGCATTATGGGAGATACAATTCAAGTTGAGATTTGAGTTAAGACACAGCCAAACCATATCATTCCACTCCTGGCCCCTCCATATCTCATGTTCTCACATTTCAACAACAATTATGTTTTCCCAACAGTCCCCTAAAGTCTTAAGTCATTTTAGTATTAACCCAAAAGTCCACACTCCAAAGTCTCATCTGAGAGAAGTCAAGTTCCTTCTGCCTATGACCCTGTGAAATTTTAAGCAAGCTAGTTACTTCCTAGATACAATGGGGATACAGGTATTGGATAAATAGAGTCATCCATATTGGAGAAATTGGCCAAAACAAATGGGTTACAGGCCCTACAGAAGTCTGAAATCCAGCAGGGCAGTGACATTTTAAAGTTTTAAAATAATCACCTTTGATTCCAGGTCTCCCATCCAGGTCACATAGGTGCAAGAGATGGGTTCCCATAGTCTCGGGCACCTCCACCCCTGTGGCTTTGCAGGGTACAGCCTCCCTCCTGGCTGCTTTCACGGGCTGGCCCTGAGTGTCTGTGGCTTTTCCAGGTGCACAGTGCAAGCTGTCAATGGATTTACCATTCTGGGATATGGAGGGCAGTGGCTCTCTTTTCACAGCTCTACTAGGCAGTGCCCCAGTAGAGACTCTGTGTGTGGGCTTTGACCCTACGTTTCACTTTCACACTGCCATAGCAGAGGTTCTCCATGAGGGACATGCCTCTGAAGCAAACTTTTTCCTGGGCATCCACGTGTTTTCATACATCTTCTGAAATCTAGGTTTAGGCTCCAAAACCTCAATTCTTGACTTCAGTGCACCTGCAGGTTCAACATCACATGAAACTACCTAGGTTTGAGGCTTGTACATTCTGAAACCATGGATCAAGCTGTACCTTTTCCCCATTTAGCAATGTCTGGTGCAGCTGGGACACAGGGCACCAAGGGCTTACTGCATCATCAGTCTGCAAATTTTCTGATTTTTTTCTCTGTTTCCCTTTTAAAATGGAATGTTTTTAACAGCACCCAAGTCACCTTTTGAATGTTTTGTCATTTAGAAATTTCTTCAGCCAGACACCCTAAATTATCTCTCTGAAGTTCAAAATTTCACGTCTCTAGGGCAGGGGGAAAATTCCACTAGTCTCTTTGCTAAAACATAATGCAAGTCACCTTTGCTCCAGTTCCCAAGTTTCTCATCTCATCTGAGATTACCTCAGCCTGGACTTTATTGTTTATATCACTATTAGCATTTTTGTCAAAGCCATTCAACAAGTCTCTAGGAAGTTCCAAACTTTCCCACATTTTCTTGTCTTCTTCTGAGCCCTCCAAACTGTTCCAACCTCAGCCTGATACCCAGCTCCAAAGCTGCTTCCACATTTTTGAGTATCTTTTCAGCAACACCCCACTCTACTGGTACCAATTTACTGTATTAGCCCATTTTCATGCTGCTAATAAGGAAACATATCTGAGACTGGAAAGAGACACAGAGGTTTAATTAAACTTCCAGTTCCACATGGCTGGGGAGGCATCAGAATCATAGTGGGAGGTGAAAGGCACTTCTTACATGGTAGCTGCAAGAGAGAATGAGGAAGAAGCATAAGCAGAAACCCATGATAAGCCCATCAAATCTTCTGAGATTTATTTACTATCATGAGAATAACACAGGACGACAAGACCCCATGATTCAATTACCTCCCCCTGGGTCCCTCCCACCATACATAGGAATTCTGGGAGAAAAATTCAAGTTGAGATTTGGGCGGGGACACAGCCAAACCATATTACTACAGATAAATAGGAAGCCAGAAGGGGGATACAGTGAAAAGGTGGTTTTCCCCTGGAGTCAGGCTGCTCAGTGGCTGAACTATCCTCCAACAACCCCAGCCAAATTTCCTTCATTGTTAGTGTCCTTCTGCATCTTGATGGCCTGCCAGTGACTGTTGTTGTGCTCTTCCATTCCTCTGCTCCTCTCAGTGTCCAGCCACCTGTGTGTTCTTCTGCTAGTGTGTTCTTCTAAACATCCAGCCACTTGTGTGTGTGCCCACTAGGGTCTCAGGGTTATTATAGGCACAGGATGGAGGGCATGGCTGGACATGGTGTTCTTGGGAAATGCAATATTTGGGCATAAAAACAGGAGTGCCTGTCCTGACCTAGGTCCATTGCCATAGGCCAGAGGATGGAGAGACCTCACCAGAGACCAATTTTTTCTATCCAGCATTACCGTATCTCTCTCCTATATCATTTGCCCTTCCTGAAGAGGTACATCTAATTGCTGTTAGAATTTGGATGACCACCAGTCTTAAGCTACTTCCTGCTGACAGGGAAAGCAGCAGTCAGATTTCTCCCAGATGTCTATCTAAGGGTTCCTAGTAAGTGGAGCCATCATCTGAAGCTCCCATTGTCTGACCATTTGGAATTTTGTGGCTGCTAAGTCAGAGAGAAACACGTTTTATACAGTTATGTATGCATAGGTTAAACATGTGTATTGTAAAAGGAAATAATTTATTGCCAAAGATTACAGAGATAAGAAGTGAAACGTACTAACAGAAACATTTTACCTGAGTTGTTTCACCCTGACAAAATAAATTAAACTTTGTATGGAGGTAGTTAAACTTTAGAAGATAAATAACTGTTTTTGCCATATCTTTAACAGTTACCAGGTGCACCCTGGGAATTCTGAAGTTTGTGGGGATTACTTGGCAGCCATTAAGTCTTCTTATTCTTTCCTGTTTTTTCTCTCTTTTCTGGGCCTCTCCGTTTTTATTATAAAATACAATGGTGGCTATTTCAGGAGGTTCTCTAAAGTACTATCCAGATCCAGGACCTGTTTTTGTAGCTTCTTCTGATACCAGAATTGGTCTGGGCTAGTTGTCCCTCAACTAAGTTAGGAGATAAAGAGGGGCACTTTACCAATGCTCCATTACCTTAACAGTAAGGCAGTGGGATGTTTATCAAATCCTTGGTCAATCATGGACAACTTAGTATAATTAAGTGGCTTGGTACTAGTTCTACATAAGCCTTTCATTATACACACTTGAAAGTGTCTCCTCTTCCAGTCTTTCATCTTGTCATTGGGATCCCATTTAGGGTCATCCATTGGTACTGCTTCTATTCCAGTTGGATAATGTTTTTCCCCTTCCCTTATGCTATGTGTTATGCCAAGCTCATCCTCAAATTTCTCTGTTGCTTACAGAGTGCCCTATTTCTCAGTGTCCATCAGGGTCTGATTCAAAAGTAACTTAACATCGGCCGGGTGCAGTGGCTCATGCCTGTAATCCCAGCACTTTGGGAGGCCGAGGTGGGCAGATCACGAGGTCAGGAGATCAAGACCATCCTGGCTAACATGGTGAAATCCCATCTCTAGTAAAAATACAAAAAGTTAGCCAGGTATGGTGGTCAGTGCCTGTAGTCCCAGCTACTCAGGAGGCTGAGGCAGGAGAATGGCATGAACCTAGGAGGTGGAGCTTTCAATGAGCCAATATCGCACCAGAACGAGACCCCGTCTCCAAAAAAAAAAAGAAACAAAAAACAAAACAAAAAAAAAGAACATAACATCTATCTAGGAGAGTTCAAATATTTGAGTGAAATTTGGAAAGCATTTATTTCTCTAGCAGGGTCATCTGAAAACCTGCCAAGATCCTCAGTTTGCTCTGAGTCCTGTAGGAAAAAAAAGACCTGGACCTTACTATGCCCAAATTCACTGGGTGTATGTTGGAGGGGAAAGAGGGAGACTGGGGCTTGTTTCAAAAGAGGATTTCTAGAAGTGGGCAAGTGAAAGGCTGAAGCTGGATGGAGAAGTTGGAGGATACCTAGAGAAGCAGTGTTGGGAGCAAGCCCCCCAAAATCTAGCCATAAACTGGCCCCAAAACTGGCCATAAACAAAACCTCTGCAGCACTGTGACACGTTCATAATGGCCCCTAACGCCCAAGCTGGAAGGTTTTGGGTTTACGGGAATGACGGCAAGGAACACCTGGCCTGCCCAGGGTGGAAAACCACTTAAAGGCATTCTTAAGCCACAAACAATAGCATGTGCAATTTATGCCTTAAGGGTATGTTCCTGCCGCAGTTAACTAGCCCAACCCATTTCTTTATTTCGGCCCATCCATTCGTTTCCCATAAGGGATACTTCTAGTTAATTTAATATCTGTAGAAACAATGCTAATGACTTGTTTGCTGTTAATAAATATGTGGGTAAATCTCTGTTGGGGGTCTCAACTCTGAAGGCTGTGAGATCCCTGATTTCCCACTTCACACCTCTATATTTCTGCGTGTGTGTCTTTAATTCCTCTAGCACCACTGGGTTAGGGTCTCCCCAGCCGAGCTGGTCTTGGCACAGCAGGGCTGGAGGGACCTGGCTCTGCTGCTGGGAGTCCCTTTGGGACTCTCATTTTTAATTTCCTGGTCTTGCCTCTTGCAACCTTTCCTGAGATGGCAAAAGGGAGGGCTAGGTCAATCCTACAATGTTGCCAAAGGTCTGGATTGTCTTGCAAGGTATAGAAAGCATACACATATGGGGCCTCAGACCATCTATCCTCACATCTACAAAACACTTTCAGATGCCAGATGGTAGAAAAATACACGGTTGTTTCCTGAGCCCAAGCCAGTCTTTGCTATAAATTATAATTTGGCAAAACCTTTGTGCAGAGTGCTATGAAGTGTTTTTTTTTCTCAAGATTCTGAAGGTCAAGGCAGTACTAATAGTTCAGAATACACTCCAAAGAAGTATGAGCTGGGGTGGTTAAGTAAACTGGTTGCCCATTCTGAAATATACAGAATAAAGGTGTCCCTCATTTGCCCCTCTTTTTTTTTTTTCAGCAAAAACTCAATGTGTGATGGAGAGAGAAAGCAAGCATCCTCCCTTTCCTTCCACCTTTTATCCCTGAGTCCCTATGGCATTTGCAGTTGCCTCCCATAGGTACCAATGTGATATGTCCCCATGAAGCAGGGAAAACTTGGAGAATAAGAATTAACTGCCCTTACCTATGCCTTCCTGCTGTCAACAACTTTTGTGTTTCCTTGGCTTGTTTATGTCATGGGGCATAGCCTTCTTCCATGGGGTGGAGGATTTAGTCAGCAGGAATTGATCCTGCCCATTTGTATTGTACCTGTTGCCTGGCTTTCGATCACCGAAATCTGTTATTTCTATTTAAGGCTTCAGCCTGAAACTTGAAATCAAATTTGGGACTAAAATGATACTTCAAAGGCTGTTAGTATCCATTTAGAATGTTGCAAAGAAGCCCTGCCAAATTTGCTTGCAGGGGTCAATCAGCCAGCAGGGGTCAATTCTCCATTAACTTTCCTTTCAGAAATAGAATGCTGGAAGGGGAAGTCCTCTCACTTAGAAAAGGTGGAGAAAATGAGAAAAACTCTTTAAACTAAAAAAAAAAGTTCCTGGAGAAGGAACCCCTTGCTCAGTGCAAGCTGGTTCCTTTAATCCTTGTGTCCTTCCCTCAATTCAGACAGGGTTGGATTCCTTGGTCAGGGGAGAAACATTCTTTGGGTGCAATGGCTGAGAAGCATCTGTCTGTTGGCCCCGTGTGGTCACAACTACTGCTGCAGTTTTCTCCCTCCCTCATCTCAGGTAGCAGAGGCTAAGGTCCTGCAGGCTAAGACAGCAGAGGCTAAGGAAGCCGAGACTGGTGCTGCTCTTCTCCACCCCTTCATGACTGTTCAGTGAGGCCTTTGCATTCTGTGGACATGTCTAGGCAACTTAGCTAAAAGGGAAAAGTGTAAGAAAATATATCTTGAGCCATGCATGCCTGTGGCTGTTGGGGTGGAGACAGAGACAGTACTTCTAAAAACAGTTGGTCTGATTTGCATGTTTGGCAGCTAAGTAAGACAAATGCTCATTTTGCTTAGCAACATTGCTGTAGCCTGCAGCAAAACTTTTTTCTTTTTTTCTTTTTTTTAAATTATACTTTAAGTTTTTGGGTAAATGTGCACAATCTGCAGGTTTGTTAAATATATGTAAACTAGTTCAACCATTGCGGAAGTCAGTGTGGCGATTCCTCAGGGATCTAGAACCAGAAATACCATTTGACCCAGCCATCCCATTACTGGGTATATATATACCCAAAAGATTATAAATCATGCTGCTATAAAGACACATGCACGTGTATGTTTATAGCAAAACTCTTAAACACCATAAAGGAAGAGATAAGATCTATTTCAAACCATGAGAGACAGAAAAGAGAAGTCTAGCACATACTAAAGGAAATATTTCATTTGGATAGCATTTTTCACAAACCAAGAAGTGATAGCCAACAAACCTATGATGCATTGTGTAGCCATTGGTTGTTAAGCTACAAACTTATATACCATGCTAGTCTACTAAATATTGTAGGCAGTTATAACACAATGGAACGTGGCTTTGTAACTAAACATAAGTAAGTATAAATGAGTACACTTAAAATAATGTGGAAGACTTAACTTATAGCATTCCTATGTGGGGCTTTCATAATAAATTAAGTCTGCAAGACAGTATGTTCTCTGGGAGACAAACAAAGTAAATAATGAGAAAAGGTGAATGTCCATAACATTACTATACACTACTGTATACCTGATTAACACTTTATAGTTGGACTACCCTTAATTTACGTAGAGTGCCCTCCCTCAGGAGCAATATGTGCTTCGATAGTGTAAAATTTTACTTCATGAAGCAACTTTGTATTTTGTTTGAAATTTAGACAGTTCTCTACATATATTTAACATAAAGCATAAATATGTTTTACAGCAGCTCAAAAATATTCTAAGCTTGATTCTATTTCTATAATCTATATATTTAATTTTATATGTTCTAAAATTCTAAAATTTAAAATCAAAACCTCTGAAGTGCAAACACACACAGTGCCAGATATTACACATGTCCAGGACTTTCAGTATAACACTCTGTTCCTCCTCATCTTGTCCAGATAGAAATTCTTAAGAGCAAAAGCACTCATGTTGCTCCACATCTCATATGGTAACAATAACTTTCTCTGGTATGCATTTTGCCAAACCTTTGAGAACATCTTAAGTTTACATTTTATAAGAAAATATTGAGGGTACTTTCCCCAATAAATGTAAAGTATATTCAATGCTTATAGTAGATGGTCATTTGATATTATTTTCAAGACTGATATTCTGTATATAAAATATGAGTTAGACGCCTGTTAAACTTAAAGTGTTTCATGAACAAATTCATTACCTAATTTCTTCACTATGCCAGAGGACTACATGTTAAAAGTCCATTTTGCTTTTCTGAGAGTACTAGAGATGAATATGCAACCATGGATTAAGGCAATTCATTGTCATGGAGCCTTGTGTGCACATGCAGTTTGTAAAATGATTTACAAAATTCAATAGAGCATTGTTCAACCAATGCCTCTTTTTTAATTGGGAGATAATTTCATTCATTGCAAAAACAACCTAGGTCCTGTGGAGACAAAGACTTCATTGGGGGGAGCTTGAGAACAGCAATCTTAGATCTGAATGTGGGCAAGAATGATAATAGTCAGTGATTGGTACCCAGAAAAATGAATACTAAACATTTCACATTCAAAAAAGAAAAGTTCTAACCAGATTAGCCATAACATCTGCCAGGAAAGTGGAAAAATCTTTGTAGGAAGATTACTGGAAGAATCCACGTTATTCATAAGTATATTATGCATTTGGAAATTGTTTCAAAAATATTCTAAGCATCCAGAACATCAAGTATGCAGGTTGCTACTCTGCTTTGGAGGTCAGATGATACAAGGGATCTCATCAATATGGGAAGATAAAGCTTTGGCTGTTGCAGTTTTTCATACATTTACAAGCACAGGGTGCCTGCTCTCTCTGGTTTTTCAAACACTGGCTAAAAACACATTGTCTTCACAAATGCTTCTGTACCCTAATCCAGGTAAAATGTCTTCTGTGCATGCTGGCCCAAAAGACCAGATGAGAGGGACCAGTTATTGAGTGGGTTCGAATCCCTAGACAAAGAGGTTATTTTACTTCATGTATACTACTAGGAGAGGTAGGAGTAGGAAGATACGATTATACACTTAATAGCTGTGCAAGCTTATAGAGAGAAAAATATAGTTTTTTGAGAAAAACAACTGAACCACAATATAGGTATTTCTATTCTAAATGCAGACAATTATTATTTTTTAAGCAAATGGCAAGTGAAACTGTTACTTTAAATGAGGCAACAAGAAGGTTTCAAATTCTCAAATACAAGATAAAACACAGAAACTTACCTCATTTTCTGAACAGCACAAAGTAGGAAGGCTTAAGAAATCTTCTGTTATGACAGTAATGAATAGCCATCACTGTTTAGGTCTGCATTTCATTAATCTGTAAAAGATGTGGCTTTGAGATATAACCAAATTACCCACCAGTTTTTTAATATGAAGAATAAACTAAGAATATTTTCTACACTATTAACCATGAAAAGATGTAAAAATTATTTGGTTCTCATAAACATTTTATTTAAATTCAAATTTCAGCCTAAAATTACAATATATTCTTAGGAGAGATGTAGGCTCATCTGCTTATATATACAAAACAGAGCAATTATAACAGGGTACATTGACGTCTTGTGTGTGTCTGTGTGTTGCCCCTGCCACATTGCTATTTACCATAGGGCAGATATAACTCAATAGTTTCAATGGCCATATATTGTTCCTACCACACTGTAATCATAATATTTAAAGAAACTTCAATGTTGTGATCCAAGCTTTTGGTCACTGAAGCTGTACCTGCAATATGAGACACCACTAGCCCAGTAACAGTGTGGTTTTGGAGACACAGTGGTTCTGCCTTGGAGGTGTTTGATTTATCTGAAAGAATTATCTAAATTATCAAGCAGACACTCTTGATATTCTTCCTTATTTTCTCCCAAATAAACTGGCTATTGAGAGAAAAGGAAGTGAGAGGCTATCTAGGAAGATAGAGAGAAGGGGTCTTGGGAAAGAAAAAAACCCCCATGGGACTACATCTGCACTTCCCCCGTAGCTTGAGGGAAGAAATGTGGTTAAGAATTTCATTTTACACCAGGATGTCTGCTCAGAAATTACTGACTCAACTTAGGTGCAGGTGCAATAAATCAACAAAATGTCCATACATTCATCCAGACCTGATTGTAATATCTTTAGCATTGTCGTTTTGCCACACCCACCCCCACACCATGGGTTTTGCTTAGACACTCATGGGTAATAACCCAGATGGAGTCACTATGGCTAACCTTAGGCATGTGCAGATGCAACATCCCTGGGTCAGAGCAGGGAACTTTACCCCTCCCATTTTTGTGAAACCCACAGAAGCCTGCTTGTTTTTGCCACAAATAAGATCCAGAACACAATCACATTTCTGGCAACGCTTTTCACATCCCTTCTAGCTGCTGAGAGCTTTTCTGTTGCTTAGTACAATTTTGTTTTGCATTCTCTGGTATGCGCATGTCTTATTCTTCTTGATTATATGGCAAGAACTTAGACCTTGCTAAACTAAAGAGTAAGGATATGGCAACACTATCTCTTTCCGTGTTGAGCTTCATGGAGCTGGAGGAAAGATGATACAACCACCACTGTGGCTACCACAGCTGAGACAACCCTGATTACACCTGAAGGCAGCACTGTACTGAGTATTGCCCAAGAACCACTATAACAACTGTCTGTATACTACCTATATCCATTCACGAACCTAAGGATCTAAATTAGTTGGTACTGAAGCCTGCCAGTCTATTGCCCTTCCCTTTAGGGTGTGAGTTTCCCTAAGATTTTCAGGGTTTTATATATTATGACTTCATTTTATTGCAAATTATTTTAGGGTGGTATGACATAAAAATATATTGATTGATTGATTGATTGATTGATTGATTGTGGGTATATAGTTTACTCAGTATCAAGTTCAAAAAGACCATACATTCTGCATTATTATTATTGGGATCCTCATTAAAGATTAGTTGGTCTTATATACATTAATTTATTCTGAGACTCTTTATTCTGTGCCATTAATTTTGTGTCAGTTTTTATGCACATTTTTATATAACTTAGCCTTGAAATATAGTTTTGAATTGGAAACTATGATGCTCTAGTCTTAGCTTTTTCTTAAAATTTCATTGGTTATTTAAAGTCTTTTGTAGTTTTTATACAAATTTTAGAATTGTGTTTTCTATTACTGTAAAAATATCATTGAAATATTTATAGATGGTGCATTAAATCTATAAATCATTCAGGATAATATTTCATTTTAAAAATATTCTTCAAATCTAAAAACATGGTATATCTTTTTAGTCATTTGTGTCTTCTTCAATTAATATCTTAATATATTTTATCTTCTAGTTAAATGCATTGATAACATTTACTGTTAGATGGGTACGAAAGTAATTGTGATTTTCACCACTTTTGCACTTTTAATGGCAAAAAACACAATCACTTTTGCACCAACTTAATATTTTTATACTGTTATAAATGTGATTGCTTTCTACATTTTATCTGATAGTTTATCATCAGTGATACACTAGAGAGTATAACCAATGTTTGTATGTTAATATTATATGTTGCTAATTTACTGAATATTCTTATTATTTCAAATAGTTATTTTATGTACTCTATGGTTTTCTATATATAAGATTATGTCATTTACAAATGGCAACCTTTCTACTTTCACTTTCCAATTTGGATGTTAGGTTTTTAAACATTGTTTTGCCTAGTTATGGATTCCTGGGATAACTGAATCTCCCATTGGATTGCAATGGAGAGAGGTTGTAGTTGTGTTACTAAGCCGCTGCTGAATCTGCAGTGGGGTTGGCCTTTGGTTGTCATGTAACTAAAGGACTTGCATAGATGTATATCTCCTTGGTGTCTTAAAAAACTATATTGCTCTCAGGACTTTTATAAGTAGAGAAGACACTAGGGTAAATGGATGTGGCTCTCAATTAATACATGAAAGAATTTTCATCAGTCACTTTGTGGGTTTTATGCAGAAATTATTAACTGTGGACTGTAGCTGAGAGAGCTAGAACTGAGTCACAAACTGCTTTAGGTACCGCAGTTAAAACTAATGTCTGTAAGCTTTTTCCATGCCTACATGGCTGTAAAAGGACATATGTAACTTCAAATCTATTGATGAGAAGGACTACTTCCAGATAGTGACTGGGAAAAATTGGAGGGAGTTACAAGATCACATTAGAATTCTTAGTGGGACTAAGTTGAGTGGGCAATTTCCTGGTCTTTAACTTGAACCATGCGCTTTTCAGTTTGCCATGTGAATGAAGGCCTTCTTAAAATAGCTTTTCTAGGTCTTGGGCTCTAACAGAGATTGACAACCTCTATCTGACAACCTGTATCCCAAAGCTCACATAAAAAACTTGCCCAGGGATGACTGACAAATGTTGTTACCCTGAGAGGGTATACAAGTGGGATCCACCCATTCTGTGATCCTACTGATGTTACTTTTCCTATGTGTTTTTACTTTCTGATTTTTATGTTACAAGCAGTCAATAAACATTAAAAAGGCTCAACATCAATATTAATCAAAGAAACACAAACCAAAACCATAATATAACATTCCACGGCAGTCAGAATGACCACTATTTAAAAGTCAAAACAACAATGTTGCTAAGGCTGTAGAAACAAAGGTAGTGCTTATACACTGTTGGTGGAAATGTTCATTCACCTAAGATGGAAAGGAGATTTCTCAGAGAACTAAAATGGAATATCATTTAACCCAATAATCACCTTACTGGATACACATTTAGAATAATAAATTGTTCCACCAAAAAGACACACAGTCCTGTGTCCATAGCAGCACAATTAACAGGAGCAACTACATGAAATTAACTTAGGTATCCATCAACAGTATATTAAATAAAGAATAACTGTTACACATATACACCATGGAATACCTTTGCATACTAACTACCACATATTCTCATTTATAAGTAGGAGATTAATTCTGAATACCCAGAGATATAAAGATGGTAACAATTTTTTTCTATAATTCTACATTCAAAAGTTCAAAAAGTGTTCTAGAATTTACACTTTTTTATGGCTACAATATTTTTATTAATTCAGTTTCTAAATGATTAACATTTTTGGTTACCTATAGATTGTTTTATGCTTTTTCTATTATGCAGTTTTTTCATAAACTGCTCACAATTTTAATAATTTTTATATGCTGTTTGATAGAACTCTAAAGCTGTTGAATTAAAACATTGTAGCTATTTTAAATTTGAGAGTACATGTACAGATTTGATACAGAGTTAAATAGCACTGGGGTTTGTTGTGCAAATCATTTTGTAATCCAGGTAGTGAGCACAGTATATGAGAGTTAGTTTTTGATTTTCAAGCTTCTCCCAACCTCTGCTCTCAAGTAGGTCTGCATATCTATAGCTTTATTCTTTGTGTCCATGTGTTCTCAAGGTGTGGCTTCCTCTTATAAGTGAGAACACATAATATTTGGTTTTCTGTCCCTGGATAAATTCACTTAGAATACTAGTTTCCAGCTACCACTGTATTGCTGCAGATGACACAGAATTGTTCTTAGTATTTCTGTGTAGTATTCCATCATTTACATGTAGCACATTTTCTTTATGCCTTCCACTATTTATGGACATAAAGGTCGATGCCATGTCTTTACTCTTGAAAATAGTGCTGCAATGAATATATGCATGCATAAGTCTTTATGGTAAAATGATTTATATTCATTTGGGCATATACACAGTAATGGGTTCTTTAGGTTGAATGTTAATTTTGTTTTCTATGCTTTTAGAAATATCCAAATTCATTTTGCAGTTGATGTATAATTTCCATTTTAACAAGCAGTGTATAAGCATTTCCCTTTTCTTGCACCATGTTACCACCAGGTTTTGTAGTTTTTGTTTGTTTTGTTTACTTTTTCTTTTTGAAACAGTCTCGCTCTGTCGCTCAGGCTGGATGGAGAGCAGTGGCGCTATCTCAGCTCACTGCAAGCTCTGCCTCCCAGGTTCACGCCATTCTCCTGCCTCAGTCTCCCGAGTAGCTGGGACTCCAGGTGCCCTCCACCACGCCCGGCTAATATTTTTTGTACTTTTAGTAGAGATGAGGTTTCACCTTATTAACCAGGATGGTCTCGATCTCCTGACCTCGTGATCCCCTTGTCTTCACTCCCAAAGTGCTGGGATTACAGGCGTGAGCCACCGCGCCCGGCCTTACTTTTTATTAATATCCACTCAGACATTCAGACTGATGTGAGATATTATCTCATTGTGATTTTAATTAACACTTCTGTAATGATTAGCAATGTTAAACATTTTATATCTTTCCTCGACACATGGAGGTTTTCGTGAGAAGTGTCTGTTAATTTCTTTTGCCCATTTTTAATAGGATTGTTGTTTGCTTTTCATTTATTGATTTGTTAAAATGTTTTCTAAATCCTGGGTATGAGATCTTTATCAGATTCATAGTTTACAATTTTTTTCTCATTTCATACATTGTTTACTCTGTTGGTATATTCGTTTGCTGTGCAGAAGCCCCTCAGTTTACTTAGGTCCTAATTGTCAAATTGTTATTGTTGATATTGCTTTTGGAATCTTTATCATGAAATATTTTCCAAAGCACATGGCCAGAATAGTATGGCTTAGGTTTTCTTCTAGAGTTTTTATATTTTTACTTTTTACGTGAAAGTGTTTATACTATCTTAAGTTGATTTTTGTAAATGATGAAAGGCAACAGTTCAGTTTTCATCTTCTACATATGGCTAGCTAAATATGCCAGCACCATTTACTAAATATTTTTTAACCATTGCTTGTTATTGTCATCTTTGACAAAATTCTGATGGTTGCTAGTGTACATCTTTATTCCCGGATACTCTAACCTCTTTCATTAGTCTATGTATCTATTTTGGTACCAGTACCATGCTGTTTTGGTTGCTGAAGCATTGAGTATAGTATAAAGTTGGTTAGTGTAATGCATCCAGCATTTATTTATTTATTTATTTATTTATTTATTTATTTATTTATTTATTATTTTTGCCTAGTATTGTTTTGGCTATTTGGTCTTTATGTTAGTTTTGTAAATATTTTATAATAGTTTTAAAGTCATGCTGTAAAATGTCATTGGTGATGTGACAGCAATAGCACTAACCCTATAAACTGCTTTGGGCAGTGTGGCCATTTTAACAGTGTTGATTCTTCCTATCCATGAGTAATAGAATGTTTTCGATTTGTTTTTCTCTCATTTCTTTCAGCAGTGTTTTGTAATATTTATCATAGAGACTTTTTACCTCCCTGGTTAATTGTATTCCTAGGTATTTTATGATTTTTTGTGTTTATTATAAATAGAATTGCATTCTTGATTTTGTCTCATCTTGGATGTTACTGGTGTATAGAAGTGCTACTTATTTTTGTATGGTGATTTTGTGCTCAGAAACGTTGCTGAAGTTGTTTGTCAGCTCTAAGAGCCTTTGGCAGAGAATATGCAGTTTTCCAAGCATAACATTATATCATATATGAAGTAAAATATTTTGACTTTCTATAAGATAATTAGGTAATGAGTAGACACTTCACATTTATTAAAATGTTTATTTACTGTTAAGTTAAAATTTATTGTTGAAATGAGAGTCATTAGGATTTTTATTCACTTTTCTTGACAGAAACTAAAGAGTAAGGTCTTTTCAGCATTTGGTTATTTTTGACTTTTTTTTTTTTCATTTTGAAATACAGTTTTTTTGCTTATAGTATTTCTGCATGGAATTCTTTCAGCACATTGACTGTATCAGCAAATTCTCTTCGGTCCTGTGAGGTTTTGTTTGAACAATCCACAGGTAATCTCAAAAGATATTCCTTGTAGATGACATATCACTTTTCTCTTGTTGTCTTGAAGATTCCATTTTCATCTGTAACTTTTGAAACTTTGCATATAGTGTATCTTCTTATTGATTTATTTCTGTTTATCATAGTTGGAGATCATTGAGATTTATTTTTAGTGTATTTTTCTTAAGTTTGATAATTTTTTGCATAGTAATTCTGTTATTATTTGGTGACATAATTTCTGGTTTTTAAAAATACTTTGTATTATTTTCTTAATAGTCTTTTTTCTCATTTAATATAGCTTTCTAGTTTTATTTCACTCATTCAGCATTACTCAGATAATTATTTTAAATTTTTAAGGGTAATTTACACATCTTCATTTCTTTAGAGCCAATTTATGGATATTTATGTCTTTTGAAAGATTAGGCAGAAAAATGTTTTAGTTCAAAGGAAGAAACAAGGTTAGGAAGAAGATGGAAAAAGGGAGAACTAAATAAAGAATGGGAAAATCAGACACAATATTAAAGAAAGTTTGACTGTAAAGTCAAACGCTTATTTTTTCTTACTTGTAAAAATTCATTACACTTTTACATTTTTTTCTCAATTATATTAATTTTAACTGTTATTGGTGCATAGGTAAGTGTATAATTTGTGAAATACATAAGCTGTTTTGATAAAGGCACACAATGTGTAACAATCACATCATGGAGAATGGGGTAAATGCTCCCTCAACCATTTATGTTTTTGTGTTACAAACAAGCTAATAAATAACACATTATAAAGTTATTTTAGAACATGAGAAAAGCCTGTAATTGACTATAATCCCCTGTTGTACTATCAAGCAATAGGTCATGTTTATGTATTTATTCTTATTTTTTGTATCCAGTAAATATTTCCATCTCCCCACCATCCCCCACTGCCCTTTCAACCTCTGGTAACCACACTTCTACTCTCTCCCTCCATGACTTCAATAATTTTGATATTTAGATACCATAAGTAAGTGAGAAAATGTAACATTTTCTTTCTATGTCTGGCTTATTTTACTTAACATAATGATCTCCAGTTTTATATATGCTGCCATAAATGACAGAATATTATTTTTAAGGCTGAATAGTACTCCATTGTGTATATGTATACAATTTTTTTAACCCATTCATCTACTGATGGATACTTACATAGCTTCCAAATCTTAAGTATAGTGAATAGTGATGAAACAAAGATAAAAGGGCAGATATCTCTTTGATTCACCGGTTTCCTTTCTTTTGGGTATATACCCAGGAATGGGATTACTTGACCATGTAGTAGGTGTATTTTTAGTTTTTTTGAGGAATTTTCAAACTGTTTTCTATATTCGTGTTACTAATTTATATTTTCACCCAGTGTGTACGAGGGTACTCTTTTTCTCCACACCGTTACCAGCATCTATCATTGCTTGTCTTTTTAAAATTATTTAACTGGGGTGAGAAAATATATCTATCATCATAGTTTTGATTTGAATTTATTTGATGATCAATAATGTTAAGCATATTTTATATTTCTGTTTGCCATTTGTATGTTTTCTCTTGAGAAATATCTATGTAAATATCTAACTTAAATTTTTAAATTTATTTATATAGAGTTGTTTGAGCTCCTTATACATTTTGGTTATCAATCCCCTGACAGATGAGTGGTTTGCATAGTTTCTCTCATTCTGTCAGCTGTGTCTTCATTTTGATATTGTTTTGCTCTGCAGAAGATTTTCAACTTAGTGTTATCAGTTTTGTCAATTTTTAATTTGATTAACTGTGATTTTGAGGTATTATTCAAAAAAGTTTTGCCTAGACCAATGTCCTTCAGATTTTTTCCAAAGTTTTCTTGTAATAGCTTCGTAGATTGAGGTCTTAAATTTTAGTCTTTAGTATATTTGGATTTTTTTTTTTTTTTGAGACAGAATCATGCTGTGTTACCCAAGCTGGAGTGCAGTGGCACAATCTTGGCTCACTGCAAGCTCCGCCTACCAGGTTCATGCCATTCTCCTGCCTCAGCCTCCCCAGTAGCTGGGACTACAGGCGTGGATTGATTTTTATATGTAAAGAGATAGGGGCCTAGTTTTATTTTTCTGCATATAGATATTCAGTTTTTCCAGGATCATTTACCAAAGAGACTCTCTTCTACACAGTGTATGTTCTTCACACCTCTATTGAAAACAAGTTGAAAGTTCACTGTAGCTGTGATAATTCATTTCTGCATTCTCTCTTCTGTTATATTGGTATATGCATCTGTTTTTGTATTTGTTTTTATTGCTTTTTTTGTACCCTACTGTTTTGGTTATTATGGCTTTTTAGTATAATTTGACATCAGGTTTTTTTTGTTCTTTTTGTTTTTGTTTTTGTTAAAACAGCTTTAGTTGTTCATATTTTCTTTTTCTTTTTTTTTTGTAATTCCATATAATTTTAAAAGTGTTTTTTTTCTAATTTCTGTGAAAAATGTTACTGGTATTTTGATAGAGATTACACTGAATCAGTAGACTAGTCCGGGTAGTATAGATGTTTAAATAATATTAATAAATTCAATCCATTAACATGAATTTTTTTTTACTTGTTTGGTGCTCTCTTTATGTAATCAGTTAGTTAAAGTTTTTATTGTAGAGCTCATTCACTTATTTGGCTAAGTACATTTCTAGGTATTGGATTTTATTTGTAGCCATAGTAAATAGTATTTTTAATTTTTTTCCAGATGGTTTATGTTTGACATATAGAAATTCGACCGATTTTATGGGTTTTCCTTTGTATCTAGCAACTTTAGTCAATTCATGTGTTCTAACTTTTTTGGTGGAGACTTTAGGTTTTCTCAAATATAAGATTATTTTATCTGCAAACAATATTTCTTCTTTCATTCCAATTTTGATGTCTTTCATTTTGTTCTCTTGTCTGATTGCTCTAGTTAGTGATGGCAATAACAAGCTGTCTGGAGGAGCTACTGCCATCACAAAGGCTGCAGTGGTGAGGCATGAGTGGTGCCAGCAAGACAGGCTGAGGGAGAAGCAGTGGTGGCAGTCTGACCCCATGCCCCGTGTCCCTGAGGCAGCTGATGGTGCTGCTCCAATCCTTTCACCACTGCACAAAACTTGTTCCCAGGCCCAGAGACTTCATTGCTCTAAACTCTGGCCCCACACTGCTGCTCTCACACACTGCCACTACTAGGATGGTTTCGGAAGGAGGAAGACAGTCACTGGAGCCTGCCCCTGGGAGCCTACTGCCCTGGAGGCCACTGCAATAAAGTCAGGTTGATTCACTTATCAACAGGAGAGCACCGTGGTCAGGCAAAGAAGGGCCCAAGGTGGAGATGGTACAAGGGTAGTGTGTTACTTCCACATGGAGTGCAGGGGCTGGCCTGCAGTGCAGAGCTGAGACCATGATTCAGGAGCCCAGGGTGGGAAGTGTGAGTGGTGCCCACATCGGATGGCCATGGCACTTACACCTCTGAGGGTGCCAGGTTCTTGTGCCTTGAGAGAGGCTCTGAGTGGAGCCACATGTTCACTGGGTCTGCCCCATATCAGAGTGACCACTGAGACTGACACTTCCTGAAAGCATTTTCCTGAGAAGGGATGCAACCTGGGTAAGGGGAAGCCCTGGGCCACCCTGAGCACTGGGTGGGGGGGCATTGAGCGATCTCACAGAAATGTCACCCTTGCCCCAGACACCAAACCAGGCCCAGTGAGGACATGGATTCCCTGCCCCAGGCTGCAAGAGGGCATGACTGGGGCTGCTTGCTCCACAGAGCCAGTCTCCACTTGGAGGACAAGTGGGACCAGTGCCCTTTCTGAGTTGGTGGGTGGTAACTCCCCAGGTAAAGCTGCTGCTGCCATTCTGCCACTGCAAAGCTGGAAATTTCTGCACTCTCAGGGTTGGAAAATGCCCTTTTGCCTCCCCATGGGCTTGAGGGTACTTGCTCCCACTGCCGGGATTCTCCCTAGTGTTGATGCCTCCTTCAGTATTGGAGCAAGCTGGGCACTGAGCCTAGGTGCTGTTGCAGCCCAGCCTAGTATGCACACACTCAGGGCAGAATTGACAGGCCAGCCCCCTGCCATTTTGGCCCTCTGCAGACTTTGGCCACCAACAAGCACAGGAGGGAGTACCAGTGGTGTGGTGGGGGTGCTGAGGGCAGCCTGGGGCTTGCATCTTGGTGACCCTTAGCATGAACAGTCTCGGAACAATTTACAGCAGCAGGAGGCAGACAGGCTGTTTGACCGAAGGGGACAGAACTCAGATGAAACCCCATCTTCAAGCCAGGGAGGGCCCAAAGCCTGGGGTCCAGGCAACCAGTTCCAGAGACCAGAAGGGAAACTTGTGTTGCTTGTTCCTGAGCCCACCCATGGCAACCAATGGACCAATCAGCACTCACTTCTTCCTCACTGCAGTCCATAAAAAGCCTACACTCAGCCAGACTCAAAAAGAAGATAGATGATGGTGAGATGAAGGACTGGTCTGCCTGCAGAGAGGAGCTCTCCGCTACAAGTCTCTCCCTTCTAGGAGATGAACATTTGTAGGGAGACCCTGACTGAGCCACCAACTGCAGGTCTTCTCTGAGCTGTTTTATCACTCAATAAAACTCCTTCTCATCCTACTTACTCTTCACTTGTCTGCATACATCATTCTTCCTAGTCACAGAACAAGAACTTGGAACTTATCGAATGGCAAATCTAAGAAAGCTGTAACACAAACAGGGCTAAAACATGTCCCTTGGTTCCCACATTATGGGCAAAAAGTAAGAAAAAAAAAGTTGTGGTCTTCAGGAACCTCAGACCTGTGAGCTCCCTGAGGCAAGTTTGTGACTTTATTTTGGGGGCACTGTGGCTTCTGAGGCAAGGTTATGACTTTCTTTCTGGGGCACTGTGGTTCCTGGCATCTCCAAGCCTCAAGGCACCACCACATTTCTCAGTGCTAGTCATAAAAGCTACTTTCAGTACCCCTGGTCCAGCTGCAGCCTTGCAGAGACCTGGCAGATGGAATTGCCCACTACATGGCAGCAGCCAGCGTGTCTGACTGCAGTAACCAGAATTCACTCTTGCTGACACACCTTTTGCTGCTTCACACCTGACTTGTAATCTTTCTTAGAGGATGGTATCCAGACAAGTAGCATAAGCCAAGCATAGCCTGCCAGGCCAAATTAGTGGAATAAGCCCGGTGGGCCTAAGAAAATGCAGGCAAATGAGCTACCAGCTACAGATATTTCCATCCAGAAAAGTGACATTTCCAAATATCTCATATCTCTAGGTTTTCCAGTACTATCTTGAGTAAGTGTTGTCAGTCGACATTCTTTTCATATTTCATACCTTAGAAGAAAGGCTTTTAGTTTTTCTTCATTCAGTAACATACTAGCTGTGGATTTGTAATATATGGATTCTATTTTGTTAAAGCATGTCATTTCTATACCCAGCAGGTTGAGGGGTTTCATCATTGGGAGTGCTGAATATATTCGAATGCTTTTTCAGAGTTAACTAAAATAATCATGTGGCTTTATTCCTTCCTTCTGTTGACACAATGTTTCATATTAATTGATTTACCCATATGTTGAACAATTCTTGCATCAAAGGAATAAATCCAACTTGGTCATAATGAGTGATCTTTCTAATGCATGGTGAAATTTGGTTTGCTTGTATTTTGTTGAGAAATTTTTCATAAATATTTATAAGAGATATTGGCCTGTAGTTTTTCACTGATGTGTTCTTGTCTGGTTTTGTTATTAGAGTAGTACTCGTCTTGTAAAGTTACTTTAAAAGTATTACCTCCTACTCTATTTTTCAGAAAAGTTTGAATTTGACTTGTATTAATTTTTATAAATGTTTGGTAGAATTCAGCTGCAAAGACATTAGTTCCTGGGTTTATTTTAAGAACATACTTTATATATATATATGTGTGTGTGTATATATATATATGTGTGTGTATATATATAATTATACTTTAACTTCTAGGGTACATGTGCACAATCTGCAGGTTTATTACATATGTATACATCTGCCATGTTGGTGTGCTTCACCCATTAACTCATCATTTACATTAGGTATTTCACCTAATGCTATCCCTCTCCACTCCCCCTACCCCATGATAGGCCCCAGTGTCGAAATGTTCTCATTGTTTAATTCCCACCTATGAGTGAGAACATGTGGTGTTTGGTTTTCTGTCCTTGCAATAGTTTGCTCAGAATGATGGTTTCCAGCTCATCCATGTCCCTACAAAGGACATGAACTCATTCTTTTTTATGGCTGCATAGTATTCCATGGTGTATATGTGCCACAGTTTCTTAATCCAGTCTATCATTGATAGACATTTGAGTTGGTTCCAAGTCTTTGCTATTGTGAATAGTGCTGCAAAAAACATACTCATGCTCATGTCTTTATAGCAGCATGATTTATAATCTTTTCAGTATATACCCGGTAATGGGATCGCTGGGTCAAAGGATATTTCTAGTTCTAGATCCTTGAGGAATCGCCACACTGTCTTCCACAATGGTTAAACTAGTTTACACTTGCACCAACAGTATAAAAGCATTCCTATTTCTCCACATCCTCTCCAGCACCTGTTTTTTCCTGACAATTTTTTTTTTATAATTTAAGTTCTAGGGTACATGTGCACAAAGTGCGGGTTTGTTACATATGTGCCATGTTGGTGTGCTGCACCCATTACCTCATCATTTACATTAGGTATATCTCCTAATGCTACCCCGCTCCCCATCCTCCACCTCACAATAGGCACCCGTGTGTGATGTACCCCTTCCTGTGTCCAAGTGTTCTCCTTGTTCAGTTCCTACCTATGAGTGAGAATGTGTGGTGTTTGGTTTTTTATCCTTGCAACAGTTTGCTGAGAATGATGGTTTCCAGTTTCATCCATGTCCCTACAAAGGACACGAACACATCCTTTTTTATGGCTGCATAGTATTCCATGGTGTATATGTGCCACATTTTCTTAATCCAGTCTATCATTGATGGACATTTGAGTTGGTTCCAAGTCTTTGCTATTGTGAATAGTGCAGCAATAAATGTACATGTGCATGTGTCTTCATAGCAGCATGTTTTATAATCCTTTGGGTATATACCCAGTAATGGAATGGCAGGGTCAAATGTTATTTCTAGTTCTAGATCCCTGAGGAATCACCACACCTTCTTCCGCAATGGTTGAACTAGTTTACAGTCCCACCAACAGTGTAAAAGTGTTCCTATTTCTCCACATCCTCTCCAGCAGCTGTTGTTTCCTGACTTTTTAATGATTGCCATTCTAACTGGTGTGAGATGGTATCTCATTGTGGTTTTGATCTGCATTTCTCTGATGGCCAGTGAAGATGAGCATTTTTTCATGTGTCTGTTGGCTGCATAAATGTCTTCTTTTGATGAGTGTCTGTTCATATCCTTTGCCCACTTTTTGATGGGGTTGTTTGTTTTTTTCTTGTAAATTCGTTTGAGTTCTTTGTAGATTCTGGATATTAGCCCTTTGTCAGAAGAGTAGATTGCAAAATTTTCTTCCATTCTGTAGGCTGCCTGTTCACTCTGATGGTAGTTTCTTTTGCTGTGCAGAAGCTCTTTAGTTTAATTAGATCCCATTTGTCAATTTTGGCTTTTGTTGCCATTGCTTTTGGTCTTTTAGTCATGAAGCCCTTTCCCATGCCTATGTCCTGAATGGTATTGACTAGGTTTTCTTCTAGGGTTTTTATGGCTTTAGGTCTAACATGCAAGTCTTTAATCCATCTTGAATTAATTTTTGTATAAGGTATAAAGAAGAGATCCAGTTTCAGCTCTCTACATATGGCTAGCCAGTTTTCCCAGCACCATTTATTAAATAGGGAATCCTTTCCCCATTTTTTGTTTCTTTCAGGTTTGTCAAAGATCAGATGGTTGTAGATGTGTGGTATTATTTCTGAGGGCTCAGGTCTGTTCAGTTGGTCTATATCTCTGTTTGGTACCAGTACCATGCTATTTTGGTTACTGTAGAAGGCTACAATTATGCACAATTATGTTATTATAGTCACTGGTATGCTATTAAGTAGTGCTGATACGCTATTAAGTAGTTTTTAGTCAGCTAAAAACTCTCAATAAACTAGGTATTGATGGGACATATCTCAAAATAATAAGAGCTATTTATGGCACACCTACAGCCAATATCATACTGAATGGGCAAAACTGGAAGCATTCCCTTTGAAAACTGGCACAAGACAGGGATGCCCTCTCTCATCACTCCTGTTCAACATAGCGTTGGAAGTTCTGTCCAGCGCAATCAGACAGAAGAAAGAAAGAAAGCATCTTCTATTAGGAAAAGAGGAAATCAAATTGTCCCTGTTTGCAGATGACATGATTGTATATTTAGAAAACCCCATCGTCTCAGACCAAAATCCCCTTAAGCTGATATGCAAATTCAGCAAATTCTAAGGATACAAAATCAATGTGCAAAAATCACAAGCATTTGTATGCACCAATAACAGACAAACAGAGAGCCAAATCATGAGTGAACTCCCATTCACAATTGCTTCAAAGAGAATAAAATACCTAGGAATCCAACTTACAAGGGATGTGAAGGACCTCTTCAAGGAAAACTACAAACCACTGCTCAATGAAATAAAAGAGGACACAAATAAATGTAAGAACATTCCATGCTCATGAATAGGAAGAATCAATATCATGAAAATGGCCATACTGCCCAAGGTAATTTGTAGATTCAATGCTATCCCCATCAAGCTATAAAGGCGCAGAATTGGAAAAAACTACTTTAAAGTTCATATGGAACCAAAAAAGAGCCTGCATTGCCAACACAATCCTAAGCAAAAAGAAAAAAGCTGGAGGCAAGAAAATACTTTATATTATAACTTTGATCTCATTAATTCTTATTGGGCAGTTTATGTTTTGCCTTTATTCCAGGCTTAATTTTGGTAGGTTATATTTGCCTAGGATAGTGACAACTTAAATTTTCCAATTTCTTTGCATAAGTAGTAATCCTTTGAATTTCTTTTTTTAAATTTTATTATTATTATACTTTAAGTTTTAAGGTACATGTGCACAACGTGCAGGTTTGTTACATATGTATACGTGTGCCATGTTGGTGTGCTGCACCCATTAACTCATTGTTTAGCATTAGGTATATCTCCTAATGCTATCCCTCCCCACTCCCCCAACCCCACAACAGTCCCCAGTGTGTGATGCTCCCCTTCCTGTGTCCAAGTGTTCTCATTGTTCAGTTCCCACCTATGAGTGAGAATATGCGGTGTTTAGTTTTTTGTCCTTGTGATAGTTTGCTGAGAATGATGGCTTCCAGTTTCATCCATGTTCCTGCAAAGTACATGAACTCATCATTTTTTATGGCTGCATAGTATTCCATGGTGTATATGTGCCACATTTTCTTAATCCTGTCTATCATTGATGGACATTTGAGTTGGTTCCAAGTCTTTGCTATTGTGAATAGTGCCACAATAAACATACGTGTGCATGTGTCTTTATAGCAGCATGATTTATAGTCCTTTGGGTATATACCCAGTAATGGGATGGCTGGGTCAAATGGTATTTCTAGTTCTAGATCCCTGAGGAATCGCCACACTGACTTCCACAATGGTTGAACTAGTTTACAGTCCCACCAACAGTGTAAAAGTGTTTTATTTCTCCACATCCTCTCCAGCACCTGTTGTTTCCTGACTTTTTAATGATTGCCATTCTAACTGGTGTGAGATGGTATCTCATTGTGGTTTTGATCTGCATTTCTCTGATGGCCAGTGAAGATGAGCATTTTCTCATGTGTTTTTTGGCTGCATAAATGTCTTCTTTTGAGAAGTGTCTGTTCATATACTTCACCCACTTTTTGATGGGGTTGTTTGTTTTTTCTTGTATATTTGTTTGAGTTCATTGTAGATTCTGGATATTAGCCCTTTGTCAGATGAGTAGGTTGTGAGCTTCTGCATGGCAAAAGAAACTACCATCAGAGTGAACAGGCAACCTACAGAATGGGAGAAAACTTTTGCAACCTACTCATCTGATCCTTTGAATTTCTGTAGTATCATTTTATATCCAGTTTTTAATTTCTGATTTTATTTATGTGGGTCTCCTTTTTTTTCTTATTCTGGCTGAAACTTCCTCAGATTTGTTTAGCTTTTGATATAATTAACATCTCTAATTGACTTTTGTGTTATTTTCTTTATGCTTAACATTATTATGAGTATATTTTTTAAATTTTAACTTTTTGGGTATATAATAAGTATATATATTTATGGGTGACATAAGATGTCATGGTATAGGCATGCAATGTGAAATACGGGAATTGGGTATCCATAATCTCATGTACTTAACCACTGTGTTGAAAACAATATAATTATATCTTTAAGATATTTCAAAATGCACAATTATTTTATTATGGTCACTGGTATGCTATTAAGTATTAAGTATTTTTAATTATTTCTAATGTTTTTGCAACCATTAATCATTCCCACCTCTTCCCCTCCCTCCCAATACCTTTCCAAGACACTGGCAACCATCCGCTATGTATAAATATGTTTTTATTTTTAGGTTCCTAAATAAGTGTGAACATGTGTTCATTGTCTCTCTGTACTTGGCTTATTTCACAAAATATAATAACTTTATTTCCATCTATGGTGTTGCAAATGACTGGATTTTATTTTTATTGTCTATATTGTACTCTTTTGTGTGTATGTTTCACATTTTCTTCATACATTCTTCTGGAAGAATGGACACTTAAGTTGTTTTTAAATCTTAGCTATTGCAAACAGTGCTGCAACAAACATAAAATCACGGACATTTCTTTGATATATTCACTTCTTTTTTTCTGGGATATATGCTTAGCAGTAAGATACATGGTAGCTGAATCATATGGTAGCTCAATTATTAGTTTTTTGTGGAATGTTCAAATTTTTTTTCATAATGCTTGTACCAATTTACATTCCCACCAACAGTGTACAAAGATACCATTTTATTCGAATCCTCACCAGTATTTGTTATTGCCTGTTTTATGAATATAAGCAATTTTAGCTGGTGTATGGCAGACTTCCAAAATCAAATTTCAATTTCAATGTTGTCCTCCCTGTTGCCCAGCTTTTCGGAACTATATAGAGGCCCTGAAGTATCCAGAAAAGGGGTAAACAGGATTATTTGACATGTTTAGGTTTATGAGATTGCCGAAGTGATGTCTAATCTTCTTCATGCTATAGTTTAGTGAATTATATTAATGTACTTTTTAAAACCATATGGAACATCTAAGGCTCTAATGTCTGAATATGTACTATCAATCACAGTTCAGGTTATTTTGTTGGGTTATTGTAAACCCCCAAAACAACTGAATTTCTTTGCTCATTGTGTTCCTGATTGTATTCACTCTGGAGATTTTGTCATTTAAAGACAATTGTTGTCTGGTTTTAATTGTCTTTAAAATATGGTTTATAATCAACTTTGAAATTTTAAAAGGTGTTCTGAAATGCATGTTTTTGATAACTGAAAATCACACAGAGCTCATGAAAAGCTAAAATGTTTATAATTGTAAAGCAGAGCAATAGTTAATAAAAGAAAGTAAACTAATAGAAAACTAAAGCAGTATTTTTTACTTTTGCTTGGAACATTGCTGATTCTCATTTTGTTGTTTAGAGTCAAAAAAAATTTCATAAAACCAGAGACTGTTACATCTTGGTCCACTGTTGAGACTACAACACTTCTTGTTTTCCTCTTTCTTATTCAATTTATATCAGTATGGCCTCATAAATATTTATTTTATTATCTTGGTTATAAATTAATGTTATTCTTATTTATTTTGTTGCTCCCATTTCTTCAGCTTGGCCTATTGGAAAGTCCATGTGGCAATTCCATAATCTTCACAAGGTGTCCATCAATATGCCTCAATCGCCTTCTCTACTGTGACAGCTGACATTGCAGAAACAGTGGCTTTTAAACCCTGTGCTTGCCTTTGAGTTTTCACTGAACAAAAGTGAAGGTGGCTAATTTCCTTGTTGGAACAAAGCTGAAATATATTGCCTTTTCATAATTTTATTTGGGTGGTCTTGTCTCCATTATGTGCCACTGTTATTTTGGAGGTATTACTGAAGTAACCTCTGCGTTTACTTTCACCTTAGACTCCATTATTTGACCAGCACTCACTGAGCCACCCTCTGCTCATGATTGTCAGATAAGTACTAATGTCATAAGTCACATTTAGATCTGAGCTATCTTGTCTTTACATTGAGTATCTCAGGTACTTTTGAATATTTATATAATTGTTTAGAGTTATGCCATCAAAAATTTTATCATAGGGAGAAGAATCAGAGAATAAACATATAAGCATAGTAATATGTCCTATTTGGCTATTTTCTGAGCCAGCTTCACACACTAGTGAATCTACATTTCTCACTGCTCAGGCATCAATTTAGACACAATTTTCTGAGGGAAAAATGCACAATTGGAATAAGTTCTTCTTTCTTCTTCCCTAATTCTGTGCATTTGTTTTGTGATCAAGAGAGTGCCTTTTTTTCTTTACACCTCCTGGAGGCAGATATTTTTGTGTCTTTATTCAGAGGTGACCCACTACTTGGATGAGAGCTCAAGACACAAAATGTATAGCATTTGTTTTTACTAAATGGTACTATCTCCTTTGAAGTTGTCTACAGCCATATTTTCTCTACTTTCAGAAAAAGCTATTGATTTCCTATTTGTACTTTTAAATTGCAATTCTCATTCTTGTCACTATATATTTTTTTTTTTTTGAGATGGAGTTTTGCTCTTGTTCCATGGGTTGGAGTGCAGTGGCACAATCTCAGGTCACTGCAACCTCCATCTCCCAGGTTCAAGTGATTCTCCTCTCTCAGCCTCTTGAGTAGCTGGGATTACAGGTGCCCTGTGACCATGCCTGGTTAATTTTTTATATTTTTAGTAGAGATAGGGTTTCATCATGTTGGTCAGGCTGGTCTTGAACTCCCAGCCTCAGGTGATCTGCCTGCCTCAGACTCCCAAAGCACTGGGATTACAGGCATGAGCCATTATACCAGGCCTTGTCACTGTCTTTCTGAACAACCTCACTCCATCAAGAATTGATTCTTTTGTGACCACTCTGGGAACATTTGATTTGAACAATGCTCATTGGAGAGATTCCCTTAAAAAATATTTATCCTGTCCAATGAGCAGAATGTTTTGGATGATACACAGAACAGAAACTTTAAAATAATATTCTGAATTAAAAATTGTTTAATTAGTCTGAGTGAAGTGGCTAGAGTCTGTAATTTACCCATTTGGTTTACTGAGGCAGGAGGATCACTTTATGTGAAAGATTAGGCAACCTAGGGAGATTATGTGAAAGATTATGTGAAAGATTATGTGAAAGATTGGGCAACCTAGGGAGATCTTTTTTAAAAGAAATATAAAAATTAGATAGGCACATGTACAGAACATGTAGATTTTTTACGTAGGTATACATGTGCCACAGTGGTTTGCTATACCTATCAACCTGTCATCTAGGTTTTAAGCCCAACATGCATTAGGTATTTTTCCTAATGCTCTCCCTCCTCTTTCCTCTCAGCCCTTGACAGGCCGTGGTGTGTGATGTTCTACTCCCTGTGTCTGTGTTTTCTCATTGTTCGACTCCCACTTATGAGTGAGAACATTCAGTGTTTGGTTTTCTGTTCCTGTGTTAGTTTGCTAAGAAAGATGGTTTCCAGCCTCATCCATGTCCCTGAAAAGGACGTGAACTCATTCTGTTTTATGGCTGCGTAGTATTGCATGGTGCGTATATGCCACAGTTTCTTTACCCAGTCTATCACTGATGAACATTTGGGTTGGTTCTAAGTCTTTGCTACTCTAAATAGTACTGCAATAAAATATGTGTGCATGTGTCTTTATAGTAAAATGACTTACATGTAACCTTTTAGAAATGGCTTTCTTGCTTAGCAAAATTCACTGGAGAGTCATCCAGTTTGTTATGTATATCAATAGTTTGCTCCTTGTAATTGCTGACTATGGTGTGATGGTCAGTTTTAAGTGTCAATGTGATTAAGCCATAGTACCCAGTTATTTAATCAAACATTAACATTGGTGTTGCTATGAAGGTATTCTGTAGACAGGTTTAACATCTATAATCAGTTGATTTTAAGTAAAAAAAAGAAAATTAGATGGGCATGATGGCACACGTTTGTAGTTCCAGCTATTTAAAAGACAAGAATGGGTAAATTGCTTGAGCTCTGGAATTTGGGGCTATAGTGTGCCCCAAATGATGCCCTCCAGTCTGGGTGACAAAGCAAGGCATTGTCTCTAAAAAATTGTCTTATTAGATTTGTATCTAGCCAAATGTAAATAAGTGGCTAATTTTAGCAACAGGAGAGTCTTATGTTTTTAGTAAACCTGCTACTCTTTTGTCTTCTAGTTTACTTCCATGTCTCTGAGTTCCTTTTACCATTTCTCATTATGATTTATCTATTTCTGCACTTTGTCATTTTCCTGCCTCCTATTCTTATTAAGATAACATACCTTCTTAAGAACTGTCTTAAAACTGAATGGCAATTTGCCTACAACATTTCTTCTGTCCCTTAAACAAATTGTGCAGGAGACTGTAGAATTTAGAACTTAGATATAGCTAAATCAGAAATCACCATTTTTTTCTAAACCAGAGGATACCAGAAAATATTTACAGAGTAGTATACAACTCTTCTAAGTGCATATGGCTCAGGGTTACCTGATGCTATAAGCCAAATATTTTTGTTCCCATCAAATGTATATGATAAAATCTAATTTGCTATATCATGGTACTTGTAGTCGAAGCTTGGGAAGTAACTAGGTTATGAGGAAAGAGACCTTATAAATTGGATTAATGCCTGTATAAAAAAGAACTCAGGGGGCTTTCTTATTCATAGTGTCATGTAAGGACACTATGAAAAAGATAACCATCTATTAAGCAGAAAGCTATCCCTTTCCAGACAAAGAATATGCTAACCATGATCTTGGACCAGGTCTATAAACGCACAAAATGAATTCCTGTTGTTTATAAACTCCCCAGTCTATGAAATTCATTGTAGCAACCCAGATTAACAAGACATAGGACATATCAACTTGTTTGCATAATTTTTGTAAATTTTGATACTAAATTCTTCATGACACAAAGTTATTAATCTGACTCCAAGATAGACTTACATGATCCCTTTTTCTACAATAAATTTTGAGAGTCAGAAAATGCTACTAATAGGTCAAAGTCTTCTAAAAGCCATACCTGGCAGATTTACAATACTGGTTTTTTTAATCACAAATGAATTATGCAGACAGTCACAAAAAAAGTTGAAACTATAATATATTTTTAGGAATGCCTCAAAAGTACTACCTGACAACATAAGAATTTAATAAATTCGTGGAAGTTTTAATTAAAAAGTGGTCAAAGTGTTTTCTAAATTTAAAATCTTAAACATGAATAAATAAGTACTTGGGCAGAATGGTAACATAGAGAAGAGGAGGTTCTGCTTCTAAGTTTGGAGGTTTAAGAATTTGTGCTATTTTAAACATCTTAAAACCCCATGCATCTGACAGGCAAGAAAAGCCCTGCCAGGACAGCACATCAAAGGCCCCTGCCCAAGAAGCTCAGCTGACCCTTGTCCCTTCAGGAATAAGATACAATCAGTGACTAGAAAATATGCTAAAATCCCTCAGACATTCATGTTCTTCTGCCTGAACTCATCTAAAGCCTGTCAAGTGTCCTTATCAGGGGCTGCAGCAGAACCTCAGATGTGTATAGGGGTGGGTCCACAGATGCACCCTTTACTGGGGCAGTATTACTCAGTAGAAAAAGCAGACCCATTTTAAATTAGTGCTGGGACTGGGCCTCATCTGCAGGAAGCTATTTAGCAAGGGCAATGAGCCAGGACTGCCTGCCATGCTCTCCCCCTGTGTGGCTCTTTTTCTGTGTGGAATGAGAAGAGGCACAAGGCTTGCTGACTAGGGCTTTACTGGCCACCCCTTTTCTGTTACCTGCAGCTTCAGCCACTTTCACTTCAAGGCCTGAGGTGAATAAAAACAACAGACACCAAATGGTACAGTCTTTGTTATTTACTGTCTGCTCTTTTACTGTAAGTTTTCCAACATCTGCTTTAGAAAGCTAGACTTGATTAGCACTATTTACTGAGAATTATCCTGCATAAAGCAATGAAACTTTTAGTGAACTTTGTGACTTAAGATAAACTTCTTTTGACTGAAGTTAAAACTGTTTTCATTATTCTAGCATCTTGATTAAAATAAATGGTGAGGGCCGGGCGTGGTGGCTCACACCTGTAATCCCAGCACTTTGGGAGGCCAAGGCAGGCAGATCACAAGGTCAGGAGTTAAGAGAAAAGCCTGGCCAACATGATGAAACCCCATCTCCACCAAAAATACAAAAATATTAGCTGGGCACCTGCGCTTGGAATCCTAGCTACTGGGGAGCCTGAGGCAGGAGAACTACTTGAACCCAGGTGGAGGTTGCAGTGAGCTGAGATCATGCCACTGTACGCCAGCCTGTGCAACAGAGTGAGACTCCATCTCAAAATTAATTAATTAATAAGTTAACACATTAATTAATTAAATGCTGAGGCATTAAATGTGCAATCATTCCTGTATTGAGGAGGAGAGTTCACCTGCTTCATTCTTTTATCTCAAAAATAATAAGAAGCCAGTTCAACTGAAAGACAGCTTATTATCAAATTACACAATTTTCCAGATATTTATTTGACTTAAAGTGGGATATTTTAAACTATAAAAAAAATGTAATTTGAAATTTTACTTGGAGATATCTATTTGACAAGAGTAGTGTTTCTGTTCAGGAGAACCTCTATGGAAACAAGTCATAAATTATCTTGTAATCTTCCAAAATTGGGTTATTTGAGGTGCTTACATTTTGGATGATACCAGAACATTATGTTTCTTGAGATTTAAACTCTTTTGAATATTCTTGGTGCTAGACTCTGCATTTGTATTTCTGGATTTTAGTTATTTGATTTTGAATATTTTCAAGCAGGTAAATTTTCCAGTGAAAGAACAGTAATGTTTCAGCTAAATATATATGCTTGAGATGGCAAAGATCAAGGGCTTACTTTTTATATGTTCTATTTATACAATATTTGCTTAGTGAGTTTAACAGAGTAAAATACTATTATAATCATAAATCCAGAGCCAGTACAACCAGAATGCCAAATGTGTCCAAACGTTTATAATGTACAATGCAAAGACATTTTAGAATAACGTACAATCATTTAAGAAAGTTGATTTAGAATAAGGACAGATCAAGATGTTCAAATAGAAGTTTGCACTTATAATACCATAATAGGCATATCAATTTAACAACTATCTACAGAAAAAGCATCTTCATAAAAAACAAAATTAAGTGAGCACTCATAGTTTCTATTTTTGTCTCCATGTTAGTGAAAGAGGCACTGAAAAGGCAGAAGATCCACTTGTGAATTGCAAATGTTACTTGTTACTCATCCATCAGCTGTGACATGGAGGGAGATTCTGTGGAGAATAGATCAATTGTGAGACTTTGCTTTGAACCTATTCATACCTCATTACAGCAGAAAGCAAAATCAGACAAAATTCAGGTAATACCCATAAACTGTGAAAGTATTTTAAAAAGTCCTAGCCAGAGAAAAATTGTTCATCTCAGTGGATGGAATTCGAGTTTCTACAAGTCTCACCACTTTAGGCTGGAGTGCTAAGGGATCACACACAAACTTGAAAGACACTCTAGGCCACAATGCCTGCAACTCATGCAAGACCTAAAACTTCACTGGGCTCAAAGCCGGTAAACTGGTATGGCACATTACCTACTAAGAAATCAACTGGGGCAGGTAAGGGAGTGCTCGTTCCACTCTTACTCTACCTTGAGCCTGCAAAGCTTACAGCTCAAAAGAGATCCTTTTCTTCCACTAGAATAAAAGAATGGGAAGAGTGGAGGAAGACTTCGTTTTGTATCTTGAATACCAGCTTAGCCACAACAGAATAGGCCAGCAGTCAGATTTGTGAGGCCATCTATACAGGACTGAGTTACAAGATGATATGTCTAGAAATACTTTGGACTAAAAGGGAAGCTGCTACCTTGAAGAATAATAAACACAATCCTGACAGCATTTATTGTCTTCTAACTGAAGAATGCTTGGACCCTGAATAAACAACAGTAACAAGGTAGTATGTCATAAACTTTGGGTAAGAATCTGAGATTTGTTGGCTTCAGGTGAGAAACAACTCACTTCCAGTTGTGGTGGCTATAGAAGAAGACGTTTTCTGCTGGAGAAAAACATGGAGAAAGATAAAGGGGAGTAAGCTTGCACCATAGGTGTTAGCTCTTCCACAGCAAAATAAAACACAAAGTTGGCCACTGGGGAGCCCAATTAAAGGCCTTGGATCTTAAATGACACACCTGGACCTGCACTGGGACAGTGGGGAAACCACTGCCCTGAAGAGTGACCCCAGAAAGGCAAAATTTAACACAAGCTGACTAAATAACTGTTGGGTCCTAAAGCAATATCAGCAGCTGATTGGCACTATGTCCTTTGGACTTGAGTTCACAATGGCCAGGAAATGCGGTTCCTCTGCCTTTGAAAAGGAGAGAAAAGTGTAGGAAGACTGTGTCTTGTAATTTCTTTGCCAGCTGAGGCACAGTGCAATAGAAGACCGAGGTCAACATGTAAAATATTTGACTCTAGTCCTTGGCTCCCAGATGACAACTCTGGACCAACCATGGACCCAGAGAATTTTGCCACCCATATGGAAGAACATAGGCTTAACTGACTTTTCCACCTGATTATCATAGAGCCCCAGCATGTAGAGCAAACAAAGGCAGTAGTCAGGGTTTGGTTACAGTAGGCCCTGGGCTGAACACAGTGCTGTCCTGGCTTCAATTCTAACCCAGCACATTCCTCATTGTGGTGGCAGCAGGGGTTCTTGGGTCACTCCACTCCAGGTGGCTCAAAACAGAGAGTTTCTTAAGAAAAAGTAAGAAACAGGACAAAAATTTCTGCAGTAAAATTCAGAGAATTCTAGACCTTGACCCAAATTATTAAGATAGTACCAATATAAGTCTGCTAGAACCAAAACATGACTGGATTTTGAGTGTCCCCTGATGCAGATACATCTTAGATTACAACACTCAAGACATTTTAAGTATGTGAAATGTTTGCCAAGAAAAACAAGACAAACTTAGACAACAAAACTGAAAGTAAACACCATAGACTTCTACGTCCACAGACAGACAACTATTACAATTTTTCAGAACATAAGATAAAGATAGAAACAAAAAAAAAGTTAAAAATGAGGGGTGCAAAGTTAAGCTGTAAATGTTTACTAGTTTTATTCTTGCTTGTTCATTTGTTTGTTTGCTGCTGAAACAAGGTTGTTATCAGCTTAAAATAATTGGTTGTAAAGTAGTATCTTCCTATCTTATGGCAAGGTCAAATCAGAAAACATACAACAGATACACAGAAAATAAAAAGCAATTAAATTATATAACTGAAAATATTACCTTTATTAAAAAGAGAAGGGAAAACTAAATTTGATAAAATAGCAAATAGAAAAATGTAAACTGTTTCTGATTATCAATAATAACATTGAATAGAAATAGAATAAATTCTCCACACAAAAAATATACAGTGGTTGAATACATAAGAAAACAAGGCCCGATAATCTGTTGCCTGAAAAAGACATACATTATTTATAAGGCTCAAATAGACTGAAAATTTAAAAAATAGAAAAAATATTCTGTCAATGGAAACCAAAAAAAAAAGCAGAAGTATTTATGCTTATATCACGCTAGACACATTACAAGACAAAAACTGTAAGAAGAAGGTCACTGAATCATGACAAACAGGTCAATTCAGCAGGAGGATATAATAATTTTAGGTGTGTAAACACCCACACTGAAAGCACATATTATTAAGGCTAATAAGAAATATAGGCTCAATACAGTAATAGCTGAAGACTTCAACACTATACTTTCAGCACTGGACAGATTTGTCAAACAGAAAATCAACACAGAAATATTAGATGAAATCTGCACTATAGATCAAACAAACTTAATAGATATTTATAAAACATTCATCAAATGGCTGCAAAATACACATTTTTTTTCCTTAAAACATGGTTGTTTCTCAAAGATGTATAGTAGGTAAAAAATGTATGAAAACATTCAAAAAATTGAAACAGTATCAAGGGTCTTCTCTGACCGCAATAAAATAAAACTAAGGATCAACATAAAGATAAATAGAATATGTTCCTGAATGACAAGTGAATTAAAAAAGACCTTCAAAAGAAAATTTAAAAAAATTCTGAAACAAATAATGGAAACACCACATTCCAAATTTATCCCAAAATTTATGGAATACAGTAAAAGCAGTTATGAATGATGTATATAGTTACAAGTGCCTACATAAAAAAAGAATCCTGGCCAATATGATGAAACCCAATCTCTACTAAAAATACAAAAATTAGCTGGGCGTGGTGGCTTGCACTATAGCCCCAGATACTCGGTGGGCTGAGGAAGGAGAATTGCTGGAACTTGGGAGGCAGAGGTTGCCGTGAGCCAAGATCATGCCACTGCAACTCCAGCCTGGTGACAGAGCAAGACTCCATCTCAAAAAAAAAAAAAAAAAAAGATTAACTTTTATATAAAAACACTTATTGATACATATTAAAGAACTAGAAAGGCAAAAACAAATCAAATCCACAATTAAAAGGAGAAAATAAATAATAAAGATGAAAACAAAAATAAATGAAATTATTATGAAAACAAAAGAAAAAATCAATGAAATAAAGGTTGGTTTATTGAAAAACTAAATACAATTGATAAACCTTTTAGTTTTCAAGATAAACTAAAAGAGAGAACACAAATTAAAAAATTAGAGATGAAAAGAAAACATTAGAACTGATGGGCCGGAAATTCAAAAGATAATGACCACTAAGGTCACTATATGCCAATACATTGGGAATTCTTAAAAAAAAATTCTAGAACCATACAACATGCCAATATTCAACCATGAAAAATTCAAACCTGAAAAAATCAAGAACAAGTAAATATGCCAAAGCTGTAATAAAAAGACTTTCAGCTAAAAATATCTGAGATCAGATGGCTTCACTGCTGATTCCACAAATTATTATTATTATTAATATTAATATAAAGACTTTCTCTGTCACCAAGGCAGGAGGAAAGTGCCACAATCGTGGCTCACTGAAGCCTCTGTTTCCTGGATTTAACAATTCTTGTGCCTCAGCCTCCCTGCTAGCTAGGATTACAGGCCGGTAGAACCAAACCTAACTAATTTTTTATTTTTAGTAGAGACAGGGTTTCATTATCTGGGCTGCACTCAAATTCCTCACCATAAGTGATCTACTTTGCTTAGCCTCCAAAATTGCTTGGATTATAGACCTGAGCCACCATCCCCAGCCCGTACTAAATATTTAAAGAGAAACTAATAGCAGCCCTCCTCAAAAAATTTTGAAGAATACAGGGAGAAGGAACACTTTCAAATTCATTCTACAAGACCAGTATTACTCTGATACCAAAAGCAAAGAAATACCTGAAAGAACAACTACAGGCCAATATCTTTGATAAATATTAATACAAAAAATCTGGAAGAAAATATTAGCAAAATGAATTCAACCATACATTAGGAAGACTGTTTATCATCACCAAGTGACATTTATTCCAGAGATACAAGAAGAGTTCAACATATCTAAATCAATCAATGGAATATATCATATCAACAGAATAAATAATAAAACCATATGATCATTTTAATTCATGCTGAAAAAGCACACTTTCTTTGAAATTGCTTCATAACAAACCTTCTCACCCCCCAAAAAAGAACATACCTCAACATAATAAAAGCCATATATGAGAGACCTTACTCTAGCATCGTACTAAATGGAAAAAAAGGAAAGTAGTTCCTATAAAATATTTTACATTTTAGTGGATGTCCAGCATCACCACTGTTATTCAAGGTAGTACTGAAAATTCTACCTAGAGCAATCAGAAGAAAAACAAACAAAAAAATAAGTCAAATTATTATTGTTTGCTGATGATATAATCTTACATTTGAAAAATATCTTAAAGAATCCACCAAACAGCTATAAGATCAATAATGATAAGATTAGCAAAGTTGTAGAATAAAAAATAAACATATAAATATTAGTAATATTTATATCTGCTAACAGTGAACAAGCTGAGAAAAAATAAGAAATCAATATTACTTACAATACTACAAATAAAATTACATACATAAAATTTACCTTAGCTAATAAAGTGTAAAGTCGCTATAGAAAAAACTATAAAACACTTATGTAAAAAATTGAAGACACCTAAAAATGGAAAGGTATGCCTTGTTTATGAAATGATAGAATGAATATTTTTAAAATGTGTACTACCTAAATGAATCTACAGAGATAATGTAATTCCTATCATAATATCAGATATTTTTACAGAAATAAAAAAATCTAAATTTTGTATAAATCCTCAAATAACCTAGAATAGCCAAAGCTATCTTAAGCAAGAAGAACAAATCTATAGAAACCATATTATCACTTCAAATTATGTTATAGAGCTATAGTAACCAAAATGACATGGTTGACAGGCAAATAAACAGGCACATAGACCATTTGAACAGATTAAAGGACTCAGAAATAACTCAATTCATTCACAGAAAAATCATTTTGGACAAAAGTGCTGAGAACATACGTTGGGAAAAGAGCTTTTTTTTTTTTTTTTTTTTTTTTCAAGAAGTGGTGCTATGAAAACTGAATATCTACAGGCAGAAGAATGAAAGCAGACCCCTATCTCTCACTATATATAAAAATCGAATCAGACTGTACTAAAGACTTAAATCTGAATCCTGAAACTATGAAACTGTGAAACAAGAAAACATATGGAAAACTCTCCCAGTCATTGAACTCAGCAAAAATTGCTCGAGCAATACAACACAGGAAAAGTAAAACAAAGCAAAAATTAACAAACAAAATCACATCAAGTTTAAAAGGCTCTGCAAAGCAAATAAAAAAATCAACAAAGTGGAAAAAACCCCACAGAATTAGAAAAACAATTTCAAAACCAGTCATCTGGCAAGGGACTGATAGCCATAATATATAAGAATTTCAAAGAACTTCATAGAAAAAATATAATAATCTCATATAAAATGGACAAAAGACTTGAATACTAATTTCTCATAAGGTGTACAAATGGAAAACTGGCATGGGAAATGGTCATCAACATCATTATCAGAGAACTGTTAATCAAAATGACAATTACTTATTATCTCTCTCCACTTAAAATGACTTTTATCCAAAACACAGGCAATAACAAATGCTCTTGAGGATTTGGAGAAAAGGAACCCTCCAACACTGTAAGAATGTGAATCAGTATAACCTCTATGGGGAACAGTTTGAAACTTTCTCAAAAACTAAAAATAGAGCTACTGTATGGCCAACAATCCCACTGCTGGGTATATAATCAAAAGAAATAAAGTCATTATATTGAAGTGATATCTGAACTTTCATGTTTATTGCAGCACTATTAACAATAACTGAGATTTGGAAGAAACCTATGTCTACTAACTGAGGAACTGATCAATAAAATCTGTTGCATATATACAGTGGAGTACTATTAAGCCATAAAATAAAATATGATCCTGTCATTTGTAACAACATGGATAGAACTGGAAATCATTATGTTATGTGAAATAACAGAGGTAGAGAAAGACAAATATTGTATGTTCTCACTTATTTCTGAGATCTAACAAGTGAAACAATTGAAGTAAGAGAGTTAGAAAAAGAAAGGATGATTGTCAGATGCTGGTAAGAGTAGTTGGTGGGGTTAGAGGGAAGAGTGGATGGCTAGTGGCTGCAAAAATTTAAATAATAAGTAAGACCCAGTATTTGCTAGCTCAACATGGTGTCTGTAGTGAAGGCAATTTAATTGTTCATTGTAAAATAACTAAGAAAGTATAATTGAACGTTTGAAACACAAAGAATAAATTATTGATGTGCTATGGAAACTAAAAAATAGAAAAAATAAATAACAAATGAAAATTTCTTTATGAATTTACCAAAATGAAGCAATAGACTTACATGAGAATTATTGAGAAATCTTTTATAATAACTGTAAAATTATACCTAAGAGATATTTACAATAATAATGATACATTTGAATGTTTTTTTCCAAAAATTTTAACAGAAGCAAAGTCAAAATCACATACAGAGTATGTATTGTAATTAATTGTATGAGAAAAATTTATTTAAAAAATATTCTAGTATATCAAAAATCAATAAAAATTGTCAAATTATTTAAAATAGAAACAAATAAGACCTAAAATTTAAAAGTTCTCAAACCAATTTATAATGTTAGAAATATAATTACATATGTGAGTAGTTCATTTATATAATTTCACCTAATAAATAAGCAGCATAGATTTTATACTATAACACTGAGAGTGTCAACTGAAGGAAAATTTCAAAGCTAGTAAAACAAGAGAGAATAGAAAAGGTCTAAGGATATGTGGAGCCAACTCTATGATGCATGTTTTTTTCTGTAATATCAAAATCTGCAGCCCCCTCTGTGAGATTTTGCTAATTATATAACGAGGACCCTGAAGAGGCTTACACTGGAGTAAAGAACAGAGTTCAGAGATGTAACATCTTTTCCAAGCCTGGGTGTGATTCTATGCTCCTAAACCTTCATTGTCTCCACCACCATATCCCCACATCACTCCCATGTAACCATCACAGCAATAGAAGGATTTATAATTATAGAAAGAATTGTATTATTGAATTATTTCACCCATTGCACTCTCAGTGACCCATCCAGATGTGTTCACACAGACCAGACATTCAGTGCATAAAACTTCACAATTTCAGTTCCAGCCCAGACCAAATACATAGGCCCCAACTGAATATTTAACTGACTAACGTAGGCCAAGAACAATATTCAGGCTTTCAACATAAAACCAGATTTTATCAACCCCTCAAAATCAAAATTAAATAATTCTGATATATTTGGCCCCACTTTTACATTACTATGAGTAAGACCTGTGTCCACTTAAAATCAAAAATGGTCTCTTGTGTATTTGACTGCATACCCTCTGGGTCAATATTTTTACTGCAGATGAAATCAATAAATATGCACCCAGCCATTGGTCCTGCAACTGGTTTCCATTGGCTAGCAGCATTGAAAACACCTGAGAACTTGGAAAAAAAAAGACATATTTTTTGACCAAAGTTCACAGCAGCTGAATCAGTAATATGCAGGATGGGGCCAGCAATTTAAGCACATGCTAAATTAAAGAGGCTCTTCAATTCTGAAGTAACAGTTTATCCATGAGTTAACAGGTAAATTATATTAGAAGCCATGTGTTGAGGTAAAAATCATGACAGAAAATTTAATAAACATTTCTGTAAATTAAATAAAATCTGACTAAAAAATATAGCCTTTATTGCCTTCTTGCATCTTAATATATTTCTTCCTTTCGGTGCTTCCATTGATAACTTTACACATAAGCTAGTTACGCTCATGTAATAATTTAATTTATTACAGATAATTCAATATAATAATTTAATTTAATAATATAATTCAATATAATCAATATAATCAATATAATAATTTAATTTAAAACAGATACTAATTTATTTATTTTTATTTAATAATATATGAAACACATGACAAAAGATTAATAGATGTAATATTTGATTATTGGGTAGAATATAATAGTGTCACCATTATGCTGAGAGGGGTTACTTGCATTAGGTAGAAACCAAGAGAGGGGTTCCTAGAGGGCCCCTGATGTATGCGACAGGACCTCATTCCTACATAACTCAAAAAGCAGCCAGGGAAAAGAAATCAAGCTTCAGGAACTTATAGGTTAACTAGCACATGGGTTGTTACTGTAGGCATGCCACTGGCTGCACAGAGAGGAGAATCTCCAGCCCATTCACATAAAAACTTGCACAAGCCTCCAGATAAATAAGATAACTCAGATAAATTTAAAAAGCCTGGCATAGAAAAGCTTTTGTCCTTTGTGTAATCAGCTGGCTCCCAGTAATAAGTTTATTCTCCTTTTGTTGGCTTGAACACAGTGGACTCCAGTAAGTTTCAGTGGGAACTTTTCTTTTCTTTTTGAATTGTGAGGCTGGGCTCTATAAATTTTCATGTCAGCTCTTGATTGGTCCAGGAGTAAGTTTTTGGGCCAAGCTATAACTTCAGCTCTAGATAAATCCCAGGCCAAAATAACAGCCTCTATAAATTGTTTCATCAGCTGCTGATTGGTCCTGGCCCATGCTTTCTGATTTTATGCAAAGCTGAGCCATGAAGTCTCCAAGACATCCAGAAGACAAAGCATATTCATTTTTCTTCCCAGTCCATAAGAACCCTAGACCATGACACCATGGCTTAAACCCATACAGTCCTCCACTTTTTGCTGGTGGAGAGATTTTTTCTTTCATTTATTAAACATTTGCTCCAACCTCACCCTTGTGTCCCCGCTTCTTAGCTATCTTGGTCATAGGACAAAGAACTCTGCGTATTATCTCAGACAATGAGAGACTGTTTTGTCTTGGTACATTAGTGAGACTACAACATACTTTGATGCATGGTCTGGGTAAGAAGGAATTTATCAGAAGGGTGATTAGGAGTGGATCTTTAACACTCCACTTTCTGAGGTTCTTGTCCTAAGTTTTTAATCTCCAGAGCTGACAAAACACTGGAACCATGTCAGCCATTTAAAAATAATTAACATCAATGTCAGCCTTAAGACTCAGGGGAAAAGCTTGCTGCAGAGGACTTTATCAATTCCCCAATTACTCCCAGATGTTTGAATTTTGGCTCTATTATAATTCAGATTCCCTTCACAGAAGGCCTAGCCATCACATGGGATTAGAAAGTGGTCCTAGGGCAACTGAGGCTTGGGACTGAGCCTACAACTCAATGTTACCTGAAGGCCCTTCAACTAATTCCAGTTCCCAAGAGCCCATTGGAGCACCAGCACAATAACTTCCAGTCATTTTATCATATTTTCCTTCTTTCTTCTTGTGGCTATTATGTCTACTATACCTCTGTTGTAAGAAATGTTCTGTGTGTTTTTGCAATTTAGAGACATAAACTTGTCTGATAAAGTCAGTCAATGTCTTGGTAATCAGGAATGTAACAAAGAATTTTTGTTTTTGTGATTTCCTAGCAACAGAAAAAAATTAGGATTTCTCTAATGTTTTACATAGTTCAGGCCTTTCTGTCCCTCAATAATAAACATTCATGGCAGTGGATGAGATAATAGTTTACCCTGAGTGAATACCCTCCTCTTCATATGGGCTGTTTCTTCACTTGCTGTAAAAGCCCAGAACTGTACAATGAATCTAAACATTTTTTTATAAATTTTTTTTTATACTGGGGGCATGTTATGGGGACACCCTATCAAAACCCAGACCTCTCTTTGTAATAGTTACCTGAAAAAAATTTCAAGTCAGAATTTTACCTAGCATTTCAATCCCAAATGGCCACCTAGTAAAATTAGATTTTTTCTCTGTGGGAAGCCTTGTCTACACTTTCTCCAAAACATCTAGTTTCTAATTATCTTCTATCTTACATCCCTTTGTCAGTAATCATGTCTCATGGCCTATTTGTAGGCAGGATAATTCCATTTGTAATAGTTGGGAGGAAGCCACCCTTAAAGGACATATTTTAGCCTTTTTGCTGTCCCCATCATAGAAACGACAGTCATTCAATCCATACACTCCTCAATGCTCTTTTGAGGCATCTGTTTTGCATCCAGGTACACTGGAATTTAAACAAGATATTTTATATTTGCATGTCAATTGGTCCCATTCTCTGATATTCCAATGTTTTCCTGGGGTCATATCAGGGGGAGCCAGAAATTGTATTAAGAGACTCCCATCATTAATAAGTCTTGCCAAAATTTAACTAGTACCCAATTTCTCCTGGGCTTCTGGGGTACTTTGAGATCCTTTGGGGTTAAGTTAGTCTAGGAAATCAGCCGGGTAAAAATCTAGGGCTTTGTGCAGGTGACCATGGCTAATCCTTCCAGCTAGCTCATCTGGATCCAAGGATGGATATGCTTGCATAATGGGATACCCCTCTAACTTTCTCTCCACCCTGGGTCATTCTGAAAAGAGAAAAGAGAAAGATAGCACATTTTCTCCACATTTTTCTAGATGTGTGACAGAACATCTGTGGTCTGTACTCTCCTTGAGCACATTCTTCTTTAACTCTTAACACTCAGACCCTAAAGAAAAAGCAGTTTATATTACATTTCACAGTATATATTCTATTTATGGGGCTTGTATGTTCATCTTAGGGAAAGGAGGCCTAGACTGTTCAGGGTAGCATTAATTTCAATGACATTAAAGAACTAGCTTTTTTCTTTTTAATCTCCAATGAAATCCAGATTTTTGTAAGCATTGTAAAATTCACTCTGACCTCTTTGCAGCCATATCAGGCAAGCCTACAAAATATAATTCCCAAAAGTCAGAAAGACAAACCATTGAGAAACCCTCAAAGGCAACTTCTGGGTGTTCTGCCTACCTCTATTATCCAGGGCCCTCAATAGTCCTATCATCAGCTCCTGCGGTTGTGGCATGCAAGAAACCTCCAACTTCACTCTTGCTCCTACACTAAATGTCCTATAGACATGGTACCACTAGAGTCCAAGTTTCCTTCTCATTACAACTCCTTATAAAAAATCAGACAGACCTAAACAAGTTTTATAATGACTGTGATAGACATAAAAAGGCTTTCCAAAATCTAATGCAAGTGTTTGATCTCCCATGGGGAGATGTTCTGTTACTCCTAAGCCAAACTCTAACTGCTGCTGAGAAATAGGCATCTCTACAGGCAGCAGAGAGATTTGAAGAAAAACAGCAGATCTCCTTTAGTCAGTCAAAAAATAGACCCAGTTGAAAGTGGAAATAGGGTAAAAAAGAGAAGAATTTCTATTTCTAATAGAAAGAAAGGTTGTGCCCCTTTGAAGCCATATTTGGAAACCTAGTGATCTATAGGTCACTGGAAAAGAAAACACTTTCTGATTTGCATATTGTAAGGCTTGAAAAGAACCTGAACCAAACTTTTACTTACTTTAAACTCTCCTTTTTCATATCAGAAGCAAGATGAAAATCCCTCAGCCTTTTTTGAAAGGCTGACAGACACTTTAGTGAAACACACCTCTGTATCTCGTAATTCAGTTGAGGGACAGATAATCTTAAAAGACAAGTTTATTACTCAGGCAGCCACTAATATCAGAAAAAAAGCAGATTGTGAGCCTGGATAGCACCTTGGAAAACCTTCTGGGTTTGGCCTTCTTGGTCTTATATATGAGAGACAAGGAGAAGTCACAGGAAAAAGAGGAATAGCACAAGAGAAAAAAGAGGCACTAGTTGCCACTTCGCAAGCTAATGAGATCCAGAATCCCCAAAGTGCACCTGATAATTGCTATCAATGTGGCAAGTGGGAGTATTCAATAAGGATTGCCAAGGCAGCAAGAAGAAGCCACCTTCTTCCACCCATTGTTGAGACCACTAGAAGTCATACTTTCCCTGGAGATGTAGGTCACTGAGTCAAGGGCAAGTGTCCTCAATATTCCAACAGGACTGATGGGTCCCAGAGCCAATTCCACAGCTCCGATAGCTCTAACTGCCATTACTGTCCAGGAGTCCCATGAGATTATGGAATTAGAAGGGAGGAAAGTGAATGTCCAGGGCTAGTCTCTTTGTTCTCCTTTCCAATTCAGGGTTTCCCTCCTCTCATAGGATAAGTCTGATAGACTTCTTGGGAAGGAAAACACTCTTTTTAATTTCTTAGCTGAAAAGAAATATAGGTCCAACAATCAAAAGCTCAGCTCTGTCTGATTTCAGAAATGCACTGGAAAGAAATAGCCTGCCTTTGGTAGACAGTAAAGGAAGGACCCCCAGGGAGTCCCCAAACCATGTGTCAGTGTCTCATTTCCACATAACATAGAAAGCTGACTGGGAAAAAATAATCAAGCTGCAGGCAGTAATAAGGGAAATAGCACAGGGGTGTTGTAACTGAAAATATGCTCATGGCTACACAGACAGGGAAATCTCCAGCCCATTTAATCAAGAACTTTCACAAACATCTGGCTCACCCATATAAGGAAACAAGCTGTGACACAGAAATGCCTTTGTCTTTTGTATAATTAGCATCTCATGAAAAAGTTTCTTCTCTTTTTGTGGGCATGAACACAGTGGGCTTTGGTAGATTCCAGTGGGTGCTATCTTTTTCTTTTCGTTTGTGAGCCTAGCCTCTATGAATTATTACTTCAGATGCTGATTAGTTTTGGGCTATATTCCCAGGCCAAGCTTTCACTTCAGCTCCTGATGGGTAGCACAGTAAGATGAGCAGTCCCTATAAATCAGCACTTCAGCCCCTGATTGGACTGGGCACAGTCTAAGGCAAAATGTGTGACTGGTCCTTGGCCAAGGCCCTGGGTCAATCTGAGTCATATTTCCAAGACAGTCAACAAATTAAGCACATTATTTAACCTTCTTTTTCCATAGAATCCCTGATTCTCAGCCTCAGAGTGGGCAATTTATTGAGGCCTGCCCTCTCTGCTGGCAGAGAACTCTCTTCTTTCAATTATTAAACTATTATTCTATTCCAACCTCACCCTTGTGTTCATGCTCCTTTATTATCTTGGACATGAAACAAAGAACTCCAGGTATTATTTCAGAAGAATAAGAAACTGAAACATCTTGTTGCATTGGTGAGACTACAACATATTTTGGCACATTGGCCAGGAAGAAAGGGATTAATTAGAAGAGTGAGTAGAAGTAGAATCTTTATTTTTAATTTATTTTTATTTTTATTTTTTACTTTCTGAGCCTTGTTACACTCAGTTTTTTTCTCTTAAGAGAAACTTTGGGAATGTTGGCTTTGTATTGACCCTGTTTTCTTTCCAGAAAACCTAGCCATTGCATGGGATTTAAAAAAGATCCTAGGGCAACTGAAGGTTTCTGGCTGGAGATACACCTCAGTGTTACCTAAAGGCCTTGGACTAACTCTTTTTTCTGAAAGCCCATCAGGGCTTTGGCACAAGGACTTCCAGTCTTTCTATATCAATTTTTGCTTCTTTCTTTTTATGGCTATCATATCTCCTATTCCTTCTTTATATGCAATATTGGAGGTGTTCTGCAACCTAGACATATAATCTTGCTGGGTAAAGTCAGTCAGTATCCTAGTAATTGGAAATATAACTCAAAGTGTTTTTCATTTTGTGATTTCCTAGAAACAGAAAAAATTAGGATCTCTCTAAATTTGTACCTAGTAAGGGTCTTTAAGTCCCCTAATAACAGGCACTGGATGAGAGAATATTTCACTCTGAGACCTCTTCATTTGGGTTGTCTTTTCATGTAAAAGCTCAGCACTGTTCAATGAATGTAAACATTTCATTTATGAAACAAGTTAATTTTCTTCTGGCAGGGAGCATACTATAGGGACAGCCTATGAAATCCCAAATCTCTCTTTCTAACATTTATCTGAAAAAAAGTTCAACTCCAAGTTTTTACCTAGCATTTCTAACCCCACAATGTCACCTAGTAAAATGGGATGTTATTCTGTGTGGAGCCTTGCCTACTCTTTGTTCAAAACTTATAGTCCCCTAAGTACTTTCTCTCTTACATCCCTTTATCAGTGATCATGTCCCATGCCCTATTTGGGGGGCAGGATAAATCCACTTGTAACAATTAGGAGAATGTTACCTCAAAAGACAGATTTTAAGCTTTTTGCTGTCCCCATCAAAGAAATGACAGCTCTTTTGTGGCACATCTTATGCTGTCTTGTGGCATGTCATCTGCATCTAAGTATATTCAGCATTAAATAAACAAGATATTTTATGTCAACTGGTCCCATTCTCTGAGATTCCGATGTTTTTTGGAGCCATAACAAGGAAAGTCAGAGATGGTAATTCAGCACTATCTTCATTAAAGAATCTTGCTAAAATTTAACTAGAAACTAATTTCTCTCAGGTCTCTGGAGTACCACCAGACCCTTTTGGGTTGAGTGAGTCTAGGAAATCAGTAGGACAAAAAGCTAGGGTTTTGTGCAGGTCAGCATGGCAAATCCTGCTGGTGAGCTGCTCCAGAGCTATGGGTGAAGGTCACACTTCCCTTAATGTGCCAGGACCCAGAGGGTAAAGAAAGAGAATAGGAGGGACACCCCTCTATTTTTCTCTCCATTCTGGGTCAATCTAAAAAAATAAGAAGACTGAGAGACACCTTTTCTCTTCACTTTTCAAGATGGGTAACACACAATTTGAAGACTACACTTCCCTTGAGTGCATTCTTCTTTAACTCTTTTTTCCCTCAGACCCTGAAGAAAAAAAAAAAAAACACACAGCTTATGTTCTATTTCAGAGGGACTCAGCCATCTTATGGAAAGGAGGCCTGGCCTCTTCAGGGAAGCAATAATTTTAATACTATTCAACAACTAGATTTTTTTACTTATATGAAGCAACCCAGATTTCTGTAAGCATAGTCAAATTCACCTTGCCCTCTTGGCATCCCTATCATGCAAGACTACAAAATATAATTCCCCAAAGTCAGAGAGACTAACTTTTGGGAAACCCTCAAAAGCAAATTATGTGTATCCTACCTGCCTCCCTTATTCAGGGAACCCTATAATGATATCATTAGATTCTCTTGTTTTGCCAAGCAAGAGACCCGAACCTTCATTCTTACCCCATGGGAAACATTCAGTGGACATGGTGTTACTAGGGTTCCAGTTTTCTTCTCATTGCAGAACCTCTAACAAAGAGGAGGACCTAGGCAATTTCTCTAATGATTGTGATAGATATATGGAGGTTTTACAAAATCTAACCCAACTATTGAATCTTATGTGGAGAGACGTTATGCTACTTCTAAGCTAAATCCTAACTGTTGCAGAGAAACAGGCACCTCTACAGATAGCAGAGATATTCAGAGACACACAACAGACCTCCTACAGGCAGTCAAAGAGAAACCCAGTCAAAAAGGGAAGGAGGGTAAGAAAGAGACAGAATCTCCATTTTTAATAAGAGAAGCACTGTCCATTAAAAACCCTAATTGAATCCCTAGTTATCCCATTGATCTGTGAAAAAAAAACACTTTCTTATGTGTATAGTAAAAGGCTTGCAAATAATCATAACCAGTCTTCTCAATTACTTTTAACTGTCCTTATTAAATCCTGTTGAAAACCTCTCAGCTTCTTTGGAAAGAAGTATACTTTAGTGAAGCCCAGTTCTCTATCTCCTAATACATATTGAGGGACACATAATCTTAACAGACAAGTTTACTACCTAGGAAATCCCTGGTTTGGAAGGAAATTACAAAAGTAGAGTGTGAGCCCAGATAGCACCTAGAAAACCTCCTAGGTCTAGCCTCATCAATATTTTACAACATGTACCAGGAGAAGGAGACCTAGGAAGAAAAGGGGAGGCACAAGAGAAAAAAGAAAGCACTAGTTGCCACTTCACGTGTTAATGAGACCTGGAATCATCAACATGCAACTGCTAATTGTTACTGGTGTGGCAAGTGGGGGCACTATAAATGGGATATCCAGAACAGCAATAAGAAGCCACCCCAGCCTTGTCCCATCTGTTAAGACTACTGGAAGTACAACTGTCCCAGGAAATGTCAATCACCAGGTTCAAAGCCAGTCTTTCTGATGGTCCAGCAGGACGATTGTATCACATAGCTTGATAGGCAGGCTCCAAGGACTCTAACACCCATCAATATCCAGGAGTCCCAAGTGATTCTGCATGTAAAAGGGTGCAAAGTAAACACTCTTCTAAACATTAGACCTTGTCTCTCTTTTTTTTTCCTAATCCAGCCTTTCAGTTTTTCCAAGGCATGATCGTGATGGATTTCTCAAGAAGACACTAAAGCTCTTCTTAATTTCTTAGTTGGAAGGGAATTTAGTGTCTCCAAATCTAAACCTAAGCTCTGTTAGGCTGCAGTGAAGTATCTGCATCTGGTCTTACCAGAAGGAACCAGAGCACCAGGGGAGGAAACAATTGAGCTCATTTTTCTTAACTTTTAGAAGGATTCTTAGGCATTATTTTATTTTGAAGATTTTGGGTACTGGAATACAATAAAATAGTTCATCTTTTACACTACTTCATAAAATAAACTCAAGCAGCTAAAACTATCTCCCTAAATTCATTTATGAACCCCAAACTCAAAGCCTTTAGCTAGCTAAAGCAAACCTTACTTAAAGCGTCAACCTTCAATCTTCTGACAGAAAATGTATTTAATATCTACGTATCAGAAAAAAAAAGAATAGCCCAGGGATTTTTAACTAAGCCTTGAGTTATAGCTCAACTAGTGGGTTATCTAAGTGAGGAAGTTGACTTGATGGCTAAAGTATGGGCAACTTGCCTCTGAGAAATTACAGCAGTGGCTTTGCTGGTGCCAGAGGCTATGGTGTTAACCACATAAAATAACTTAACTGTTTGCATCCCACCCAGTATAGCAGTACTGCTGTCCTTTAAGGGAAGCCTCTGGCTAGCAATCCCTCCTCAAATATCAAGCTTTGTTATTAGAGGTATCTTCAGTCTAATTGAAAACCTACCCTTGCCTGAACCCAAACACTTTTTTTCCAGAGGAAACTGGAGAAACTTAACATGATTCTGAACAGGTAGTGATGCAAACCAGAAAATAAAATTATCAGAATCACTGTTTATATTCTCTGTAAGGTTCAATTAATGAAAAATGATTTTCTTAAATAGCATTCAGCTTAACTAAAAGTGGATATCTAATATATAGGTATATTCAAAAGGTCTTTATTTTTCTGTCTTCATAGGTCTTGTTTTATGGAAAAGGATTTTTCCTCAGGTGATAGAATTACTTTCCTCCACTTTATCTTGCCACTCTTGATGCCTGGAATAAAGGCCCTGGGATCACTTCTGGTGGCCTGTGGCTCCCTGAGAAAACAGAAAAGGCAGCACAAATCTTGTTTGCCTTCTTAAACGACTGAAGTTACATATGAATAATTATCTCTCAAAATCTCTTTGTCTTCGGGCTATGCTTGTTTACTAGACCTTGGTAACTTTATTCCTCACCCAGTTCTTAAAGGACTTCACATGGAGGCCAATAATCCAGTTGGGAAACTGACCAACTAGAGATTGTATAACTACAAAATCTTCTACTGGTCTCTGTGGTTATATAGGTGTTATGTGTGTGATATCTATTTAAAAAGAGCTCTAGTTAATTAAAAAAGTATATGGGCTCAAATCAAATAATTTTAAAGGAAAGATAAAGGGTGTGGTACTTTTCAGTCCATATGACTTTAATTTTTGTAAAGTAAAAACACCTTTGAAGATTATTGTTAAAATGCAAATGTCTGCAAGATTTAAATAGATTGTGTAAATTATGTAGGACAGATGCTATGTTGCTAAAAGTTTTAAGATTTCAAACTACTTCTTTGACTTTTAAAAACTGTCACCTTGCCTCGTTCACTACCAGTAACATTGGAGGACATATAAAAGTAAGCACAATCCTAACTATGCTGAAAGAAGTAAGACTGTATCTGCACCTAGCACATAATAAAAACAACTTACTAGGTTTTTAATTCGAGTTAAAATGGTGCTCATTAAAAAGTCGGGAAACAACAGATGCTGGAGAGGATGTAGAGTAATTGGAATGCTTTTACACTGTTAGTGGGAATGTAAATTAGTTCAACCATGTGGAAGACAGTATGGCAATTACTCAAGGATCTAGAACTAGAAATACCATTTGACCCAGAGATCTCATTACTGGGTATATACCCAAAGGATTAAAAATCATGCTGCTATAAAGACACATGCATACGTATGTCTACTGCAGCACTATTCACAATAGCAAAGACTTGGAACCAACCCAAATGTCCATCAATCATAGACTGGATTAAGAAAATGTGGCACATATGCATCATGGAATACTATGCAGCCATAAAAAAGGATGAACTCATGTCCTTTGCAGGGACATGGGCAAAGCTGGAAGCCACAATTCTCTGCAAACTATTATAAGGACAGAAAACGAAACAGCGCATGTTCTCACTCATAAGGGGGAATCGAACAATGAGAACACATGAACACAGGGTGGGGAACGTCACACATTGGGTCCTGTCAGGGGGTGGGAAGTTGGGGGAGGGATAGCATTAAGAGAAATACATAGTGTAAATGACGAGTTGAGGGTGCAGCAAACCAACATGGCACACGTATACCTAGTTAAACCTGCACGTTGTGCACACGTACCCTAGAACTTAAAGTATAATAAAAAAAGAAAAAAATTTCTATGAATTTCTAATATAATATGTAATAAAAAGCACTGAAAATAGATTTAAATGCAAACTACACAAAAATAAAATGTATTTTTAGTGAAAGTTGTAAGGAGCCAAATGTTAATCCCCAACACAATGAGGTAAATGTCTCCAGGCCATGTCAGAGACCACTGTGGCAGCTGTTCCTATCACAAACTCAAAGACCTAACAGGAAAAAATGGTTTCATGTGTGAGGCCCAGGGTCCCTCTGCTGTGTGCAGTCTAGGAACTTGGTGTCCTGCATCCCAGCCACTCCAGCTGTGACTAAAAGAGGCCAAGATACAGCTTGAGCTGTGGCTTCAGATATTGAAAGCCTCAATCCTTGACAGCTTCCATGTGGTGTTGAGCCCACAAGAGCACAGAAGTAAAGAATTGAGATTTGGGAACCTCAGTCTACATTTCAGAGGATATATGGAAATGCCAGCATGTTTAGGCAGAAGTTTGCTTCAGGGATGTGGTGCTCATGGAAAACCTCTGCAACCGCAGTTATGGAAGGAAAATATGGGGAGGGATCCCTGAGAAATAGTCCCTACTGAGGCACTACCTCGTGGAGCTGTGAGAAGAGGGCCACCATTCTCCAGGCCCCAGAATGGTACATTCACCAACAGCTTGCTTTGTGCACCTAGAAAAGTCACAGACTCTAAATACCAGTTCATGAAAGCAGCCAGGGGGAGGCTATATTCTGCAGTGCCACAGGGGTGCAGCTGCCCAAAGCCATGGTAGCCCACCTCTTGCATCAGCATGACTTGGATATGAGACATGTAGTCAAAGAGATTAGTTTGAAGCTTTAAGATTTTACTACCCCACTGGATTTTGGACTTGCCTGAGGCCTGTAGCCCCTTTGTTTTGGCTAATTTATCCTATTTAGAATAGCTGTGTTTACCCAATTCCTGTTACCCCATTACATCTAGGAAGCAACAAACTTGCTTTTAATTTTATAGAATCACAAGTATAAGCGAGTTGGCTTGTCTAGTGGAGACTTTGGACTGTAGACATTTAAGTTAATGTTGAAATGAGTTAATACTTTAGGGGACTTTTCTGAAGGCATGACTAGTTTTGAAATATGAGGACAAGAGATTTGGGACTGGCCAAAGGCGGAATAACATGATTTGGCTCTGTTCCCACCAAAATTTCATTTTGAACTCCCACTAGTTGTGGGAGAAATCCTGTGGGAGGTAATTGAATGATGGGAGTGAGTCTTGATGGTTCTGTAAGTGGGAGTTTCCCTGCACGAACTCTCTTCTGTTATGTGTTTCCATGTGAGATGTGCCTTGACTTCCACCGTGATTTTTGAGGCTTCCCCAGCTATGTGGAACTGTTGAGTCCTCTAATCTTTTGTTTTGTAAACTGCCCAGTCTTGTGTATGTTTTGTCAGCAGCATGAAAACAGATGAATACAAAATGTTTTTGTGTTTTCAATTTTTTTTCACTTATTTTGGCAAAGCCAACAACTCATAGTAATTTGAAATTCTATTTTATAATATTAAGCGTTTTACATTTCTAACACCTTTTACAGGTTTTCCAACATAAATCTTCAGTGTCAAGTTTGTATTTCCTGCCCGCTGGCTTTTGGTTGCTACAGAAGTCCCCTGTGTTTCAAAAAGTCTGGGATGTCTTAGGTTTTATTTCCTGAATGTTTGTTGTCAATCACAATTAAGGTTATTAAGTTGGATTATTATAAATTGCAGAAATAATCAAATTTCTTTTTTCATAATGTTTCTGGCTTCAACAACCCTGGACATTTTGTCACTTACACACAGTTGTTGTCTGTCTTACTTACTTTATTTATTTATTTATTTATTTATTTATTTATTTATTTGAGATGGAGTTTTGTTGTGTCATCCAGGCTAGAGTGGAGTGGCGTGATCTCGGCTCACTGAAAGTTCCGCCTCCAGCGTTCATGCCATTCTCCTGACTCATCCTCCCAAGTAGCTAGGACTACAGGCACCCACCACCATGCCCAGATAATTCTTTTGTATTTTTAGCAGAGACGGGGTTTCACCGTGTTAGCCAGGATAGTCTCAATCTCCTGACCTCATGATCTGCCCCCCATAGCCTCCCAAAGTGCTGGGATTACAGGTGTGAGCCACCATGCCTGGTCTCTGTTGTCTTATTTTAATTTCCTTCCAAAGATGGTTTATAATCAGCCATGGAAATTTAACAGGTTCTCTCAAATGCAGGTTTCTGATAAGAGAAAATATGCAGAACTCATAAAAAGCTAAAATGTTTACGAATATGAAGTAGAACAAGCATTAATGGAATGAGCTAAACAAGTACAAAACTGAAGCAAGATTTTTGACTTCTGCTTGAAATATTGCTGATCCTCATTTTATTTTTCAGCAATCAAGTAAACTTTCTTAAAAGCTTTTAACACTTGAGCAAGTCTTAAAAATATGAACAAAAATTGAGACATGTTTGTTTCTCTGCCTAGTTACTCTAGAATTTGAAAAGTAGTTATGAATATTATTAAATTAAAACAATATGGTTGTTTGCATCAGTGCAACAAGAATCCATTTTCTTTTACAACACGATGCAATTGAAAAAAAAAAAAACTGGTTGTTTTACCAATGCTTTGTCTGGAAGGATGTGTTTCTCTTTAAGGAATCAAGCTTAAGTTGCAGAGAATATAAAAGCCTCCTGGAAAAACTGGCCTCATACCTTGTCTAAACAGTCCCCTTACAGAGTTCCTGGCCTGCAGTGAGCATAGAATGTCACTTTCTAGTAGGCTCAGGAAACCTATTCTCTTGAAACCTAAAGAAGAGGAGAGTTTACTCAACTCACAGGTATTTGAAGATACAAACCTATGGCTGGGCTTGGCTTTTCAAAGTCCAATCTGAGATTTCTTATGAAACAGAATTCCATCAAAGCCAATCAAAAAGGCCTGTGTGGAGGTGATTGTTCTTGCTGCACTTTATGCAAATAATTAATCCAAGTATAAGACTAAAGTCTATTTCACAAAAGCTCAGTGCTATTATGTTTTTCTTTTTTTTTTAAATAGGACTGGAAAGAGAGAGATTATGTTTCAAAACTTATCATACAGCTGTCATTGACTTTTAGTCTCAGTTGTTGTTAAGTGTTTGCCTACATTTTAGATTAACCATGGTTATTTCAGTGAGCCAACCAGCAATTTCTGGCTGTAGCTCAGAGTTGACAGAAAGGAATGGGCAATGTAAAAATATGGGATAAGAACTCCAATACTAGGGCAATTATCCTATATGTCTTGCCAGGTAATGGGAGTAAACAGGGTGCCCATAACCAAGAGTTTTCTGTTTGGAAGATTGAGACCAAGGAAGGGAACCAAAGCAAAGCCCCATGCACTCAAATGTTAACAAGCATATCTGTAGGCACCAGTTATCAAGGCATGTCAGCAGCCTCAGAATTCTTAGGCTGTCCTTATCCCCATTTTCTTATTTTAATACATGCCCTCTAAGTATTTAAATTGTTTCTTTTCAAATAGAGACTATCCAAATCTAAATGGTAATGCAACTAGAACCATGGCATAAGTGAACCTTTCTTCTGAGGACACTTAAACCAACCTAAGTAAGAATCTTAGCAGCTGTTTTTTACTCAACCCCCTTCTTCATCAGGAAGTAGGCAGAAAGATCAATGCTCGATCTCCCTAAAAGCAGTTAGGGTCTCCACTTCTAAGGGGCGACCCAAAAGAGTAAGCTAGCTTGCCCAGAAAGCCTCTGACCCATGGGTCAGTGCCTCATTCTCACATAATAAAAATCAGCCTGGAAAAAAAAGTACAAGCTACAGGCACCAATAAGGGAACTTCTGGCACAAAGAGTTGTGTCTGGAGACATGCCTGTGACTGTGCAGGTAGAAAAACCTCTGGCCTATTTAGATAAAACTTTGCAGAAACCTTTGGCTCACACACATAAAAGAGGAAGGCCTGTCATAGAAATACCTTTGTCCTTTGTACACTCAGTCAGCTCCCAGAAGAAAAGCTTTTTCTTTTGTGGGCATGGGTACAGTGAGCTCTGGTGGGTTCTGGTGGAAACATTTCTTCCCTTTTTTAAAACTGTGAGTCCAGCCTCTATGAATCATCATTTAAGCCCCTAACTGGTCCTAGGCCAAGGTCCTGGGACAAGCTGTCACTTCACCTCTTGATAGGTCTTGGGCCAAGATAATCAGCCTCTATGAATCATCACATCAGCCACTTATTAGCCCCAGGCCAAGTCCTCTAAATTCTTTTGGGTTTCTCATCATTTAGAATAAAAACAATATAAACATAGCATTGGACTATATTACTCAATCATATGTCATTACTATATGGCATGAGAACCTAGAGCAAGGTGGATTCGGTTAAAATTTTGATAGAATAACACAGCATTCAATATTAAGCCATGCTGATAAATTAAAAATATCAGTTTTATTTATTAAAACAAATTAAGTTCTAATCAAATCAAATGTAAGCTACACTAAGTAAAGCATTTCAAAATCCACTCTATTCTCAATGACCTACAAACACTAAAGAAGTATTTTTGTTCCACTGCCACCATGATCTATATAAAAATATGCCTTTTTTTTTAAGCTGAGGCTATGTACTTACAATACTAAACATACAATGAATCTATGTCCTATGAGAGGGAAGTTATCTGAATATTCATCTAATATTTGTGTAGATTTGTTCATTGTTTCTATACCAATATGAAGATGAATCAGAATGTTAATGGACTGGCCAGACATTTTTCTTAATGATCAGTTGGTAAAAATATTTATTTCTAAATGTCAAGCTGTTTTGGTGTCCTATTTTAATTCAGAAGAATGATTCTCTGAACACCTAATTTATGCATGACTTACAACACTTCTGTAAATAAAGCAAAACAGCACTACCATTTGGATTGTCATGATACATTGTTCAGGCCAGTGCCTTCAATATTCTATTGGAGAGATGATGGGAATGATGCTCACCTAATATAGATGAGATTAACATAAACAATCAATTGCATGCTTTACATAAACAGTAGAAATAAAGTATTATTCAGTAATATAACTTTAATTATATCAATAATATTCACACAAATCATTTCAAATAATGTCACTACAAAATGAATATACATTGAATGTGAATATTTTATTGATCCATCAATCTCTGCTGCTTTGTAACAAATTATCTAATACTTGGACTTTGAACTATTCTTTAAAATAAACGTTGTTATTTAGAGTAATATCTAGTGTCTTATTTCTAGCTTGATTCATGTAATTTATATGTAGGCTTGATTTTTATCACATTTATAATGGTTTATTTCTATAGGAATTATTTAAGTAAAACTTGAGCAACACTTAAAGGCTTCACTACCTATTTTATATTTGCATATATATTTTTTTCAATAGAAATACTATGGTCCTCAATAAGAGGTAGATTTGAAACAGAGGTCTTTTCAAAGTTATTACAGATATAGCATTTCTATTTAGTATTGATATGCTACTGTTGAGTAATGTGTAAGCACAAGTTAATGACTGAGACATATTCTTTATATGTGCAGGGTTTAAATTTAGTATACATTATCTTATGTAGCACAATGTTTGAGCACTAATACCTATGATGTGATCAGATGATACACACAGCAAACCACCATGGCACATATTTACCTATGAAGCAAACTGGCACACCCTGCACATGTGTCTCAAAATCAAAAGTAAAAATAAGAAGGAAAGAAAGAAAGAAAGAAAGAAATGAATGAAAGGTATGTCACATTCATTACATTTGTTGTATTTCTTTTTAAAATAAATTATCTGATTCTGAGTAGAATTTGAACGTGTGTTAAAAGCTATGCAACTTTATACACATTTATAGGGCTTTCCTCCTGTATACATTCTCTGATACTGTGTAAGGTGTACTATGCATTCTCTGAGGTTCTGTAAGGTGTGCATACTGCTAGCATATTTGACACAATTTTTACATTTGGGTGGTTTCTCTCCATTACAAATTTTCTGATGTACACTAGAATTTTAAAAGTTGTTGAAGGCTTTACTATACTTTTTTACATTTGTAGAGCTTCTTTCCAGCATAAATTCTCTTATATATAAGGTTTAAGAAACAGTTAAAGGCTTTGCCACGTTCTGTAAATTTGCAGCATTTCTTACCAGTACAGATTCTCTGACATCATGTAAGGTGAGCATACTGGATAAAGACCTGCAACATTTTTTACATTTGTAATTTCTCACCTATATGGATTTTTTGATGTTGTTTAAGGATTGAGTGCCAGTTAAAAGATTTGCCAATTTTTTTAGCATTTGAATTTCTGCCTAATATTAAGAGATGTAAAGCTGTGTAGGGTTTAAGTGCTTTTTAAAATAATTGCCAAATTTTTTTTACATTTGAATTTTTCTCTAATAATAATTTGACTAAAGGTTCAATTATTGAGTAATAAGTGAATAGAGGCTTTCCTGCATTTATTACATCTGTGTATGTTCTAACATGAATTATTTGAAATTTAGATGTTCTGAAGACCGTTAAAATTTTTATCACTCATTACTATTTTAAGGCTTCTCTTAAAGATGAATACACTGATAGATAATAAGTTTTGAGATCTAACAAAATAATTTTATGAATTATTGCAATTGTAATAATTCTTTGGAAAATTAGTACTTTGGTGTTTATCAATGTTTGAGCCATAAAGGTTTCCTTTTTTGCTAATTTTATTATGATAGGTGTATTTCAAAAATGATGTTGATACATGTTTATAGAAACACGTGGTTCTTTAAAAGTAGCCAAAATAAATTGAGTTTTTTTTCTAAAATATTCTGTGTTCCTGATATCCTTTGGCACTTAAATTTTTGTTATGAGAATTGGGACAAATTGATAATATGTATTATGGTATTATTTCTTCTCTTCATCTTCACCTAATCTTTCCCAGTTTTTTACAATGTAAATTTTTGAGGCCACAGCTTGCATATTTTCCCAGTATTACTTTTTGAAATTAACCTTCTATGGCTAGCTTTGGTGAAAGACTTTGGTTGTACAAATTACACAAAACCAAAAGTAATAAAAATAAAAATAAATCCCACATACCAGATTTAGTTGAATATACTTTACAAATATAATAAGTGGCTCTCATTTTATCTTAGGTATATCAACTTAACTCTATACTGATCTAATGGTCTTTGTAGAAACTCTAAAAAGCAGATAAATATTTGCAAGACCAAAAGGGTATAAAACAACAAAATGTTTCATTTAGAAAGAAAAGTTAGTCTCATATACCTAACACAGCCTTACCTCCTCCAAGTACAGCATGGTGAAATTAAGAGAAACTTCCAACTCTATGTTGCTTCCAAGGGAGAGAAAAAGAAAAGTGGTATGTGTATGTACATTTCTGGTTTTTAGATAAATGCTCAAATATTGGTTTTTGTCTCCACTGACAGAGTGCTTAAGGAAAGGGTGGTATACTTTAAATAACAGGTATTCACTTTTTGCATTAATATAAATAGCAATTATGTAAACTCTATTAAATCTGAAGAGACCAGAACTCAACCATTGTCAAAAAGGGAAACATCATTGGAGGCATCATAATTCCTGGTCTAAAAACATATTATAAGGCTATAGTAATCAACATACTTTGGTACTAAAATAAAGACAGGTAAATACATCAATGAAACATAATACAGCAAATAAATTCTTGTATATAGGGTAAAATAAAGTTATTTACACATCTGTATTCATTGTAGCATTATTCACATAAATCAATAAGTGGAAAGAACCCAGCTTTTCTTGAAAAATATATTGAGAAATATAGATATATGAATAATTAAATATTACTCAACTTTTAGAGAGCAATAATTTTTGTTATATTCACAATAAAAATATGTATTGAGGTCATTGTGCTATGTGAAAAGATAGGCAGAAAGTGATAAATACTATATATGGTTCCATTTATGTAAGATACCTGAAATAAAGTTTTGGAAAAAGAAAGTGGATTGGACTCTGTCAGGTGCATAGAGAAGAGAAAATAAATAGTTGTGGTTTCATGGACAATCTGTTATAACACTAAAAAATACTAATTATTTTTAATAAGACTAAATCATGCAATGTGTCTTCGCTGGTCATATGAAATTAAACTAGTAAAAATAGCAAAAGCAATACTGACAAATTAATACATATGTGAAACTTAAACTCTTGAACACACTCTTCAATAAGAGTAAGTAGATTTAATATTATTTAGATGTAAATACAATCCATGGTGTCTTTTAAATGCAATGTAATCCCTATGAAAATCTGAGAGTTATTTACAGAAGTATTTTAACAAGTTTTAAATTTATATAGAATCTCAAAGGACTATGAGTAGCCCAAACAGCCAAAGAAAATAAAATTAGAAGCCCCACGCTTCCTATTTCAGAACAGATTAGTAGGCTATAGAAATAATATAACAATGCAGTACTGACAGAAAGACCAGCAAAGTAGATGATGAAACAGAACAGAGAACCAGAAAAATAAACCCTTGTGTGTATGATCAAATGATGTTCCACAGAGCTGCTGTAATCACACAATAAGAAAAAGAAATTCTCTTCAGTGTATTAAGTTGGGAAACAATATTCTACTTAGGAAATTTTGAGTTTAGACTTTGTCTCCAAAACATATGAAAAACTGTTTTTAATAGATTACACAGTGAAATGTAACAACTAAAACTCTACAAATTTTCAAAGAAAATATATGGTACAAGTTATAATATAGATCTTGGCAATGTTTTCTGGATTTGATATCAACTTCATATGCAACAAAGAGAACACTAAAATGGTACTACATTAATTTAAACTTGTGCCTGTCATAAGAAACATTTAGTGGTATAAAAATTACATCAAAGAATTGGACAAAGTATTTTAAAACCATATGTTTGACAGGAGATAATATCTAGGATATGTAAATAACTGCAAAAAGTTTAACAACAACAAGTGAACAACAATGTTTAAAGAAATGGACAAAAAAATGAGCAGAGATTTCTTCAAAAATAACATATAGTCAACATTAATTTGAAAAATGACCACTTTTTAGAAAAAAATGAAAAAAAAACCAAAATAACATACCATATTATACTCATCCAAATGGCCACTATCAAGAAATCAAAAAATAATGTTAAGGATGTAAAAAACATTGAAATCCTTGTGTGCTGGTGGAGGACAAAAATGATGAGGCAGTCTCTGCTACAAAAGATAGTGTGGAAATTCCTCAAAAATTAAAACAAATTTATCACATAATTCAGCAACTCTACTTACAGGCATCTATTCAAACTGTGCAAAGCAGGACCTGGAAGGGATATCAGTACACTTATGTTAATTGCAACAATATTTACAAAAGCAATAGTTGGACGATACAAAAATTCTTCTCAGTAGAAAACTCAATTTTAAAAATGTGACTTATACGTACTACACTAAAATGTTCTCCAGGCTCCATTAAGAATATATTGTCACATTTTACAATAGAAAATGCTGAAGACATTATATTAAGTGAAATGACAGTGACAAAATGACATGTACTGTATGATTCCACTTACATGAATTACCTCAACTCCTCTCAGCAATGGTCCAGAAATGATTTTTCCCATTGAAAGACCTGCAGGGAGAATCAGCCAGCCATAGCTCTGTAGCAGGCCTGCAGATCTTGGGCAGCACTGTGGTTCTCAAAGCAGTCCTGTGACTGAGTTCCAGCCTTCACAATCACAGTTCATTAACAGTCTGACACACTCAGGGACCCATATAGCGACCTGTGTAAAACCATCTCAGGGACTCAGTGGGAACGAAATCTATTTACACAGATGATATTAGATTCACTGTATATGGACCCAAATGCATGATGCTATTCTAGTGCCTGCCGTATAGATAAAAGCACTCAAGGATCTGCAATCTCAGGGTCATACAGAATCCATGACTACATAATCCCCTAGTATCAGGACCACAAGAGGCCGACCAAGCAGCAGACTTGTGACGAACAGGCAACTCCATTTCTCTGCAATCCAAGAGGCAATCACATCAGCCTTATCACTCAATGAGAGATCTCCACTTTACAAATTTGTAAATACTGGAAGAGGTGTTACCATTTTTAAATGCACAGACACCAGATCAAGACTACATTGTGCGTACTAGCAATGTTTTCATCTCAACATGTTACTCAAAGTCTGTATCAGAACAATTAGGAAAAAAAATTAAAGAGCCATCCAAATTAGTAATTAAATTACACATTCAAATGTCACTATTTGTAGATGGCACAATCTTATATTTAAGATCCAAGAATACACCAAAAAAAGACTGTTAGAACTAATAAGTACATTCAGTAAAATAGTAAAAATCAAAATAAATACACAAATAGTTGTGTTTCTGCATGCTAACAATAAACTGTCTAAAAAGGGAAAGAAAAAACAAATTCAGTTTACAATATTGTAAAAATAAAAAAACCTTGGAATAAATATAATGAAGAATATTAAACATCTGTGCATTCAGATACATATAGAATTTGAAGTAGATGTAAATAAATAATAGTACATTCAATGTTTATAAATTAAGGTATTTAGTAGTATAAACACCACATTGCCCACAGAAATCTACAGATTAAATGTTATCCCAATCAAAAGTCCAGTAAAAGTATTTCAATTTCATAGATTTGAATGGAAGCACAAACATCTCCAGATAGTCTAAGCAGACTTAAGAAGGAATCAAGCTGGGGTCACTATGGTTCCTGATCTCAAACGTGACTTAAAGGCTTTGTTAAGGAAAATCATACGATATGACCAGACAACCCACACAAAACTAGTGGAACTGTATAAACATCCCAGAATAAAACCTATACATACAAAGTCAACTAATTTTTGATAAAGGCACCAAAACTACACAATGTGGAAATTAACACCCTTGGAAAACTAACTATTCATAAACAGAATAAATGAATTTGACCATTTTCTTATGGTATACTACAAATTAACTTAAAATGAAATAAAGACAGATGTAACACATAAAATTTCAAAATTCATCAGAACAAAATACATGACAAAACTTTCTTGGTGTTGGTCTTTGCAAATTTTTTTTAGGTATGACAACAAAAGCACAGCAACACAAGCAAATATAAACAAGTGGGACTGCATCAAATGAAAAAGTGTCTTCACACCAAAGAAAAAAACAAAATATTTTTAAAAACCTGCAGAAAAGAAACATTTGCAAACCATATATTTTGTATGTTAATATCATATATATAAATTATACATGCATACTTATAAAGCATGCAATTCAAAGCAAAAAATACTAACGACAATAATAACTCAGTTGGAAAACAGACAGCAGGCTGAATAGATGTTTTATCCAAAGAAGTCACACAAATAACAAAGCAGTACATACAAAACTGATAAAAATTACAAATCATCAGGCAAATGTAAATCAAATGCAAGATGAGGTACCAACCACATATATGTTAGGATGCTTAGTAACAAAAAGAAGAGACTTAATAAGCATTGGTGAGGGTGTGGAGAAAAGAAAACCTGTGCACTCTTTGTTAAATGTAACTTTGTAGAGTCACCACAAAAACCAATATGGATCTTCTTTCAAAAGTAAAGTATAAATAAATCTATCATATAATCCAGCAATCCAGATTCTGGACACATAACCAAAAAGAAAATAAGGACCGTGATTAAAAATATCTGCATCCTCGTGTTCTTTGCAGCATTATTTATAACAGCCAAGGGAGACAAAAAAACCCTGAATATCTGTTGACAGAAGAATGACAAATAAAATGTTATATATGCACAGTAGAATATTATGTAGCCATAAAAAGATGAATATCTAGCCATTTACAACAACATCAATGGACTTAGAAAACAACGTGCTCAGTTAAATAAGCCAGACACAAGACAAATACTAGGTGTTCTCGGTTTGATGTCAAATCTAACATGGTGAACTCATTAGAAACAGAGTGTTATTAGAATAAATTCAGAAGACACTTCATGAAAATTTTCTAGTTACCAATTTTGTACTGTGCTTAGTGTAAAACACAGTAATTATAGAAAACTCTATTCCAAAATCTTGTTTTCTGACAGTTTCTTTATTTAAAAAGTATTTTTAATTTGTGGATTCTTTTACCACTACCTATACTACTAAATCAAAAAGAATTCATAAAAAATGAACTTTAGGAAGTGAGTACCAATATTTTGTACAGCATAATTTTTAGAGTTCCTATTAATCTAGAGTGAAAGATATACAAATCAGCCCAGTAAAAGAGATTTCTATCAAGATGAAACATCTTGATTTTTTTTTACACTAGCCATCTCCTACTTATTTTGAAAATAAAAACTAAAATTTATTCATGTAAAGCTGAAGCTCCCAAAAGACCTACTAAGAGCAGAAGCAAAATCCACAGGTTTACTAGGAATTCTGAAAGAAAGTTTCATCATCAAGTTACGCCACAGGTATCTGTAGTTTCCTAACATCACATCACTACACAATTTTCACTGAGCAGTGTCCAGTCCCTGAAAAAAAAATGTAAAATATGCCAAGTGGCAGAGACCTTAATTTGACTCTAAGTAAAATTACTTAATGGAACTATTTCTGACTTAACACGAGTGACTCAAAACATCCAATAAGGTATCTTTTAACACACTAATATCCCGTAATGAGTCCTCTAACTCTTAGGGAAGAGATATAAGACACAGAAAATCTGCATAGATACTGTACCTTTCTGGATGTTACAGTAAAAATTTAAGGCACTAGTAGAGGTGCCATATATATAATATATATTTATATTTAAATAATCATATTTAAATATTATTTAAATATAAATATAAATTTATATTTATACTACTATACTACTGCCATTTTTATTTAATTAATTAATCCTCAGATTCTAGCTAAGAGACACACCATCAGAATATCAGAACACTGTTGCCAAACTCTTATAATTACCATATCCTCAAATGTCTCCACATATTTGGTGCTATATATTTAATACATTATATATGTGTATATAATGTATGATATACACATTTATTTATTATAAATTTATTATAAGATAAAATTTATATCATAACTTATAATATGTAATATGTAATATAAATTGACATGCATAATATGTATTATATACATGTTTATAATATGCAGGTATTATATTACATACAATATACACATTTTATATCCACATATACATAGATATGTATATAATATAACATAATTCAATATTATATGTATTATATAAGTCATATATTGTATACACATATATAATACATATATAATATATGGTATATAATGTATATATACCATATAATATTGGTACACATATTGTATTATATAATACAGTATGTATTATATACATAATATATGTAATACAATATTATTTTGTATTATGTATTATGTACATTATATACACACATATAATGTATTAAATATATAGCACCATATAATATGTGAAGACATTTGAGGATATGGTAATGATAAGAGTTTGGCAACAGTGTTCGGATATTCTGATGGGTGTGTCTCTTAGCTAGAATATGAGGATTAATTAATTAAATAAAAATAGCAGTAGTATAGTAGTTACTAGACCTTGGTCAAGCATACTCACTTTTGATTCCCCAGAAAATATTACAGAGGCTTAGCAGAAGAACATTTTAATCCTAACTTAAAGTGTGGTTTTGCTTCTCCAAATACACAAACAACTCAAGATTTGCTAATCACAACCATTTTGACATGAGCCAGAGAATTTAACAAGTCTTCAAACAAATATAAAAAATAGAGATCTATGAATTGCCTGAAATATAAATAACAATAATTGTTGTGAAAATAGTATATGCATGCAAGTAACATCAAGAAAGGAAACTGAAAAAGTTGAAGAAAAAATGCATGAGCACAATTCAAAGTTTACTGTAAAAAAGTATACAGTAAAAAAAGTTTACTGTAAAAAAAATTACAAAGCAGAACACCTACAGCTGTGTAATATACTCACAGAATTGAAAATGTCAATACAAAATTGCCATAGCATAACTGATCATGTAGAAGAATTAGGCGTCACTGATGCAGATTTTATGAATTTAGTCAATTAAAAGAATAACAACAAAAAACAGTGAAACAGGAAGTAAAAACATCTTATTAAAGACACTATCCTTTGTGCAGATATGCCAATTGTGAGAGTAATCTAAAAAAAAGATAGGTTAAAGGGCATGAATTTCCTGGAAACTATATTGTTCAAATTCTGGGAAGAATATGAAATAAAAAATTTAAGGGATTCAAATAGCTTATAATATATTGTATTATATGGTATTATGTATGTAATACATGATATGTGTTTATATATATATTTGTTTTGAGACAGTGTCTTGCTCCATCACCCATGCTAGAGTACAGTGGTCCAATCTTTGTTCACTACAACCTTCACCTCCCTGGTTCAAGCGATTCTCCAAAGTAGCTGGGACCACCGGTGCGTGCCACCATGCCTGGCTAATTGTTTTTGTTGTTGTTGCTGTTTTGGGGTTTTTTTTTTGTATTTTTATGTTGGTCAGGCTGCTCTCAAACTTCTGACCTCAAGTGATCTATCTGTCTCAGCCTTCCAAAGTGCTAGGATTACAGCCATGAGCCACCACTTATGGCCTACCTTCTTTCTATAAGTAGAAAATGGCTTATTTAACAGATACTAAGCTGTCAAATATTTTACAACAGAATGTATGCATACGCAGATTTATTACTTGGTGATATCTTCTGATGCTGAAGTTTGCAGTGCAAATTTTATCATTCAGGTGGTAAGCATATTACTTAATACATAGCTCTGTAATCCATCTGTTGTCCCTCCACCCTCACGTAGTCCACAGGCTATGGTTCTTTTATTTACACTCATGTGTACTCACTGCTTAGCTTTCATCTCTGTGTGAGAATTGACAGTATTTAATTTTCCTGAATTAATTTAATTAGTGTTACATTCATCATCTTCATCCCTGTGCTACAGAAGACATGATTTTAGTTTTGGTAGCTGTTTAGTATTTTATGATCTTGCATGACTATTTTCATTTTAATTTTTTACCAATATATATTTGAGGGACAACTGGGTTGACTGCAAGCATTTGCTATTGCAAATACCACAGGGAGAAAGAAAGAAATTCATGCATCTTTTTGGTACCACCATTTATTTTTTGACATACACCAAACAATGAGATTGCTAGATTACATGATAGCTCTGTTTAAACAACTTCCACATATCTCCAGACTATTTTTTACAGGGGCTGAATAAATTTACATTATATATATAGGGTCAAACATTTTCCCCTTGCTGACTGCCCCACCGAGGACTCCTTAGATTCTATTTTTAAAATAATATTCATTCTTACTAGTATGAAGTGGTATCACTTTGTGGTTTTGATTTGAATTTGCTAAAAATAGCCAACACAAAACTCAGGATTTTTAAGAAGCCAAAGTGGCTTCTTATTTTTAAATGAGCACACTAGCTCCCCACCTATGGTTCTTATTCAATCTGAATTCTGTGAAATGTCAGATACAGAAATCACAATCTGAATAGCAGTGAGCCTCACTGAGTTTGAGGAGAACAATGAAATTCAGTGAAAGACATACAAATGGAAGTAAAATGAGAAATAGGGAGAAAAATGAAGATACCATATTAAGAAGATGTACAGTAAGCTTCTTGACATCAAAAACTTACTAAAAGTATTTTATACTATAAGCAGAAGTGTTACTAATAACAGCAAAATAAGCCACCCTGAGGAATGTTTTCAGAGCTCAGATACTGGTTCTTTAAATAAGTACTGTCAGACAAAAACAGAAAACAAAAACCCAAAAGTAAGAAACAATAAAGAAAATATCGATATGTAAAAACAGGATTAGTAGATGGCTGAATAGGAACAGCTCTGGCCTACAGCTCCCAGCGTGAGTGATGCAGAAGATGGGTGATTTCTGCATTTCCATCTGAGGTACAGGGTTCATCTTACTAGGGAGTGCCAGACAGTGGGTGCAGGACAGTGGGTGCAGTGCACCGTGCACCAGCCGAAGCAGGGTGAGGCATTGCCTCTCTTGAGAAGTGCAAGGGATCAGGGAGTTCCCTTTCCTAGTCAAAGAAAGGTGTGACAGATGGCAACTGGAAAATCAGGACACTACCACCTTAATATAGTGCTTTTCCAATGGGTGTAAAAAACGGCACACCAAGAGATTATATCCCACACCTGTCTCGGAGGGTCCTATGCCCACAGAGTCTCACTGATTGCTAGCACAGCAGTCTGAGATCAAACTGCAAGGCGGCAGCCAGGCTGGGGGAGGGGTGCCTGCCATTGCCGAGGCTCCCTTAGGTAATCAAAGCAACCGGGAAGCTGGAATTTGGTGGAGCCCACCACAGCTCAAGGAGGCCTGCCTGCCTCTGTAGGCTCCACCTCTGGGGGCAGGGCACAGACAAACAAAAAGACAGTAGTAACCTGTGCAGACTTAAATATCCCTGTCTGACAGCTTTGAAGAGAGCAGTGGTTCTCCCAGCACGCAGCTGGAGATCTGAGAACAGGCAGACTGCCTCCTCAAGTGGGTCCCTGACCCCTGACCTCCGAGCAGCCTAATTGGGAGGCACCCCCTAGTAGGGGCAGACTGACACATCACAGGGCCAGGTACTCCTCTGAGACAAAACTTACAGAGGAAGATCAGACAGCAGCATTCCCAGTTCACGAAAATCTGCTGTTCTGCAGCCACCGCTGCTGATACCCAGGCAAACAGGGTCTGGAGTGGACCTCTAGCAAACTCCAACTGACCTGCAGCTGAGGGTCCTGTCTGTTAGAAGGAAAACTAACAAACAGAAAGGACACCCACACCAAAAACCCATCTGTACATCACCATCATCAAAGATCGAAAGTAGATAAAACCACAAAGATAGGGAAAAAACAGAGCAGAAAAACTGGAAACTCTAAAAAGCAGAGCTCCTCTCCTCCTCCAAAGGAATGCAGCTCCTCACCAGCAACGGAACAAAGATGGATGGAGAATGACTTTGACGAGCTGAGAGAAGAAGGCTTCAGACGATCAAACTACTCTGAGCTACAGGAGGAAATTCAAACCAAAGGCAAAGAAGTTGAAAACTTTGAAAAAAATTTAGAAGAATGTATAACTAGAATAACCAATACAGAGAAGTGCTTAAAGGAGCTGATGGAGCTTAAAGCCAAGGCTCAAGAACTTCTTGAAGAATGCAGAAGCCTCAGGAGCCAATGAGATCAACTGGAAGAAAGGGTATCAGTGATGGAGGATGAAATCAATGAAATAAAGTGAGAAGGGAAGTTTAGAGAAAAAAGAATAAAAAGAAATGAACAAAGCCTCCAAGAAATATGGGACTATGTGAAAAGACCAAATCTACATCTGATTGGTGAACCTGAAAGTGACGGGGAAAATGGAACCAACTTGGAAAACACTCTGCAGGATATTATCCAGGAGAACTTCTCCAATCTAGCAAAGCAGGCCAACATTCAGATTCAGGAAATACAGAGAACGCCACAAAGATACTCCTCGAGAAGAGAAACTCCAAGACACATAATTGTCAGATTCACCAAAGTTGAAATGAAGGAAAAAATGTTAAGGGCAGCCAGAGAGAAAGGTCAGGTTACCCACAAAGGGAAGCCAATCAGACTAACAGCTGATTGCTTGGCAGAAACTCTACAAGCCAGAAGAGAGGGGGCACCGATATTCAACATTCTTAAAAGAATTTCAAACCAGAATTTCATATCCAGCCAAACTAAGCTCCATAAGTGAAGGAGAAATAAAATCCATTACAGACAAGCAAATGCTGAGAGATTTTGTCACCACCAGGCCTGCCCTAAAAGAGCTCCTGAAGGAAGCACTAAATATGGAAAGGAACAACCAGTACCAGCCACTGCAAAATCATGCCAAATTGTAAAAACCATCAAGGCTAGGAAGAAACTGCATCAACTAATGAGCAAAATAACCAGCTAACATCATAATGACAGGATCAAATTCACACATAACAATATTAACTTTAAATGTAAATGGACTAAATGCTCCAATTAAAAGACACAGGCTGGCAAATTGGATAAAGAGGCAAGACCCATCAGTGTGCTGTATTCAGGAAACCCATCTCATGTGCAGAGACACACATAGGCTCAAAATAAAAGGGTGGAGGAATATCTACCAAGCAAATGGAAAAAAAAAGGCAGGGGTTGCATTCCTAGTTTCTGATAAAACAGACTTTAAACCAACAAAGATCAAAAGAGACAAAGAAGGCCATGATATAATGGTAAAGGAATCAATTCAACAAGAAGAGCTAACTATCCTAAATATATATGCACACAATACAGGAGCATCCAGATTCATAAAGCAAGTCCTGAGTGACCTACAAAGAGACTTAGACTCCCACACAATAATAGTGGGAGACTTTAACACCCCACTGTCAACATTAGACAGATCAATGAGACAGAAAGTTGACAATGATACCGAGGAATTGAACTCAGCTCTGCAGCAAGTGGACTTAATAGACATCTACAGAACTCTCCACCCCAAATCAACAGAATATACATTTTTTTCAGCACCACACCACACCTATTCCAAAACTGACCACATAATTGGAAGTAAAGCTCTCCTCAGCAAATGTAAAAGATCAGAAATGATGACAAACTGTCTCTCAGACTACAGTGCAATCAAACTAGAACTCAGGATTAAGAAACTCACTCAAAACCACTCAAATACATGGAAACTGAACAACCTGCTCCTGAATGACTACTGGATACATAACGAAATGAAGGCAGAAATAAAGATGTTCTTTGAAACCAATGAGAACAAAGACACAGCATACCAGAATCTTTGGGAAACATTCAAAGCAGTGTGTAGAGGGAAATTTACAGCACTAAATGCCTGCAAGACAAAGCAGGAAAGATCCAAAATTGACACCCTAACATCACAATTAAAATAACTAGAAAAGCCAGAGCAAACACATTCAAAAGCTAGCAGAAGGCAAGAAATAACTAAAATCAGAGCAGAACTGAAGGAAATAGAGACACAAAGAGCCCTTCAAAAATTAATGAATGCAGGAGCTGGTTTTTTGAAATGATCAATAAAATTGATAGACCGCAAACAAGACTAATAAAGAAGAAAAGAGAGAAGAATCAAAAGACGCAATAAAAAATGACAAAGGGGATATCATCACCGATCCCACAGAAATACAAACTACCATCAGAGAATACTACAAACACATCTACGCAAATAAACTAGAAAATCTAGAAGAAATGAATAAATTCCTCGACACATACACCCTCCAAGACTAAAACAGGAAGAAGTTGGCTCTCTGAACAGACATATAACATGTTCTGAAATTGTAGCAATAATCAGTAACTTACCTACCAAAAAGACTCCAGGACCAGATGGATTCACAGCCGAATTCTACCAGAGGTACAAGAAGGAACTGGTATCATTCCTTCTAAAATTATTCCAATCAATAGAAAAACAGGGAATCCTCCCTAACTCATTTTATGAGGCCAGCATCATCCTGATATGAAAGCTGGGCAGAGACACAACCAAAAAAGAGAATTTTAGACCAATATCCTTGATGAACATTGATGCAAAAATCCTCAATAAAATACTGGCAAACTGAATCCAGAAGCACATCAAAAAGCTTATCCACTCTGATCAAGTGGGCTTCATCCCTGGAATGCAAGGCTTGTTCAATAAATGCAAATCAATAAATGTAATCTAGCATATAAACAGAACCAAAGACAAAAACCTCATGATTATCTCAATAGTTGCAGAAAAGGCCTTTGACAAAATTCAACAGCCCTTCATGCAAAAAACTCTCAGTAAATTAGGTATTGATGGGACGTATCTCAAAATAATAAGAGCTATCTCTGACAAACCCACAGCCAATATCATACTGAATGGGCAAAAACTGGAAGCATTCCCTTTGAAAACTGGCACAAGACAGGGATGCCCTCTTTCACCGCTCCTATTCAACATAGTGTTGGAAGTTCTGGCCAGGGCAATTAGGCAGGAGAAGGAAATAAAGGGTATTCAATTAGGAAAAGAGGAAGTCAAATTGTCCCTGTTTGCAGACGTTATGATTGTATATCTAGAAAACTCCAGGGTCTCAGACCAAAATCTCCCTAAGCTGATAAGCAACTTCAGCAAAGTCTCAGGATACAAAATCAATGTACAAAACTCAGAAGCATTCTTATACACCAATAACAGACAGAGAGCCAAATAATGAGTGAACTCCCATTCACAATTGCTTCAAAGAGAATAAAATACCTAGAATACGCAACCTCAGCAAAATCTTAGGATACAAAATCAATGTACAAAACTCAGAAGCATTCTTATACAACAATAACAGACAAACATAGAGCCAAATCATGAGTGAACTCCCATTCACAATTTCTTCAAAGAGAATAAGATACCTAGGAATCCAACTTACAAGGGACATGAAGGACCTCTTCAAGAACAACAAACCACTGCTCAATAAAATAAAAGAGGATACAAACAAACGGAAGAACATTCCATGCTCATGGGTAGGAAGAATCAATATCATGAAAATGGGCATACTGCTTAAGGTAATTTAAAGATTAAATGCCATCCCCATCAAGCTAACAATGACTTTCTTCACAGAATTGGAAAAACTACTTTAAAGTTCATATGGAACCAAAAAAGAGCCCACATTGCCAAGTCAATCCTAAGCCAAAAGAACAAAGCTGGAGGCATCATGCTACCTGACTTCAAACTATACTACAAGGCTACAGTAACCAAAACAGCATGGTACTGATACCAAAACAGAGATATAGATCAATGGAACAGAACAGAGCCCTCAGAAATAATGCCACATGTCTACAACTATCTGATCTTTGACCAACCTGAGAAAAACAAGCAATAGGGAAAGGATTCCCTATTTAATAAATGGTGCTGGGAAAATTGGCTAGCCATATGTAGAAAGCTGAAACTGGATCTCTTCCTTACATCTTATACAAAAATTAATTCAAGATGGATTAAAGACTTCAATGTTAGACCTAAAACCTTAAAAACCCTAGAAGAAAACATAGGCATTACCATTCAGGACATAGGCGTGGGCAAGGACTTCATGTCTAAAACACCAAAAGCAATGGCAACAAAAGCCAAAATTGACAAATGGGATCTAATTAAACTAAACAGCTTCTGGACAGCAAAAGAAACTACCATCAGAGTGAACAGGCAACCTACAAAATGGGAGAAAGTTTTCTCAACTTACTCATCTGACAAAGGGCTAATATCCAGAATCTACAATGAACTCAAACAAATTTACAAGAAAAAAACAAACAACCCAATCAAAAAGTGGGTGAAGGATATGAACAGACACTTCTCAAAAGAAGACATTTATGCAGCCAAAAAACACATGAAAAAATGCTCACCATCACTGGCCATCAGATCAATGCAAATCAAAACCACAATGAGATACCATCTCACACCAGTTAGAATGGCAATCATTAAAAAGTCAGGAAACAACAGGTGCTGGAGAGGATGTGGAGAAATAGGAACACTTTTACACTGTTGGTGGGACTGTAAACTAGTTCAACCGTTGTGGAAGTCAGTGTGGCGATTCCTCAGGTATCTAGAACTAGAAATACCATTTGACCCAGCCATCCCATTACTGGGTATATACCCAAAGGACTATAAGTCATTCTGCTATAAAGACACTTGCACACATATGTTTACTGCGGCACTATTCACAATAGCAAAGACTTGGAACCAACCCAAATGTCCAACAATAATAGACTGGATTAAGAAAATGTGGCACATATACACCATGGAATAGTATGCAGCCATAAGAACTGATGAGTTCATGTCCTTTGCAGGGACACGGATGAAATTGGAAATCATCATTCTCTGTAAACTATCGCAAGAACAAAAAACCGAAGACCACATATTCTCACTCATAGGTGGGAATTGAACAATGAGAACACATGGACACAGGAAGGGGAACATCACACTGTGGGAACTGTTGTGGGGTGGGAAGAGGGGGGAGGGATAGCTTTAGGCGATATACCTAATGCTAAACGACGAGTTAATTGGTGCAGCACACCAGCATGGCACATGTATACATATGTAACTAACCTGCACATTGTGCACATGTACTCTAAAACTTAAAGTATAATAATAATAAAATAAAAAAATAAAAAAAAGGAAATGAAAGAACATTCCATGCTCATGGGTAGGAAGAATCAATGTCGTGAAAATGGCCATACTGCCCAAGGTAATTTATAGATTCAATGCCATCCTCATCAAGCTACCAATGACTTTCTTCACAGAATTGGAAAAAACTACTTTAAAGTTCATATGGAACAAAAACGAGCCCACATCACCAAGTCAATCCTAAGCCCAAAGAACAAAGCTGGAGGCATCCGGCTGCCTGACTTCAAAGTATACTACAATGCTACGGTAACCAAAACAGCATGGTACTGGTACCAAAACAGAGATATAGATCAATGGAACAGAACAGAGTCCTCAGAAATAATGCCACATATCTACAAGTATCTGATCTTTGACCAACCTGAGAAAAACAAGCAATGGGGAAAGGATTCCCTATTTAATAAATGGTGCTGGGAAAATAGCCAGCCATATGTAGAAAGCTGAAACTGGATCTCTTCCTTACACCTTATACAAAAATTAATTCAAGATGGATTAAAGACTTCAATGTTAGACCTAAAACCTTAAAAACCCTAAAAGAAAACATAGGCATTACCATTCAGGGCATAGGCATGGGCAAGGACTTCATGTCTAAAACACCAAAAGCAATGGCAACAAAAGCCAAAATTGAAAATGGGATCAAATTAAACTAAAAAGCTTCTGCACAGCAAAAGAAACTACCATCAGAGTGAACAGGCAACCTACAACATGGGAGAAAATTTTCACAACCTACTCATCTGACAAAGGGCTAATATCCAGAATCTACAATGAACTCAAACAAATTTACAAGAAAAAAAACAAACAACCCCAACAAAAAGTGGGCAAAGGACAAGAACAGACACTTCTCAAAAGAAGACATTTATGCAGCCAACAGACACATGAAAAAATGCTCACCATCACTGGCCATCAGAGAAATGCAAATCAAAACCACAATGAGATACCATTTCACACCAGTTAGAATGGCAATCATTAAAAAGTCAGGAAACAACAGGTACTGGAGAGGATGTGGAGAAATAGGCACACTTTTACACTATTGGTGGGACTGTAAACTAGTTCAACCATTGTGGAAGTCAATGTGGCAATTCCTCAGGGATCTAGAACTAGAAATACCATTTGACCCAGCCATCTCATTACTGGGTATATACCCAAAGGACTATAAATCATGCTGCTATAAAGACACATGCACATATATGTTTATTGCGCACAGCCCTGATTCCCACCCATGCCTCTCCCTCCACATCTCCCTGCAAGCTGAGGGAGCTGGCTCCAGCCTCAACCAGCCCAGAGAGGGGCTCCCACAGTGCAGCGGTTGGCTGAAGTGCTCCTCAAGCATGGCCAGAGCAGACACTGAGGCCAAGGAGGTGCTGAGAGTGAGCAAGGGCAGCCAGCACGTTGTCACCTCTCAATACCAGGATAATAGAAACTAAACTCCATGTGAGAAACTTCCTTGTGAGGACTACTTATTTGAAAACCAGTGGTTTTTACCTTAAAAATATTTGTTTTCTTCCCTTCCCTTCTCTTTTTCTCTTTCTTTTTGAGATGGATACTCACTCTGTCACCCAGGCTGGAGTGCATTGGCATGATCACGGCTCACCGCAAACTCCACCTCCTGGATTCAAGTGATTCTCCTGCCTCAGCCTCTTGAGTAACTGGAACTACAGGCGTGTCCCACCACACTCAGATATTAATTTTTACATATATACATATATGTGTATATGTATATATATATATATATATATATATATATATATACACATATATATGTATATATATTTTTGGTAGAGATGGGTTTCACTGCATTAGCCAGGATGGTCTTGATCTCCTGACCTTGTGATCCACCCACCTCATTCTCCCAAAGTGCTGGGAATACAGGCGTGAACAACCGCGCGTGGCCGGTACTTTCTTATTACTGTCTATTGACATCATAAATGTACTTTTTCATTTCAATAATGCATTACCAGTGATGTGAGTCCTGTTATGATTTGTTTCTTATTTAATATTAAAACTGTTTTTAATTCAGTATTCTTGTGGAGAGTTTCCTGAATTAGCAGGAGATATTATTATAAATACATTTGACAAGAATCAGATCACTTTCATTAACACCTGCATTTTTGGTTAAGCAGAAGCTTTTGATGTAGTGATGTCTGCTAAAATAGAGACAATGATATAGAACTACTAAGTATGCAGGAAAACAGAAACATGGTATGAGCTAAATTGTGTTTTCTACCAATTTTTTTTTTGTCAACCTGGAATCACTGAATGTTACTTTGTTTACTGATAGATCTCAGGGAATTAAAGCAAAATGATGTCATATGGATGAGACCTAACCCAACACTACTGCAATCTTTGAGAATAGAAGAAGAAGATTCAAACAACAAAAGAAGAGGAATAGCCATTTAAAGACACAGCAAGTATGCTGCCACCTCAAATTTGAGAGACATCTCACAAAGAAACAAAACCAGTCAACATTATAATTCTTCTTCCCTTTTCTCCAGCATTATAAAAAGAATTCCGTTGGGTAAGTCTTCCAATAGAATGATGATTTATAATGGAAGTCAGAATACACTAATGCAAGCACATCCCAGTGCTCTTCCTTTTTAAAGTAGCCACTCAATCTCTCTTTTACTTACCTTGAATCCACAGGAAGGATAGTTAACAAAGAAGTCACTTATGTTTTACTTGACAAATGACACAGATTACTGATATTTGGTAAGAGAATTTTTCTGGTCAGAATATTCACTGACTATCCTGGAGCATCTTTTTTTTCTATTTCAGAAAGTAGCAATATAAATTCACCCCACCGAAACTCAGTGGGATGGTTTACATTATCCTTTATGCAAACAATGTCAATGGAAAATAGACACATAAAGCCAACATCAAACCCTCAGAATTGGGCTCAGATTCTTTCTACTGGTGTTTACTGGAGGTCTCTTCTTGAGACCAAAGAGGAAATAGTAAATGCCAGAGGTAGTGCTGCTCCTTGCTTCGGTGAAGTTACAAATCTGTCATGTCATAGCAATCACTTATTCCTCTACCTATCCTTATGCTGGACACATGACTGCAGTTACCATAGGGTTCCCTAGAAAAGCTGTTAGGGCAACTCACTGAGATAACTTTATGAGGTGACTTTTTCAGGGCAGAATTTGTATTTCATGTCCAATACTTTTATTCTCAGAACTCTGGTACTCTATGAACCATAAAAGGCTAAAAGGCCATAATTCCAGCCTGCAAGTCACAAGTCAGTAAAAAGCTAGAACTGCATCTGAAAACAAACGAAACTCCACTGAGAAGTATAATGGTTTCAAATGTCAGCCATGACCTTTACAAACAGCAAGACCAGAGACCATGAAAAAGGCTTAGTCAAACGTGCAAGAATGAGAAGAGTATGTCTCAAATTTTGTTAACAGGGCATACAGAAATGCATCTTCAAAATTGAAAGAAAAGAAAGAAAGACAGAAAGAAAACCAAAAACAGAAAAAAAAAATTTTAAAGAAAGGTCTTTCAATTTCAAACACTGCCAGGCCCAACAATCAGAATCTCCACCATAGCACCTTTAGGCAAATAACAGCTTTTTTTAATTGTTTCATTTCATTTTATTTCTTCTTTTCAGTTTTTTTTTCTCTTCAGGTTTATGTTATTTCTCCTCCTCATTTTACATTTTTGCTGTATTATTTCTCAGCATTTTATTTTATTTATTTTTAATACTCAGCAGAAAAGTGTATTCATTTCTCTGTAATTTACTTCTTTTCATTTCACTTCTCTTTATTTTACTTCATTTTATTTTGTTCTATTTCTTTTAATGTGAAATTATTTTATTAGCAATTACTGCTTTTCTATTTAATGTCCTGTTTACATAGTTTTGTTTTTTTACTCCAAGTTATTTTATTATAATTTATTTTTTATTTTATAATAATGCTGTGTTTTCTATTATATCTACTTCTTTCTTGTTATTACAGATTTTCCTTTGTCTTCATTTTATTTTTTTATGATCACCATGTCTGTATTAGTGATGTATTCAACATCAGTCATTTTATTTTTTCACATTATTTCGTGTTATTGTATCATTTAAAAAATTATCTTGATTTTTATATAATAAAATTAACCTCATTTTTCTTTTCTTTTTATTTCTCTTATGTTTTATTAATGTTTTTGTTTTTTTATATTTGTTATATTTGTTGCTCTCATATCATTTCTTTCTACTTTTAATTTCATGAATATTTTCCATTTTTTATGTGATCTTTATTCTAAATTTTACTTTAGTCTTTCTCCATTTCTTAAATTTAGATATATTTTATTATTTTATTTCTATTTGCTTTCACCTTTTGTATTTCACTGCTGTTCATTCTATTTTTCTTTATTTTACTTTATTTTCATTTATATTATAATTTTATATTTACCATCTTCTTTTTATCTATGCAGGATTTTAGTTTCTTTTGGTAAAATACTTTCCATTATTTATTTTATTTATATTGTCTTTATAGCTTATAATTCCCATTTCTTTTTATTTCCATGTATTATCTTCAATTAATTTTATTGTATTATATTTTATATTAATGATTTTTCTTTTTATCTCTATTTTATTGTATTAATGTATTTCTCTTTACTGTAGTTTTATTTTGTTTGTTTTTTATACTGTTTTGTTTATTTTAGGTTTTAATTTTTTACTATTTAATTTCTTATTTTTTAATTTTATTTTTTCTGCTGACTGCCTTTTAAATTTTATTTTTCTTTATATTACCATAATTGTTTCTCTCATTTCATTTCCTTTATATTATTTTCATTTTTCTTTTTGTTTACATTTTTATTTTAAATTTATTATATAATGATTTTAAATTCACATTCTATTTTATTGAAATTTTCCTTAATTTTATTTCAATTTTATAAATTTTATTTAAAATTCATTTATATATATTTTGCTTATTTTTTTGAATTTTATTTATTTTTATTTCATTTTAAATTTTGTCTAATTTTCTTTGTTTTAATTTGGTGTTACTTTTTTCTTTTTTTTTTTTTTTGCTTTGTCACTTAGGTTGGAGTACAGTGGCTAGATCTCAGCTAACTGCAACCTCTGCATCCTGGGTTCAAGCAATTCTCCTGCCTCAGCCTCCTGAGTGGCTGGGATTACAGGCATGTGCCACCACACCCAGGTAATTTTCATATTTTTAGTGGAGACGGGGTTTCACCATGTTGGTCAGGCTGTTCTCAAACTCCTGACATCATGATCTACCTGCTTCCCCCTCCCAAAGTGCTGGGATTACATATGTGAGCCACCGTGGCCAAGTTGCTGTTCCTTTTTTTTTTTTTTTTAGTTCTGTTTTATTTTGTTTCCCTCGCTACATTCTATTTTTTATGAATTTTATATCTACATTTTGGACTTTTATTTCTATTTATTTTATTTTAATGTTACTTTATTATCTTATTTTTATTTATTTTTAAATTTCTTTTTTCCTTTATTTTAATTTTTTCATATTTTATTATTCTATGTATTTCTTATGGAACTATATTGTTTTTAAAATTATATTTATTTTTATATTTTTTATTAAATTACTTATTCTTTTAATGAATTTTTTATTTTCTTTGCCTTGATTCAATTTAATTTTCTTCTTAATTTCTATATTACATTCTCCATATATCTTATTTTTTCATAACATTAATTTTTTTACTTTTTCTTATTTTTATATATTTTTGTATTTCTTATTTATTATTATTTTATATTTATTTTTCTTGTTTTATAATAGTTTGTAAAGTTTTTTAGTTCCTATTTTTATTCTATTTCATTTTATTTTATTTTGCTTTATTTATTTTATTTTGTTTATTGTTAATTTTCTTGTATTGCCTTATTTTAAAATTTTAATTTAATTATTTTAATAATTATCATTTCTTGCTTTTGTTTTTTAACTTCTTTTTATTTCATCTTGTTTTTGCTAATTTTATGTAATTTATTTTTACTATTTTATATTATTTTATTTTTTCATTTTCTTTTTTTTCACTTCTTTTGTATTCGTTTTTATTTATTTGTTTAGTTCTTTTTGTGTTATTTTATTTTATTTGTACTGTTTGAGACAAGGCCTTACTCTGTTATCTTGGCTGGAGTGTATCAGTGCAATTGAAACTTAGTGCAGCCTCCATTTTTCAAGCTCATTTTTCTTCTGTGTCAGTTTCTCTATCTCACTTTCTCAAGTAGCTAAAATTACAGCCTCTGAAAGTGTTGGAATTACAGACATAGCTATTATTATTTTATATTTCTATTTTTTCTGTTCATTTCTCTATCAGTGTACTCACTTTCATTTTATTTAGTTACTTTTTTATTTCCCTTTTAGTTTTTAATTTTACGTAGTTTGACATTATTTCTGTTATTTCTTTTCAGTTGACTTTATATCTCTTCATTTTTTTTTTTTATTATACTTTAAGTTTTAGGGTACATGTGCACATTGTGCAGGTTAGTTACATATGTATACATGTGCCATGCTGGTGCGATACACCCACTAACTCGTCATCTAGCCTTAGGTATATCTCCCAATGCTATCCCTCCCCGCTCCCCCCACCCCACCACAGTCCCCAGAGTGTGATATTCCCCTTCATGTGTCCACGTGATCTCATTGTTCAATTCCCACCTATGAGTGAGAATATGCGGTGTTTGGTTTTTTGTTCTTGCGATAGTTTACTGAAAATGATGATTTCCAATTTCATCCATGTCCCTACAAAGGACATGAACTCATCATTTTTATGGCTGCATAGTATTCCATGGTGTATATCTGCCACATTTTCTTAATCCAGTCTATCATTGTTGGACATTTGGGTTGGTTCCAAGTCTTTGCTATTGTGAATAATGCCGCAATAAACATACGTGTGCATGTGTCTTTATAGCAGCATGATTTATAGTCCTTTGGGTATATACCCAGTAATGGGATGGCTGGGTCAAATGGTATTTCTAGTTCTAGATCCCTGAGGAATCACCACACTGACTTCCACAATGGTTGAACTAGTTTACAGTCCCACAAACAGTGTAAAAGTGTTCCTATTTCTCCACATCCTCTCCAGCACCTGTTGTTTCCTGACTTTTTAATGATTGCCACTCTAACTGGTGTGAGATGATATCTCATAGTGGTTTTGATTTGCATTTCTCTGATGGCCAGTGATGATGAGCATTTTTTCATGTGTTTTTTGGCTGCATAAATGTCTTCTTTTGAGAAGTGTCTGTTCATGTCCTTCACCCACTTTTTGATGGGGTTGTTTGTTTTTTTCTTGCAAATTTGTTTGAGTTCATTGTAGATTCTGGATATTAGTCCTTTGTCAGATGAGTAGGTTGCGAAAATTTTCTCCCACGTTGTAGGTTGCCTGTTCACTCTGATGGTAGTTTCTTTTGCTGTGCATAAGCTCTTTAGTTTAATTAGATCCAATTTGTCAATTTTGGCTTTTGTTGCCATTGCTTTTGGTGTTTTGGACATGAAGTCCTTGCCCATGCCTATGTCCTGAATGGTAATGCCTAGGTTTTCTTCTAGGGTTTTTATGGTTTTAGGTCTAACGTTTAAATCTTTAATCCATCTTGAATTGATTTTTGTATAAGGTGTAAGGAAGGGATCCATTTTCAGCTTTCTACATATGGCTAGCCAGTTTTCCCAGCACCATTTATTAAACAGGGAATCCTTTCCCCATTGCTTGTTTTTCTCAGGTTGGTCAAAGATCAGATACTTGTAGATATGCGGCATTATTTCTGAGGGCTCTGTTCTGTTCCATTGATCTATATCTCTGTTTTGGTACAAGTACCATGCTGTTTTGGTTACTGTAGCCTTGTAATATAGTTTGAAGTCAGGTAGTGTGATGCCTTCAGCTTTGTTCTTTTGGCTTAGGATTGACTTGGCGATGTGGGCTCGTTTTTGGTTCCATATGAACTTTAAAGTAGTTTTTTCCAATTCTGTGAAGAAAGTCATTGGTAGTTTGATGGGGATGGCATTGAATCTGTAAATTACCTTGGGCAGTATGGCCATTTTCACGATATTGATTCTTCCTACCCATGAGCATGGAATGTTCTTCCATTTGTTTGTATCCTCTTTTATTTCCTTGAGCAGTGGTTTGTAGTTCTCCTTGAAGAGGTCCTTCACATCCCTTGTAAGTTGGATTCCTAGGTATTTTATTCTCTTTGAAGCAATTGTGAATGGGAGTTCACTCATGATTTGGCTCTCTTTTTGTCTGTTGCTGGTGTATAAGAATGCTTGTGATTTTTGTACATTGATTTTGTATCCTGAGATTTTGCTGAATTTGCTTATCAGCTTAAGGAGATTTTGGGCTGAGACAATGGGGTTTTCTAGATAAACAGTCATGTCATCTGCAAACAGGGACAATTTGACTTCCTCTTTTCCTAATTGAATACCCTTTATTTCCTTCTCTTGCCTGATTGCCCTGGCCAGAACTTCCAACACTATGTTGAATAGGAGCGGTGAGTGAGGGCATCCCTGTCTTGTGCCAGTTTTCAAAGGGAATGCTTCCAGTTTTTGCCCATTCAGTATGATATTGGCTGTGGGTTTGTCATAGATAGCTCTTATTATTTTGAAATACGTCCCATCAATACCTAATTTTTTGAGAGTTTTTAACATGAAGGGTTGTTGAATTTTGTCAAAGGCTTTTTCTGCATCTGTTGAGATAATCATGTGGTTTTTGTCTTTGGCTCTGTTTATATGCCGGATTACATTTATTGATTTGCATATATTGAACCAGCCTTGCATCCCAGGGATGAAGCCCACTTGATCATGGTGGATAAGCTTTTTGATGTGCTGCTGGATTCGTTTTGCCAGTATTTTATTGAGGATTTTTGCATCAATGTTCATCAAGGATATTGGTCTAAAATTCTCTTTTTTGGTTGTGTCTCTGCCCGGCTTTGGTATCAGAATGATGCTGGCCTCATAAAATGAGTTAGGGAGGATTCCCTCTTTTTCTATTGATTGGAATAGTTTCAGAAGGAATGGTACCAGTTCCTCCTTGTACCTCTGGTAGAATTCGGCTGTGAATCCATCTGGTCCTGGACTCTTTTTGGTTGGTAAACTATTGATTATTGCCCCAATTTCAGCTCCTGTTATTGGTCTATTCAGAGATTCAACTTCTTCCTGGTTTAGTCTTGGGAGAGTGTATGTGTTGAGGAATGTATCCATTTCTTCTAGATTTTCTAGTTTATTTGCGTAGAGTTGTTTGTAGTATTCTCTGATGGTAGTTTGTATTTCTGTGGGATCAGTGGTGATATCCCCTTTGTCATTTTTTATTGTGTCTATTTGATTCTTCTCTCTTTTTTTCTTTATTAGTCTTGCTAGTGGCCTATCAATTTTGTTGATCCTTTCAGAAAACCAGCTCCTGGATTCATTGATTTTTTGAAGGGTTTTTTGTGTCTCTATTTCCTTCAGTTCTGCTCTGATTTTAGTTATTTCTTGCCTTCTGCTAGCTTTTGAATGTGTTTGCTCTTGCTTTTCTAGTTATTTTAATTGTGATGTTAGGGTGTCAATTTTGGATCTTTCCTGCTTTCTCTTGTGGGCATTCAGTGCTATAAATTTTCCTCTACACACTGCTTTGAATGTGTCCCAGAGATTCTGGTATGTTGTGTCTTTGTTCTCGTTTGTTTCAAAGAACATCTTTATTTCTGCCTTCATTTCATTATGTACCCAGTAGTCATTCAGGAGCAAGTTGTTCAGTTTCCATGTAGTTGAGTGGCTTTGAGTGAGATTCTTAATCCTGAGTTCTAGTTTGATTGCACTGTGGTCTGAGAGATAGTTTGTTATAATTTGTGTTCTTTTACATCTGCTGAGGAGAGCTTTACTTCCCAGTATGTGGTCAGTTTTGGAATAGGTGTGGTGTGGTGCTGAAAAAAATGTATATTCTGTTGATTTGGGGTGGAGAGTTCTGTAGATGTCTATTAGGTCCACTTGGTACAGAGCTGAGTTCAATTCCTGGGTATCCTTGTGGACTTTCTGTCTCATTGATCTGTCTAATGTTGACAGTGGGGTGTTAAAGTCTCCCATTATTAATGTGTGGGAGTCTAAGTCTCTTTATAGGTCACTCAGGACTTGCTTTATGAATCTGGGTGCTCCTGTATTGGGTGCATATATATTTAGGATAGTTAGCTCCTCTTGTTTAATTGATCCCTTTACCATTATGTAATGGCCTTCTTTGTCTCTTTTGATGTTTGTTGGTTTAAAGTCTGTTTTATCAGAGACTAGGATTGCAACCCCTGCCTTTTTTTGTTTTCCATTGGCTTGGTAGATCTTCCTCCATCCTTTTATTTTGAGCCTATGTGTGTCTCTGCACGTGAGATGGGTTTCCTGAATACAGCACACTGATGGGTCTTGACTCTTTATCCAACTTGCCAGTCTGTGTCTTTTAATTGGAGCATTTAGTCCATTTACATTTAAAGTTAATATTGTTATGTGTGAATTTGATCCTGTCATTATGTTGTTAGCTGGTGATTTTGTCGTTAGTTGATGCAGTTTCTTCCTGGTCTTGATGGTCTTTACATTTTGGCATGATTTTGCAGCGGCTGGTACTGGTTGTTCCTTTCCATGTTTAGCGCTTCCTTCAGGAGCTCTTTTAGGGCAGGCCTGGTGGTGACAAAATCTCTCAGCATTTGCTTGTCTGTAAAGTATTTTATTTCTCCTTCACTTATGAAGCTTAGTTTGGCTGGATATGAAATTCTGGGTTGAAAATTCTTTTCTTTAAGAATGTTGAATATTGGTCCCCACTCTCTTCTGGCTTGTAGGGTTTCTGCCGAGAGATCCGCTGTTAGTCTGATGGGCTTCCCTTTGAGGGTAACCCAACCTTTCTCTCTGGCTGCCCTTAACATTTTTTCCTTCATTTCAACTTTGGTGAATCTGAGAATTATGTGTCTTGGAGTTGCTCTTCTCGAGGAGTATCTTTGTGGCGTTCTCTGTATTTCCTGAATCTGAACGTTGGCCTGCTTTGCTAGATTGGGGAAGTTCTCCTGGATAATATCCTGTAGAGTGTTTTCCAACTTGGTTCCATTCTCCGCATCACTTTCAGGTACACCAATCAGACGTAGATTTGGTCTTTTCACATAGTCCCATATTTCTTGGAGGCTTTGCTCATTTCTTTTTATTCTTTTTTCTCTAACCTTCCCTTCTCGCTTCATATCATTCATTTCATCTTCCATTGCTGATACCCTTTCTTCCAGTTGATCGCATCGGCTCCTGAGGCTTCTGCATTCTTCATGTAGTTCTCGAGCCTTGGTTTTCAGCTCTATCAGCTCCTTTAAGCACTTCTCTGTATTGGTTATTCTAGTTACACATTCTTCTAAATTTTTTTCAAAGTTTTCAACTTCTTTGCCTTTGGTTTGAATGTCCTCCCGTAGCTCAGAGTAATTTGATCGTCTGTAGCCTTCTTCTCTCAGCTCGTCAAAGTCATTCTCCATCCAGCTTTGTTCCATTGCTGGTGAGGAACTGCGTTTCTTGGAGGAGGAGAGGCACTCTGCGTTTTAGAGTTTCCAGTTTTTCTGTTCTGTTTTTTCCCTGTCTTTGTGGTTTTATCTACTTTTGGTCTTTGATGATGGTGATGTACAGACGGGTTTTCAGTGTGGATGTCCTTTCTGTTTGTTAGTTTTCCTTCTAACAGACAGCACCCTCAGCTGCAGGTCTGTTGGAATACCCTGCCGTGTGAGGTGTCAGTGTGCCCCTGCTGGGGGGTGCCTCCCAGTTAGGCTGCTCGGGGGTCAGGGGTCAGGGACCCACTTGAGGAGGCAGTCCACCCGTTCTCAAATCTCCAGCTGCGTGCTAGGAGAACCACTGCTGTCTTCAAAGCTGTCAGACAGGGACATTTAAGTCTGCAGAGGTTACTGCTGTCTTTTTGTTTGTCTGTGCCCTGCCCCCAGAGGTGGAGCCTACAGAGGCAGGCAGGCCTCCTTGAGCTGTGGTGGGCTCCACCCAGTTGGAGCTTCCCGGCTGCTTTGTTTACCTAAGCAAGCCTGGGCAATGGCGGGCGCCCCTCCCCCAGCCTCGCTGCTGCCTTGCAGTTTGTTTTCAGACTGCTGTGCTAGCAATCAGCAAGACTCCGTGGGTGTAGGACCCTCTGAGCCAGGGGTGGGATATATCTCGTGGTGCTCCGTTTTTTAAGCCCGTCGGAAAAGCGCAATATTCGGGTGGGAGTGACCCGATTTTCCAGGTGCATCTGTCACCCCTTTCTTTGACTCAGAAAGGGAACTCCCTGACCCCTTGGGCTTCCCAGGTGAGGCAATGCCTCGCCCTGCTTCGGCTCGCGCCCAGTGCGCCCACCCACTGGCCTGCGCCCACTGTCTGGCACTCCCTAGTGAGATGAACCCGGTACCTCAGATGGAAATGCAGAAATCACCCATCTTCTGCGTCGCTCACGCTGGGAGCTGTAGATGAGAGCTGTTCCTATTCGGCCATCTTGGCCCCCCCCCTTCATTTGTTTTTATATTACATCTTATTTCTTTTTATTTTATTTCTCTTCATGAATCTTCAGATCTCTTCATTACATTTTCACTCCTTTCATTTCACTTCAGTTTGCTTTTTCTCATTTCCTCTTATGTTATTTTACTTTATTTGATTTATTCTTCATATATTTCTCTTTATTGTATTTTTTTCTATTTTTATTTCTGCTAATTTTTCTTCTTACTTCTTTTGTTGTTATCTGTTTTTTGAGACAGAGTCTCACCTGTCTCCCATGCTGGATTGCAGTGGTATGATCTCGGTTCACTGCAACCTCTGCTACACCTGCTGAAGTGATTCTCCTGCCTCAGCCTCCCAAGCAGCTGGGATTACAGGCACGCAACACCACACCGGTTAATCTGTGTATTTTTAGTACAGAGGAGGTTTCAGCATGTTGGCCAGGTTGGTCTCCAACTGCTGACCTCATGTGATACACCCACTTAGGTCTCCCACAGTCCTGGGATTACAGGCCTGAGCCACTGTGACCAGCCTTATTACTCTGTTTTATTTTTGTTTATTTTTAGCAGTGTCTTTTAATAAACCAACTGCATCTTGAAGCATAGAAGATTTTTATGATGAATTAATGATTTTTGTTGCATTACATTCTTGCAGAACTTTTTGAACACTAGATTGGTAATTAAAATGCAATTGTAGATTTCCATTAAAGATTTTTCTTTTTGCTCAGGTAACAAAAGAAAATTAAGATAATTAGCTTTAGATTTCATAATTTTACCCTAAATTCTTAATCGATTTCTTTCAGTTTTACTGGTAGTGTATTTTCAATGTTTTTCTTTCATTTCTTTGTTTTTTAGAATTCTTCTCTTAAAGCAATACTATAATGTAAATTATTCATCACTAATATGTAATTATTTTTAAATTTTTATTTTAGATACAGGAGTTCTATGTGCAAGTTTGTTACCTGGGTATATTGCAGGAAAGATTTATGCATAGAACCCGATAGGTAATTTTTCCCCCTTATTCCATTCTTCCTCATTATCCTGACTAGTAGTCTACAGTTCAGATTATTCCCATATTTATATTTATATCAGTCCAGTGTTTAGCTCCCACTTATAACTAAGACCATGCGACATTTGATTTTTCTGTTCCTGTGTTAATTTACTTAGGATTGTGATTTCGGCTCAATTCATGTTGCTGCAAAGGACATAATTTTATAAATTTTATGGCTGTGTAAGATGTCATAGTGCATAGTGTATATTCTCTTTATCCAGTTTATCATTGATGGGCATCTAAAGCTGATTTCATGACTTTGCTATTGTGAATACTATTTTGATGAACATATGAGTGTGCATGTGTCTTTTTGCTATAATGATTTATTTTTCTGTGGGTATATTGGATTGCAGAGTCAAATGGTAGGGTTATTTTTCTCTATTTTCTCATATTTCTTTTGTTTTATTTCATTTTGTTTGTCATTTTGTATTTCTTTATACATCTCTTCATTTTGTTCCATTTCTCCTCATTTCATTGCATTTACTTTCTTTTTATTTTATTTTGTATCTACACATTTCATTTTATTTATCATTTCGTACTTTTAATAAAAATATTTTATTTCCCTTTATTTTTTGTCTCTCTTGTTTTTATTTTTCATTTTATATTTTAATTTAATTTTATTTCTTTTGATATATTTAACTTTCTCTTTATTCCTTGATGTTTTGTTATTTATCTTTACATTTAATTTATTTTATTTTATTATTCTTTATGTTATTTTAATTTATATTTCATTATACTTTACATTATTTTTATTTATGTATCTATATTTTATATTAATGATATATATTATTATATTTTATTTTGTATTATTCCTTATTTTATTTTATGTAGTTTTCTTTTCCCACTTCACTTCTTTTACTTTGTCTTCATTTTTCTCCATTTCTATGAATTCATGTTTATTTTTCATCATTTTATTTTGTTTTTGTTGTTGCTGGGTTTGTTTTCTGAAGGCAGGGTCTTGTTCTGCAACTCAGTCTGGAATGGAGTGGTGCAACCACTCCTCACTGCAGCTTTGATCTCATGTTTTCTAGTGATTCTTCTACCTCAGCCTCTCAAGCAGTTGGGACCACAGGTTTGTGGAACCACACAGAGATAATTAAAAATATATATATTTGTATCCCTGGGATAGATATCATTTGGTCATGATAAATGATCTTTGTAAGGTTTTATTGAATTCAGTTTGCTAGTATTTTGTTAGTCATTTTTACACCAAAATTTGTCAGTAATATTACCTCTGTTCTAATGCTCCTAAAATTTACTCTCACCTATGAATATTTTAAGGTATAATATTTAATTATAATTTTCATTTTAATTGAAATATAATATATAGTGTAAAATGCAACATTTTTCAATTTATAGCTCCATGAATTTTGCAAAATGAAAACATTCTTGAACCACTATGTTAACCACAACATTATCACCACAAAGAAACTCCTTTGTGGCCACTCACAGTTATTGTATATCTACTGTACATTCCACTATTTGGTTTTTTTTGTTTGTTTTTATTTTTTGAGATGGAGTCTCCCTCAGTTACAGGCTGGAGTTCAGTGGCACGATCTCAGCTCATTGCAACCTCTGCCTCCCAGGTTCAAGTGATTCTCCTGCCTCAGTCTCCCAAATAGCTGGGACTACAGGCATGGACCACAACACCCAGCTAATTTTTGTGTTTTTAGTAGACATGGGGTTTCACTCACTATGTTGGCCAGAATGGTCTTGATCTCTTGATGCTGTGATCCATCAACCTCGGCCTCCCAAAGTGCTGGGATTACAGGCCTGAGCCACACATTCATTACTTTTTAACTTTTTTTTGCTATAGAGTAGTTTTTCTCTCTTTACATTTTATATAATGTGAATCACACAGTATACATTCATTTACATCTGCCTTGTTTTGCTTAAAATGTGTCTGAGACTCATTTGTGTGTATACTTGTGATTGGTTCTTTTCCATTGCCTAATAGTATTTTATTTTAAAAATGTGCCATATTTTATTTACTAGTTTTATTTTTCATGTGCATTGTTTGTAGATTTTAAATATTAAAAAGTTGCTCTCAAAAATATCCATGGATGTTTCTATTGCTGCACACATATGTGTGTGCATTATGTATAAATTTGTGTTGTACTCTCAGACTTTAATTTTATTTTTTCTGATAGACATGTTGCAATGGCTCATTGTGACTTTAAATTTTATTTATCAGATAATGTTGACCATCTTTAATTTGCTTGTGGACATTTTGATGCCCTGTTCTATGAAGTATTTTTTTTCTGGTTTTCTATTGAATTGCCCATCTGTTTTTGTTTATTAGTTTGTTTTTGTTTGTCAGATACATGTATAAGAAATATCTTTATCCACTACATCACTGGCTTAACTTATTTGTGTGTTTCTTTGACTAAAAAAATTGTAATTTTAATATAATTTAAATTATTATTTATCTTAAAATTGTTACTTTTGTATCTTTCTTTAGAAAATGTTTACTAATCCCAATTTCATAAAAATCTTCTCTTTTTGAATCTTTGTTTTTTTGATTCTTGTAAGTATACGATATTTGTTCATAGTGTGCGAATATATCATGGTTTAAATCTTTTTGTAAATAGGCTATTAATTCAACATAATTTATTTAAAAGGCAGTTGTTTTTCAAATGTATTAGAGTGGCTTTTTCTGTTACAGAGCAAGTAACAGAAAATATTTTTTCTGTACCTATCTTTCTAACATGCATGTTTCCTTCTAGTTTCTTTGTCTTTGCACCAATATTATATGGTATAAATTACTATACTATGTGTTTAAATAGAAATAAATCTTGATATACGGTGATGTGTCATCCAATTTTTGGATATTGTTAGCTATGAATTTATAAATTTTAAAATAGCTTATGTATTTGAGCAAAAAAAAATACTCTGGAACTTTGACATTTTATCATTATTTGGATCAATTTAGAGATATTCTAAAATATTGAGTGTCATTGAGAAGGGAGTATATATGATTTTATACTGAGGTCATTTAGAATTTTTTTCAGAATTTTTTTAATGAAAAAGTTGTACATTTCTTTTGTTAAAACTTTTTTAGGCTCTTAAACCTTATGTGTTTTTCTGATTTTTGTTGTAACCACTTAGAAACATAATTTATTTTATATATTAACCTGTTCTTAATGGCTTTACTTAATTCACTAATAGTTTATAAATTATTTTGTATTTTATATGTACATAACTATTGTACATAAAACCTAACACTGATTGCTTTTTCTTTTTGATATTTATCCAACTGATTTACTTTTTTGCCTTATTGCACTGTAAATGCAATAAATTATTGAATAGTAGCAAAATCATGGACACCTTTGCCTCATTTCTGATCTAGAGAGAAACCTTTTCAATATTTTACTTTTGAGATTATTTTGGAGTTAATTGTCTTTCCCCCCAAAGATGTCAAAATCCTAAATTCCAGTAACTGAATGTGACCTTATTTTGGAAGAGAATCTTTGCAGATATAATCAAAGTAATATAATATTGGACTGAGGTGAACACTAATATATATACTGTAACAAAAGAACAGAAAAAATTGGACATGGAATAACACAATGAGAATGCCATGTGAAATCTGAGGCAGCAATAAAAGTAATATATTTGAAAGTCAGAAAAAAATGATATGCATGAGTTACTAAAGGCTAAGAAAGAGGTATGAAATAGTTTTTTTCTTTTTTTTCCTCAGAGGCTTCAAAAGGAGTGTATTGCTGATAACTTGATTTCCAACTTTGATTGTCAAGAAGTATGAGGGATTAGATTTTGTTTTTGTTTGAAGCCACTCATTTTGTAGTACCTTGTTATAGCAACCTTGGAAAACTAACAGCGTGTAATAAAACTACCTCATATTAAATGAAGAAACTGTCTTTCTGTTTATTTCTACTTTGGTAAATATCTTATGATAAACATGTTTTGATTATTTCTTCAGGTTTCTGGTTTCTTTTTGTTCCACTTAGAAAATCTGATTAGTAATATAAGTATTTTAAAAATTTAATCTGTAATTAAAAACACTTTTGTACATACCTCCAGAATCACTTTTATGCAAACTATTCTGTAAAGTAGAAAAAATACATGTCAATTTTTATCTAAATACAATATTAGCATACATTAACATGATACAGGACAAAAATTTCATAATTCTTCTTTACTATCTTTCAGATATATTGTGATATGCTTGTGGAGGAAATTTGTGCATTGCTTCTAACTCTGCAGACTTGCTAGGGGTTTATCATTTTTATGGGTGTTCTCACCTAACAAACTAAGTTGTGTTAATTTTTTGTTATACATTTGCTTTGTATTTTATTCATTTTTGTTTCTTTATTATTTTTTGACTTATATTTGTCTAGATTCTGCTATTTGTTTTCTTTTTTAGCTCAGGAATAATAGGTGATTTTCCATCTTTTTAAGTAGGTACACTTAATGCTATATAGTTTCCTCTAAACACTTTTATTAGTTTTATTCATCAGTTTTGATATGTTGTGTTATTATTTAGTTTGATGTATTTTCTCATTTCCATTTGATTTCTCCTTTGACTTATTAAATATTTAAAAGTGAATTTCTAAATATTTGAGGAATATTTAGATATCTTCCTATTGTTGGTTTCTAGTATATTTTCTACAATACACTCTGCATGATTCTATCCTTTAAAATGTATTGACATTTGCTCTAAGGTTCAGCATTTGTTTGATTTTGTTAAATATTTCATGTATATTGAAAAAGTGTATGCAGTATTCAGTTTTTGGATATAATATGTCAATAAGGCAATATTTGGACTACTAAAAAACCAAAACTAAACATTATATTTCTTCTTATAAAGGTACACAATTGCGACTGTGTATTTGGGAAATAATATCAACCTGAATCTGATCCAATATCCAGATCTAATTAACAATTTAGGAAATACAGAGAAAACAAAACATATCCAACATTCTTAGGGCTGCATTAATAAAATTCAGACGGTGAGAAACTTCATAGAAAAGAAATTTGATTTTTTTTAAAAAAATGTCAAAAATAAAAGACAAAGCATATCAATTAAAAGAGACTTGGATATTTTTCATTGTCCACAAATCAGATGTGTATAATGTAAGTTGTTGTATTAATTAAAGTAAATTTCCATCTCTGATCACTTTCTGCAAATGTGAAAACTTAATCTGGTTCCTTCTAGTTAACTTGGTAAAATTCAAAATGAGGTTCTCTTGCACAAGTCTCTTATTGACCAGAAAAGAAACCTCCTTTCATGGTCAGGGAAGACTGCTTCTCTTTGTGAAAGGAAACAAAGTGACCTGTAATTCCAATGTATTTCTGTTGTTACTATGTAGCTTCTATTTCTTTAGAAACTAGAATTTTATGACGCATTACATCAAAAGAGGTGTCATTAATTGAATATCAATATAAGATGTCTGATGCCTGACAGTCTATAACATGTAGCATGTTGACTGTACCAGGTCTGACAATCAACAAAGTTTTTTGTGTGTTGTGTGTGAATTTATGCGAGTGTGTGTTTCTCTGTGTGTGTGTTACTTTGTGTGTGTGTGATTGACATAGAGTAGCGAGAAGTAAAAGATAATCCCTATGAATCTATAGGGCAATAAAAACTATTGAGTTAGATATCCTAGCTTTCTCAAAAAGAACAGGTAGGAATAAGCCCAATCTGTAAAAAGAACAAAGATAATTAACTATTTGATGCCCAGATATCAACAAATATTCACAAGCATCAAGAATATTCAGGAAACCATGATCTCACTAAGTAAACTAAGTAAGGTACCAGAAGCCAAATCCAGGGAGACAGAGATATATTTCTTTTCACACAGAGAATTCAAAATAGCTGTTTTGCAGAAACTCAAATTCAAGATAAAACAGAAGAAATTTAAACTGTTTGTTTGTTTGTTTGAAACAAAGTCTCGTTCTGTTGCCAGGCTGCAGGGCAGTGGTGTGATTTCAGTTCACTGCAACTCCCACATCCTGGCTTCCAGTGATTCTCCTGCCTCAGCCACTTGAGTGGCTGGGACTACAGGCATGAGCCACCATGGCCCAGCTAACTTTTGTATTTTTAGTAGAAACAAGGTTTCACCATGTTGGCCAGGACGGTCTCGATCTCTTGACCTGGTGATCCACCTGCCTCAGCCTCCCAAAGTTCTGGAATTAAGGGCATGGGCCACTGCGCCCAGCCTAAAATCTTATCAAATACACTTACCAAAAAAATTAAATAATGAAAAAGTCGAGCCTCAAATTTGGAGTGTAAAAATGTAACTGACTGGAGAATGTCTTCGTGTTACTTGTACTAACATTATTGCTGTTATTAAACAATACGTTAGTCCAATATACTAAAGAATGTATCCACTTCTTTCAATAGCAGAATTAAACAAGCAGAAAAAAATAATTAGCTTGAAGACAGGCTATTTGAAAATACACAGTCAGAAAAAGCAAACAAATAAAATAAAATGCTGACAAGATCTGAAAAATGACCACAAAAGAAAATATCTAAAAATTATTGACCTTAAACAAGAAGTGGAGAGCGTGATTAAGAATACAACATTTATTCAAATGGTTAAAACAGATTAACTCTAAACCTACAGAAAGAATCAACATTGAAGTACAAAAAGTTATGGAACACAAAGCAGATTTAACCCAAGGAAGACTACCTCAAGTGATGTAATAATCAAACTTCCAAAGGTCAAGAATAAAGCAAATATCTTAAAAGCATAAGCAGAAAAAGTGACATACGACAAAACTCCAATGTTTGGTAGCAGACTTTTCAGTGAAAATCTTACAGGACAGGAAAGAGAGGCATGATGTATTTAAAGTGCTGAAGAAAAACAAACAACACAAAACAAAAAAAAATCTTTTATTCTAGAATAGTATATTTTTTCCAATAGGAAGGTGAAAAAAATACTTTTACAAACAAACTAAAGTTGAAGGTTTCATCAACAGTAAACTTGTTCTACAAGAAATGCCAAAAATAATTTTTAATCTGAAAAAAAGGATGTTCATGAGAAATAAAAAATAATCTGTAGGTACAAAACTCACTAGCAGTACTACACAGAAAAACAGAAAGTAATAACATTTTAATTCTTGTGTGAAAATAACTCATCTTAAATCAAAAGATAAAAAGGTAAACTTATAAAAATTATCACTACAATATCTTTTTGAGTCATAGAAATTGCAATAAAATATAAATAGAAAGAGTTAAAAAATGGGGAGATAAGTGAAAGTATACATTTTTCCTTATTATTCTTATTATTTGCTTATTTGTTTTTCTCATCCCAATAAAAAAAGACTTTTATCCAAAACATAGACAATACCAAATCCTGGTGAAGATGTAAACGAAAGAGAGCTCCTGTACACTATGAAAATGTAAATTAGTAAAACCACTATAGAAAACAATTTATAGCTTCTAGGGATAGTGTGACAGCAATCCCACTGCTTGGCATATATTCAAAAGAAAGGACATCCTAATATCAAAGGAATATCTGAGCTCCCCTATTGGTTGCAACACCATTCACAATAGCCAATATTTGAACACAATCCAAGTGTCCATCAAAAACAGACAAATGTATCAAGAAAATTGTACATATATTACATGGGTATTATTCAGATACAAAAAGAAATGAGATTCTGTCATTTGTAATAACATCAATAAAACTGAAGGTTATTATAGTAAGTGAGATAAGTTAGGCATACAAAGGCAAACTTCATTTGTTCTCAAATAATTGTGAGAGCTAAAATGAAAACAATTGCACTCAGGAAGATAGAAAATTAAAGGACGATTACCAGATTCTGAAAAGGATGGTGGGGGTTTGGAGCGAAGTGAGCATTGTTAATGGATATGAAAAATAGAATAAATAAAACCTAGTATTGAAAATATACATGAAGGTGAAGGGCAGAAAGAATGTAGTTACATAAAGTATACAGCTAATGTGTGACAACTACTCATTACAAAAATGAAATTGCCAACAAGATCAAGAATATGGAATATTTCAAAAGAAACCTTCATTTGTGTCAGCTATTTCTTTTTCTTTCTTTTTTTTTTTTTTTTTTTTTTTGAGACGGAGTCTCACGCTGTCGCCCAGTCTGGAGTGCAGTGGTGCGGTCTCGGCTCACTGCAAGCTCCGCCTGGCCGGTTCACACCATTCTCCTGCCTCAGCCTCCCAAGAAGCTGGGACTGTAGGCCCCAGCCACCACGCCCGGCTAATTTTCTGTATTTTTTAGTAGAGACGGGGTTTCACCGTGTTAGCCAAGATGGTCTCGATCTCCTGACCTCATGATCTGCCCGCCTTGGCCTCCCAAAGTGCTGGGATTGCAGACGTGAGCCACCATGCACAGCTGTGTCAGCTATTTCCACAGAACTGTGCAGAGACTCCGTTTCACCGTATTTGTCAGGCTGGTCTCAAACTCCTGACCTCAAAATATGTGAGAGAACATATCAACACCAATTTCTAAAATATGCCTTTTGTAATGAAGATAATAAAAACTTTATCCATGTCAAAAATTTTAGTAAACATGAGATTACTCATTTTCTAAAGAATCATTACAAATACAAGAGAATGGTGAAAGTCTTTCATCAATTCTCAAAATTTATTGTTCATCTGGTATTCATATTCAAGAGAAGCATTTTGAATAAAATAAATATGGTAAATTTTTAACCAGTTCTCAGGACTTGCAAAAAATGAAGAAATTCATGTTAAAGAAAACTCAAATAAATGTAATAAACGTGAAAAAAATTTTAGTCAATTATTACATCTCAGTTCAAATGAAAATTTATCCTAAAAATTCAAGTGTAAAGAATGTGGCAAATTCTTTAACTACTATTCGACCCTTACACAGCATTTGGGAATCCATTTTGGAGAGATATCCTGCAATTATAAAAAATGGAGCAAAGCCTTTAATTGGCATTCAAACTATGCCGTTTAGAAAATCTATACACATGTGAATAATCCTGGAAAGCTCTAACCCAGTTTTCAGAGCTTACTAAAATCAAGATAATTCATACTATTTAGAAACTCTGCAAGTGTAAAGAAAGGCAAATGTGAGAACTAATGCTCACATATTATTCAAAGTTAGAATCTGGCGTTATATAAAAACCTAAACAGGTAATGATCTTGGAAAAACTATTATTCAAAATATATGCCTTAGAGAACACCATGTTATTTATATTGAAGAGAAATTTTACAAATGTAAAGAAGTTAGAAAAAGCTTTAACTGCCACCTATATATTACTCAATAGAGAATTTCTATAGAAGTGAACCGCTACATATATAAGAAATGTGGTGGGAACTTTGCCCACAACATACACCTTAGAAAACACCAAAGAGTTTATACTGGAAAAAAAAGTCCCACATCTAAATATATATTGGAAGAAACACTCTAGAAATAACTAAGGTAGTAACACAGGCGTTACTCTAAAAAGAGTTTTTTTTTTTGAGGTTTTATTATAGATTAAAGTGTACAAATGTAGGTTTGCAACATGGGTAAACTATGTGATGCTGAGGTACCAATGGCTCCATAACCAAGCAGTAAGCAAAGTACCCAAAAGGTGGTTCTTTAGTCTATTTCTTCTCCTTTACTCCCCCGACTAGTTGCCCCGTGCCTATTTTATCCAACCTTTTATTTATGTATATTCAATTTTTATCTTCCATCTATAAGTGACAACATATGGTATTTGTTTTTCTGTTTTTGCATTACATGAAGTAGAATAAAGGCCTCTCTCTCTCACTCTCTCTCATATATATACCCACATATATATGAACACACACATAATATATGTATATATGTATATACACATATATACATATATATACAGGATATATACATATACACATATATATACACACATATACACACACACATATATCTTTCTCATATATACATATTATATATTTCTCATATATATGTATATATGAGAAATAATATATGTGTGTGAATATATACATACTTTTTTTAGAATAATAGACTGCATTCCACAGTTATTGAACTAGTTTGCATTCCCACCAAGAGTACATAATATTTCACATTACTCAGCATCCTTGCAAACATCTGCTATTTCTTTACCTTTTTCTGTCTTTACTTTTTTTTTTTTTTACTTTAAATTCTGGGATACATGTCCTGAATATGCAAGTTTGTTATGAATTTATACATGCAGGTTTGTTATGTATATACATGCACCATGTTGGTTTGCTGCAACTATCAACCCATCATCTAGGTTTTAAAACCCTCATGTATTAGGTATCTGTCCTAATGATCTCCCTCCCCTTAACGCCAACCCCTCTCCCTGCATCTGTGTGTTCTCATTGTTCAACTCCCACTTCCGAGTAAGAACATGTGTTGTTTAGTTTTCTGTTCTTGTGTTAGTTTGCTGAGAATGATGGTTTCCAGCTTCATTCATGTTCCTGCAAAGGACATGAACTCATTCTTTTTTATGGCTGCGTAGTATTCCATGATGTATATGTGACACATTTTATTTATCCAGTCTATCATTGGTGGGCATTTGGGTTGATTTCAACTCTTTGCTATTGTAAATTGTGCTGCAATAAACATACATGTGCATGTTTCTTCATAGTAGAATGATTTATAATCCTTTGGGTATATACCCAGTAATGGGATTGCTGAGTCAAATGGTATTTCTGGTTCTAGATCCTTGAGGAATTGCCATTATGTCTTCCAAAATGGCTGAACAAATTTACATTCCCACCAACAGTATAAAAGCATTCCTATTTCTCTACATCCTAGCCAACATCTGTTGTTTCCAGACTTTTTAATAATCGCCATTCTAACTGGTGTGAGATGCTATCTCATTGTGGTTTTGATTTTCATTTCTATAATGAGCAGTGATGATGAGCTTTTTTTCATATGTTTGTCGACTGCATGAATGTCTTCTCTTTATTTTTTCTTTGAGATGGGGTCTCGCTTGTTGCCCAGGCTTGAGTGCAGTGGCCCAATCTTGGCTCACTGTAACCTCCGCCTCCTAGGTTCAAGAAATTCTTCTGTCTGAGCCTCTCAATTAGCTGGAACTACAGGTGTGCACCACCATGCCTGGCTAATTTTTGTACTTTTTAGTAGAGACAGGGTTTCACCATATTTGCCAGGCTGGTCTCAAACTCCTGACCTCCTGATATGCCCTTCTCGACCTCCCAAAGTGCTGTGATTACAGGTGTGAGCCTCCACACCTGGCCATGAATGTCTTCTTTTGAGAAGTGTCTGTTCATCTCCTTCATCCACTTTTTGATGGGGTTGTTTTTTTTTCTTGTAAATTTGTTTAAGTTCCTTGTAGATTCTGATTATTAGCCGTTTGTTAAATGGATAGACTGCAAAAACTTTCTCCCATGTTGTAGGATGCCTGTTCAGTCTGATGATAATTTCTTTTCCTGAGCAGAAGACTTTTAGTTTAATTAGATCCACTTTGACAATTCTGTTTTTTTTTTTTTGTTGTTGTTGCAATTGCTTTTGCTGTTTTAGATATGAAGGCTTTTCCCATGCCTATATTCTGAATGGTATTGCCTAGGTTTGGGGTTTTACGTTTAAGTCTTTAAGCCATCTTGAGTTAATTTCTTAATAAAGTGTAAGGAAGGGGTTCAGTTTCTGTTTTCTGCACATGGCTAGTCAGTTTTCCTAACACCATTTATTGAAGAGGGAATCCTTCCCCCATTGCTTTTTTTGGTCACAATCAGATGGTTGTAGATGTGTGGTGTTATTTCTGAGGCCTCTGTTCTGCTCCATTAATCTATATATCTGTTTTGGTAGCAGTACCATGAAGTTTTAGTTACTATAGACTTGTGTATATATAAACTATAGACTTAGTATAATTTGAAGTCAGGTAGTGTGATGCCTTTAGTTTTGTTCTGATTTTGTCCAAGATCAGATAGTTTTAGATGTGCAGATTTATCTATATGTTCACTCCTCTTTTCCATTTGTCTATAGGTCTGTTTATATTTTACAAAAAATTTTGTTTGTGCCATACAGTACAGTTTAAACGTGGTCAGTGTGATGCCTCCAGCTTTATTCTCCTTGCTTACAATTGCATAGGTTGTTTGGGCCATTTTTGGTTTCAAATAAATTTTGCAATAGAGTTTTCTAATTCTGTGAAAATTTACATAGGTAGACACTGTTAGCATTGTTTCTACAAACTTCTTAGTGCAGTGTAGAGATTTTAACTCATTATTCTCCCAATTCATGAGCATGTAATATTTTTTTTTTGTTATTTGTGTCATCCCTGACTTCTTCCAAGACTGGTTTAAAGTTCTCTTTATAGATACCTTTCACTTAATTGGCTAAATTATTCCTATGTATTTTGTGTTTATTTGTGTGTGGCTTCCATAAATAAAATTGTTTTAAATTTGGTTGTTACTTAAAATTGTATTGATGTGTAAACTTACTATTGATTATTGTAATATAATTTTATATTCTGAAATTTATTAACTTTTACATCTGTTCCAGGAACCATTTTGGAAACTCTTTAGAGGTTTTCTTTGGGGGGTGGGTAATAAAATTATACTGTCAGAAAAAAAGATAATTCAACTTAATTTCCTATTTGGATTTATTTATTTATTTATTTTTCTTCGCTGCTTTTTCTAGGATGTATAATACTTTGTTGAATAGAAGTGGTGAATGTAGCATCCGTATAATTCCCCAGTTCTCAAAGGATACAATTTCACTTTTCTCTTTCAGTCTGAGGTTGGTTTTATATATAGTGAATTTTTGCATGTGAGTTTCATACATAGTGCTTATTATTTTGAGTTGTGTTCCTTCAGTGCCTAAACTGCTGAGGGCTTTTATCAATAAGGGATGTTGGATTTTATCAAAACTTTTTCTGCATCATTTGAAATATGGTTTTCATTCTGAATTATTTTTATGTGGTGAGTTATACTTACTGATTTGTGTATGTTAAATCAATCTTGCATTTCAAAAATAAAATCTGTTTGATGGTGGTGAATTATCTTTTGGAAGTTCTGCCTGATTCAGTTTTGTAGTATTTTGTTGAGGATTTTTGCTTTTATGTTTATAGATTTGTTGTTGCATCTATACTTACCAATATTCGCCTGAAGCTTTTGTTGTTGTGTCTTTGTAAGATTTTGTCAGAATGATGTTGGCTTTGTAAGAATGTGTTAATAACTAGCCTAGCCATCATGGTAAAAACTGTCTCTACTAAAAATACAAAAATTAGCTGGGTATGGTGGTGCACGCCTGTAGTCCCAGATACTCAAGTGTCTGAGGCAAGTAGAATCACGTGAACCTGGGAGTAAGAGGTTACAGTGATCCAGGATCGCACTACTGTACTCCATTCTGGGTGACAGGGCCAGACTCCATCTCAGAAAAACAAAATAATTTAAAAAAGAAAGCATTTATAAAAACTCTTTCTTCCTTAATTTTTTGGAAACCTTTCAATAGGATTGGTATCAAGAATTTGGCTGTGAATCAATCTGGTCAGTGCTTTTTGTTCATAGTTTTATTGTTATTATATTGATATTATATATTAATTATATAACAATAATATATTACATGTAATATATTATTTTAATATTATATTAATATTACATATTATATTTACTATATATTAGGTATAATAATTTATTATATGTTAACATAATATATTATTAATAACAATAACTATTATTATTATTGATTTGGTTTCCAAATTTATTATTGGTCTGTTCAGGTTTTCACTTTTTTCCTGCTTCTATCTTGGGACATTATGTATTTCTAGGAATGTATTCATTTCCTCTATATTTTCTAATTTTCTTTATAGAAGTACTAATAATAGCCTCTGAGGATCTTTTTTATTTCTGTGGGATTGGCTTAATGTGATCTTTGTCATTTATGATTGTGTGCATATTTGGATCTTCATTTTTTTTATTTTTTAGTGTATCTAACAGTCTATCAGTCTTATTCTCTAAATAATAATTCTCTAAATAATAATAAAACACAGTTTTATTAATTTTCTGTGTGAGTTTTTGGGTCTCAGTTTTGTTCAATTCTTCAATTTTAGTTTTTTTTAAAATTCTAATAGCTTTGGGGTGAGATTGTTATTGTTTTCTAGTTCCTCTCATTGTGATGTTAGGTTGTTGATTTGACATATTTAGTACTATAAATGTTTCTCTTAAAACTGTTTTAGTTGCATCCCCAAAGTTTTGGTAAGTTGTGTCTCTATATTTATTAATTTCAGAGATTCGTTTCCATTTCTGTCCATATTATTGTTTACTCAATAGTTATTGAGAAGCATATTTTTAAATTTGCATGTTTTTGTGTAGTTTTAAGATATGTATTTGTATTTATTTTATTTTTATTGCACTATGTTCCAAGAGTGCTTGGCACAATTTCATTTTTTAAAATTTATTTATACTTGCTTTATGGCTGAGAACCTGGTCAGCCCTAAAACAAGTTATATGTGCAGATGAGAAGAATGTATATTCTATAGTGATTGGGTGACTAATCTACTGGTGACTATTAGGTCATATTTTTCAAGTGTCAAATTTAAGTACAGAATTTCTTTAATAGTGTTTTGCCTTGATGAGCAATGTAACACTGTCTGTGGAATATTAAATTTCTCTACAATTATTGTGTGACTGTATAAGTCTTGTCGTAGATTAAGAAGAACTTGTTTTGTGAATCTAAGTGCTACTTTGTTGAGAAAATGAATATTTAGTATAGTTAAGGCTTTTTAAAAAAAATTGAACCTGTTATCATTCAGTACTACTCTTCTGTGTCCTTCCTGATTGTTATTTGTTTAAAATCTGCTTCATCTGACATAACAGAGACCACCCACTCTTTTCTATTTTCCCTTTAGCTGATATACATTTCTCCATCTCTTTCATTTGAGCCTGTGGGTTTTATTTCATGTAAGATTTATCTCCTGAAGACTGCAGACAGCCGAGTTTTGTCTTTTTGTCCAGATTGCCACAATATGCCTCTAAATGAGAACATCTAGATAATTAACATTCAGGATGTATATTCATGTATAAGCTTTTGATTCTGTCCTCATGTTGTTGGCAGTTTGTCTTGTAGACTTGCTTATATAATGTTTTACATAGTTCGTGGGCTATGTGCATAATAGTATTCTCAAAGTGTTAGGTTTTTATGTTTTGTTTCCATGCTTAGCACGCCTTAAATAACTTTTGTAAGGGTGGTCTGATTGTAGCAAGAACCCTTAGTGCTTGCTTGTCTGAAAATAATTTACTTTTTCTTAGACTTTTATTTATGAAGCTTAGTAAGGTGAAATACAATTTTTTTTGTTTTGCAATAACAAATACATTGAATCAACCTAAAGGACCATTGATGATAGAATAGATGAAGAAACTGTGATAACAAATTTTCTGCAGAATAATATGCAAACATAAAAAAAGGAGATAATGTCCTTTGAGAAAATTGAGATAATTGCCTCTAGGGAGCTGTAGGCAATTATCCTTACCAAACTAGCGGAGAATCAGAAGACCTAATACCATATGGAATTGCAACAGAAGCCAAAATTGAAGAATGGAATCTAATTAAAGAAAAAAGCTTCTGCACAGCAAAACTATTATTAGAGTGAACAGGCTACCTACAGAATGGGAGAAAATTGTTGCAATTTACCCATCTGAGAGAGGTCTAATATCCAGAATTTACAAGGAAAATAACATATTTACAAAAATAAAAAAAAACAAACCCACTAAAAAGTGAGCAAAGGATATAAACAGACACTTCTTAAAATAAGACATTTGTGCAGCCAACAAACATATGGAAAAAAGCCCAACATCACCAACCATCAGAGAAATGCAAATCAAAACGACGATGAGAGATCATCTCACACCAGTCATAGTGGAGATTATTAAAAGGTCAGGAAACAACTGATGCTGGCAAGGCTGTGGAGAAAGAGGAACACTTTTAAACTGTTTTTAGCAGACACATATTTTTACATTGTTTTTAGCAGACACTCACCACTAAGGTCTGCAGCTTCATTCTTGAAGTGAGCAAGACCATGAACCAGCCAGAAGGAAGAAACTATGGACACATATGAAGGAACAAACCCTGGACATAACACATTTAAGTGCTGCAACACTCACCAGTAAGGTCTGCAGCTTCATTCTTGAAGTGAGAAAGACCATGAACCTGCCAGAAGGAAGAAACTCTGGACACATCTGCAGAAACAAACTCTGGACATAACACCTTTAACTGCTGTAACACTCACGAGTAAGGTCTGCAGCTTCATTAAGGAGGTGAGCTAAGACCACGAACCTTCCAGAAGGAAGAAATTCTGGACACATCTGAAGGAACAAACTCTGGACATAACACCTTTAAGTGCTGTAACACTCACCACTAAGGTCTGCAGCTTCATTCTTGAAGTGAACAAGACCATGAACCTGCCAGAAGGAAGAAACTCTGGACACATCTGAAGGAACAAACTCTGGACATAACAACTTTAAGTGCTATAACACTCACCAGTAAGGTCTGCAGCTTCATTCTTAAAGTGAGCAAGACCATGAACCTGCCAGAAGGAAGAAACCCTGGATACTTCTGAAGGAACAAACTCTGGACATAACACCTTTTAGTGTTGAAACACTCACCACTAAGGTCTGCAGCATCATTCTTGAAGTGAGCAAGACCACGAACCTGCCAGAAGGAAGAAACTCTGGAGACATCTGAAGGAAAAAACTCTGGACATAACACCGTTAAGTGCTGTAACACTCACCAGTAAGGTCTGCACCTTCATTAGTGAAGTGAGCAAGACCATGAACCTGCCAGAAGGAAGACACTCTGGACATATCTGAAGGAACAAACTCTGGACATAACACCTTTAAGTGCTGTAACACTCACCAGTAAGGTCTGCAGCTTCATTCTTGAAGTGAGGAAGACCACGAAACTGCCAGAAGGAAGAAACTCTTGACACATCTGAAGGAACAAACGCTGGACATAACACCTTTAAGTGCTGTAACACTCACCAGTAAGGTCTGCAGCTTCATTAAAGAAGTGAGCAAGACCACGAACCTGCCAGAAGGAAGAAACTCTGGAAAAACCTGAAGGAACAAACTCTGGACATAACACCTTTAAGTGCTGTAACACTCACCAGTAAGGTCTGCAGCTTCATTCTTGAAGTGAGCAACACCATGAACCTGCCAGAAGGAAGAAACTCTGGACGCATCTGAAGGAACAAACTCTGGACATAACACCTTTAAGTACTGTAACACTCCCCAGTAAGGTCTGCAGCTTCATTAGTGAAGTGAGCAAGACCATGAACCTGCCAGAAGGAAGACACTCTGGACACATCTGAGGGAACAAACTCTGGACATAACACCTTTAAGTGCTGTAACACTCACCAGTAATGTCTGCAGCTTCATTCTTGAAGTGAGGAAGACCACGAAACTGCCAGAAAGAAGAAACTCTGGACACATCTGAAAAAACAAACTCTGGACATAACACCTTTAAGTGCTGTAACACTCACCAGTAAGGTCTGCAGCTTCATTAAAGAAGTGAGCAAGACCACGAACCTGCCAGAAGGAAGAAACTCTGGAAACATCTGAAGGAACAAACTCTGGACATAACAGTTTTAAGTGCTGTAACACTCACCAGTAAGGTCTGCAGCTTCATTCTTGAAGTGAGCAAGACCATGAACCTGCCAGAAGGAAGAAAGACTGGACACATCTGAAGGAACAAATTCTGGACATAACAACTTTAACTGCTGTAACACTCACCACAAAAGTCTGCAGCTTCATTCTTGAAGTGAGCAAGACCATGAACCTGCCAGAAGGAAGAAACACTGGACACATCTGAAGGAACAACCTCTGGACATAACACCTTTAAGTGCTGTAACACTCACCGGTAAGGTCTGCAGCTTCATTAAGGAAGTGAGCAAGACCACGAACCTGCAAGAAGGAAGAAACTCTGGACACATCTGAAGGAACAAACTCTGGACATAACAACTTTAAGTGCTGTAACACTCAACACTAAGGTCTGCAGCTTCATTCTTGAAGTGAGTAACACCATGAACCTGCCAGAAGGAAGAAACTCTGGACACATCCGAAGGAACAAACTCTGGATATAACACCTTTAAGTGCTTTAACACTCAACAGTAAGGTCTGCAGCTTCATTCTTGAAGTGAGCAAGACCATGAATCTGCCAGAAGGAAGAAACGCTGGACATATCTGAAGGAAAAAACTCTGGACATAACACCTTTAAGTGCTGTAACACTCACCACTAAGGTCGGCAGCTTCATTCTTGAAGTGAGCAAGACCATGAACATGCCAGAAGACAGAAACCCTGGACACATCTGAAGGAACAAACTCTGGACATAACACCTTTAAGTGCTGTAACACTCACCAGTAAGGTCTGCAGCTTCATTAGTGAAGTGAGCAAGACCATGAACCTGCCAGAAGGAAGACACTCTGGACACATCCGAAGGAACAAACTGTGGACATAACAACTTTAAGTGCTGTAACACTCACCAGTAAGGTCTGCAGCTTCATTCTTGAAGTGAGGAAGACCACGAAACTGCCAGAAGGAAGAAACTCTGGACACATCTGAAGAAACAAACTCTGGACATAACACCTTTAAGTGCTGTAACACTCACCAGTAAGGTCGGCAGCTTCATTAAAGAAGTGAGGAAGACCACGAACCTGCCAGAAGGAAGAAACTCTGGAAATACCTGAAGGAACAAACTCTGGACATAACAGCTTTAAGTGCTGTAACACTCACCAGTAAGGTCTGCAGCTTCATTCTTGAAGTGAGCAACACCATGAACCTGCCAGAAGGAAGAAACTCTGGACACATCTGAAGGAACAAACTCTGGACATAACACCTTTAAGTGCTATAACACTCAGAACTAAGGTCTGCAGCATAATTCTTGAAATGAGCAAGACAATGAACCTGCTAGAAGGAAGAAACTCTGGACACATCTGAAGGAACAAACTCTGGACAAAACACCTTTAAGTACTGTAACACTCCCCAGTAAGGCCTGCAGCTTCATTAGTGAAGTGAGCAAGACCATGAACCTGCCAGAAGGAAGACACTCTGGACACATCTGAGGGAACAAACTCTGGACATAACACATTTAAGTGCTGTAACACTCACCAGTAATGTCTGCAGCTTCATTCTTGAAGTGAGGAAGACCACGAAACTGCCAGAAAGAAGAAACTCTGGACACATCTGAAGAAACAAACTCTGGACATAACACCTTTAAGTGCTGTAACACTCACCATTAAGGTCTGCAGCTTCATTAAAGAAGTGAGCAAGACCACGAACCTGCCAGAAGGAAGAAACTCTGGAAACATCCGAAGGAACAAACTCTGGACATAACAGCTTTAAGTGCTGTAACACTCACCAGTAAGGTCTGCAGCTTCATTCTTGAAGTGAGCAAGACCATGAACCTGCCAGAAGGAAGAAACACTGGACACATCTGAAGGAACAAACTCTGGACATAACACCTTTAAGTGCTGTAACACTCACCGGTAAGGTCTGCAGCTTCATTAAGGAAGTGAGCAAGACCACGAACCTGAAAGAAGGAAGAAACTCTAGACACATCTGAAGGAACAAACTCTGGACACAACACCTGTAAGTGCTGTAACACTCAACACTAAGGTCTGCAGCTTCATTCTTGAAGTGAGCAACACCATGAACCTGCCAGAAGGAAGAAACTCTGGACACATCTGAAGGAACAAACTCTGGATATAACACCTTTAAGTGCTTTAACACTCAACAGTAAGGTCTGCAGCTTCATTCTTGAAGTGAGCAAGACCATGAACCTGCCACAAGGAAGAAACGCTGGACATATCTGAAGGAAAAAACTCTGGACATAACACCTTTAAGTGCTGTAACACTCACCACTAAGGTCGGCAGCTTCATTCTTGAAGTGAGCAAGACCATGAACCTGCCAGAAGACAGAAACCCTGGACACATCTGAAGGAACAAACTCTGGACATAACACCTTTAAGTGCTGTAACACTCACCAGTAAGGTCTGCAGCTTCATTAGTGAAGTGAGGAAGACCATGAACCTGCCAGAAGGAAGACACTCTGGACACATCCGAAGGAACAAACTCTGGACATAACAACTATAAGTGCTGTAACACTCACCAGTAAGGTCTGCAGCTTCATTCTTGAAGTGAGGAAGACCACGAAACTGCCAGAAGGAAGAAACTCTGGACACATCTGAAGAAACAAACTCTGGACATAACACCTTTAAGTGCTGTAACACTCACCAGTAAGGTCTGCAGCTTCATTAAAGAAGTGAGCAAGACCACGAACCTGCCAGAAGGAAGAAACTCTGGAAACACGAGAAGGAACAAACTCTGGACATAACAACTTTAAGTGGTGTAACACTCACCACTAAGGTCTGCAGCTTAATTCTTGAAATGAGCAAGACAATGAACCTGCTAGAAGGAAGAAACTCTGGACACATCTCAAGGAACAAACTCTGGACAAAACACCTTTAAGTACTGTAACACTCCCCAGTAAGGTCTGCAGCTTCATTAGTGAAGTGAGCAAGACCATGAACCTGCCAGAAGGAAGACACTCTGGACACATCTGACGGAACAAACTCTGGACATAACACCTTTAAGTGCTGTAACACTCACCAGTAATGTCTGCAGCTTCATTCTTGAAGTGAGGAAGACCAAGAAACTGCCAGAAAGAAGAAACTCTGGAAACATCTGAAGAAACAAACTCTGGACATAACACCTTTAAGTGCTGTAACACTCACCAGTAAGGTCTGCAGCTTCATTAAAGAAGTGAGCAAGATCACGAACCTGCCAGAAGGAAGAAACTCTGGAAACATCTGAAGGAACAAACTCTGGACATAACAGCTTTAAGTGCTGTAACACTCACCAGTAAGGTCTGCAGCTTCATTCTTGAAGTGAGCAAGACAATCAACCTGCCAGAAGGAAGAAACACTGGACACATCTGAAGGAACAAATTCTGGACATAACAACTTTAACTGCTGTAACACTCACCACAAAAGTCTGCAGCTTCATTCTTGAAGTGAGCAAGACCATGAACCTGCCAGAAGGAAGAAACACTGGACACATATGAAGGAACAAACTCTGGACATAACACCTTTAAGTGCTGTAACACTCACCGGTAAGGTCTGCAGCTTCATTAAGGAAGTGAGCAAGACCACGAACCTGCAAGAAGGAAGAAACTCTGGACACATCTGAAGGAACAAACTCTGGACATAACACCTTTAAGTGATGAAACACTCAACACTAAGGTCTGCAGTTTCATTCTTGAAATGAGAAAGACAATGAACCTGCCAGAAGGAAGAAACTCCGGACATATCTGAAGGAACAAAGTCTGGACATAACACCTTTAAATGCGGTAACACTCACCACTAAGGTCGGCAGCTTCATTCTTGAAGTGAGCAAGACCATGAAACTGCCAGAAGACAGAAACCCTGGACACATCTGAAGGAACAAACTCTGGACATAACACCTTTAAGTGCTGCAACACTCACCGGTAAGGTCTGCAGCTTCATTAAGGAAGTGAGCAAGACCAAGAACCTGCAAGAAGGAATAAACTCTGGACACATCTGAAGGAACAAACTCTGGACCTAACACCTTTAAGTGCTGTAACACTCAACACTAAGGTCTGCAGCTTCATTCTTGAAGTGAGCAACACCATGAAACTGCAAGAAGGAAGAAACTCTGGACACATCTGAAGGATCAAACTCTGGATATAACACCTTTAAGTGCTTTAACACTGAATAGTAAGGTCTGCAGCTTCATTCTTGAAGTGAGCAAGACCATGAACCTGCCAGAAGGAAGAAACGCTGGACACATCTGAAGGAAAAACTCTGGACATAACACTTTTAAGTGCTGTAACAGTCACCACTAAGGTCTGCAGCTTCATTCTTGAAGTGAGCAAGAACATGAACCTGCCAGAAGACAGAAACCCTGGACACATCAGAAGGAACAAACTCTGGACATAACACCTTTAAGTGCTGTAACACTCACCAGTAAGGTCTGCAGCTTCATTAGTGAAGTGAGCAAGACCATGAAGCTGCCAGAAGGAAGACACTCTGGACACATCAGAAGGAACAAACTCTGGACATAACACCTTTAAGTGCTGTAACACTCACCACTAAGGTCTGCAGTTTCATTCTTGAAATGAGCAAGACAATGAACCTGCCAGAAGGAAGAAACTCCGGACATATCTGAAGGAACAAAGTCTGGACATAACAACTTTAAATGCTGTAACACTCACCACTAAGGTCGGCAGCTTCATTCTTGAAGTGAGCAAGACCATGAACCTGCCAGAAGACACAAACCCTGGACACATCTGAGGGAACGAACTCTGGACATAACACCTTTAAGTGCTATAACACTCACCGGTAAGGTCTGCAGCTTCATTAAGGAAGTGAGCAAGACCACGAACCTGCAAGAAGGAATAAACTCTGGACACATCTGAAGGAACAAACTCTGGACATAACACCTTTAAGTGCTGTAACACTCAACACTAAGGTCTGCAGCTTCATTCTTGAAGTGAGCAACACCATGAACCTGCAAGAAGGAAGAAACTCTGGACACATCTGAAGGATCAAACTCTGGATATAACACCTCTAAGTGCTTTAACACTGAATAGTAAGGTCTGCAGCTTCATTCTTGAAGTGAGCAAGACCATGAACCTGCCAGAAGGAAGAAACGTCGGACACATCTGAAGGAAAAAACTCTGGACATAACAACTTTAAGTGCTGTAACACTCACCACTAATTTCGGCAGCTTCATTCTTGAACTGAGCAAGACCATGAACCTGCCAGAAGACAGAAACCCTGGACACATCTGAAGGAACAAACTCTGGACATAACACCTTTAAGTGCTGTAACCCTCACCAGTAAGGTCTGCAGCTTCATTAGTGAAGTGAGCAAGACCGTGAACATGCCAGAATGAAGACACTCTGGACACATCTGAAGGAACAAACTCTGGACATAACAACTTTAAGTGCTGTAACACTCACCAGTAAAGTCTGCAGCTTCATTCTTGAAGTGAGGAAGACCAGGAAACTGCCAGAAGGAAGAATCTCTGGACACATCTGAAGAAAAAAACTCTGGACATAACAACTTTAAGTGCTGTAACACTCACCATTAATGTGTGCAGCTTCATTAAAGAAGTGAGCAAGACCACGAACCTGCCAGAAGGAAGAAACTCTGGAAACATCTGAAGGAACAAACTCTGGACATAACAGCTTTAAGTGCTGTAACACTCACCAGTAAGGTCTGCAGCTTCATTCTTGAAGTGAGCAAGACCATGAACCTGCCAGAAGAAAGAAACTCTGGACACATCTGAAGCAACAAACTCTGGACAAAACAACTTTAAGTGCTGTAACACTCACCGTAAAAGTCTGCAGCTTCATTCTTGAAATGAGCAAGACCATGAACCTGCCAGAAGGAAGAAACGCTGGACATATCTGAAGGAAAAAACTCTGGGCATAACACCTTTAAGTGCTGTAAAACTCACCACTAAGGTCGGTAGCTTCATTCTTGAAGTGAGCAACACCATGAACCTGCCAGAAGACAGAAACCCTGGACACATCTGAAGGAACAAACTCTGGACATAACACCTTTAAGTGCTGTAACACTCACCAGTAAGGTCTGCAGCTTCATTCTTGAAGTGAGGAAGACCACGAAACTCCCAGAAAGAAGAAACTCTGGACACATCTGAAGAAACAAACTCTGGACATAACACATTTAAGTGCTGTAACACTCACAAGTAAGGTCTGCAGCTTCATTAAAGAAGTGAGCAAGACCACGAACCTGCTAGAAGGAAGAAACTCTGGAAACATCTGAAGGAACAAACTCTGGACATATCAGCTTTAAGTGCTGTAACACTCACCAGTAAGGCCTGCAGCTTCATTCTTGAAGTGAGCAAGACCATGAACCTGCCAGAAGGAAGAAACACTGGACACATCTGAAGGAAAAAATTCTGGACATAACAACTTTAAGTGCTGTAACACTCACCACAAAAGTCTGCAGCTTCATTCTTGAAGTGAGCAAGACCATGAACCTGCCAGAAGGAAGAAACACTGGACACATCTGAAGGAACAAACTCTGGACCTAAAATCCTTTAAGTGCTGTAACACTCACCAGTAAGGTCTGCAGCTTCATTAAGGAAGTGAGCAAGACCACGAACCTGCAAGAAGGAAGAAACTCTGGACACATCTGAAGGAACAAACACTGGACATAACACGTTTAAGTGCTGTAACACTCAACACTAAGGTCTGCAGCTTCATTCTTGAAGTGAGCAACACCATGAACATGCCAGAAGGAAGAAACTCTGGACACATCTGAAGGAACAAACTCTGGACATAACACCTTGAAGTGCTTTAACACTAAAGAGTATGGTCTGCAGCTTCATTCTTGAAGTGAGCAAGACCATGAACCTGCCAGAAGGAAGAAACGCTGGACACATCTGAAGGAAAAAACTCTGGACATAACACCTTTAAGTACTGTAACACTCACCACTAAGTTCGGCAGCTTCATTCTTGAAGTGAGCAAGACCATGTACCTGCCAGAAGACAGAAACCCTGGACACATCTGAAGGAACAAACTCTGGACATAACACCTTTAAGTGCTGTAACACTCACCAGTAAGGTCTGCAGCTTCATTAGTGAAGTGAGCAAGACCATGAACCTGCCAGAAGGAAGACACTCAGGACACATCTGAAGGAAAAAAACTCTGGACATAACACCTTTAAGTGCTGTAACACTCACCATTAAGGTCTGCAGCTTCATTAAGGAAGTGAGCCAGACCACGAACCTGCAAGAAGGAAGAAACTCTGGACACATCTGAAGGAACAAACACTGGACATAACACCTTTAAGTGCTGTAACACTCACCACTAAGTTCGGCAGCTTCATTCTTGAAGTGAGCAAGACCATGTACCTGCCAGAAGACAGAAACCCTGGACACATCTGAAGGAACAAACTGTGGACATAACACCTTTAAGTGCTGTAACACTCACCAGTAAGGTCTGCAGCTTCGTTAGTGAAGTGAGCAAGACCATGAACCTGCCAGAAGGAAGACACTCAGGACACATCTGAAGGAAAAAACTCTGGACATAACACCTTGAAGTGCTGTAACACTCACCATTAAGGTCTACAGCTTCATTAAGGAAGTGAGCAAGACCACGAACCTGCAAGAAGGAAGAAACTCTGGACACATCTGAAGGAAAAAACTCTGCACATCACACATTCAAGTGCTGTAACACTCACCAGTAAGGTCTGCAGCTTCATTCTTGAAGTGAGCAACACCATGAACCTGCCAGAAGGAAGAAACACTGGACACATCTGAAGGAACAAACTCTGGACATAACACCTTTAAGTGCTGTAACACTCACCAGTAAGGTCTGCAGCTTCATTAAGGAAGTGAGCAAGACCACGAACCTGCCAGAAGGAAGAAACTCTGGACACATCTGAAGGAACAAACTCTGGACATAACACTTTTAAGTGCTGTAACACTCAACAGTAAGGTCTGCAGCTTCATTGTTGAAGTGAGCAACACCATGAACCTGCCAGAAGGAAGAAACTCTGTACACATCTGAAGGAACAAAATCTGGATATAACACCTTTAAGTGCTTTAACACTCAACAGTAAGGTCTGCAGCTTCATTCTTGAAGTGAGCAAGACCATGAACCTGCCAGAAGGAAGAAACGCTGGACACATCTGAAGGAAAAAACTCTGGACATAACAACTTTAAGTGCTGTAACACTCACCACTAAAGTCTGCAGCTTCATTCTGGAAGTGAGCAAGACCATGAACCTGCCAGAAGACAGAAACCCTGGACACATCTGAAGGAAAAATCTCTGGACATAACACCTTTAAGTGCTGTAACACTCACCAGTAAGGTCTGCAGCTTCATTCTTGAAGTGAGCAAGACCATGAACCTGCCAGAAGAAAGACACTCTGGACACATCTGAAGGAACAAACTCTGGACATAACACCTTTAAGTGCTGTAACACTCAACAGTAAGGTCTGCAGCTTCATTCTTGAAGTGAGCAACACCATGAAACTGCCAGAAGGAAGAAACTCTGGACACATCTGAAGGAAGAAACTCTGCACAAAACACCTTAAAGTGCTGTAACACTCCCCAGTAAGGTCTGCAGCTTCATTAGTGAAGTGAGCAAGACCATGAACCTGCCAGAAGGAAGACACTCTGGACACATCTGAAGGAACAAACTCTGGACATAACACCTTTACGTGCTGTAACACTCAACACTAAGGTCTGCAGCTTCATTCTTGAAGTGAGGAAGACCACGAAACTGCCAGAAGGAAGAAACTCTGGACACATCTGAAGAAACAATCTCTGGACATAACACCTTTAAGTGCTGTAACACTCACCAGTATGGTCTGCAGCTTCATTAAAGAAGTGAGCAAGACCACGAACCTGCCAGAAGGAAGAAACTCTGGAAACATCTGAAGGATCAAACTCTGGACATAACAGCTTTAAGTACTGCAACACTCACCAGTAAGGTCTGCAGCTTCATTCTTGAAGTGAGCAAGACCATGAACCTGCCAGAAGGAAGAAACACTGGACACATCTGAAGGAACAAATTGTGGACATAACATCTTTAACTGCTGTAACACTCACCACAAAGTCTGCAGCTTCATTCTTGAAGTGAGCAAGACCATGAACCTGCCAGAAGGAAGAAACACTGGACACATCTGAAGGAACAAACTCTGGACATAACACCTTTAAGTGCTGTAACATTCACCAGTACGGTCTGCAGCTTCATTAAGGAAGTGAGCAAGACCACGAACCTGCAAGAAGGAAGAAACTCTGGACACATCTGAAGGAACAAACACTGGACATAACACCTTTAAGTGCTGTAACACTCAACACTAAGGTCTGCAGCTTCATTCTTGAAGTGAGCAACACCATGAACATGCCAGAAGGAAGAAACTCTGGACACATCTGAAGGAACAAACTCTGGACATAACACCTTTAAGTGCTTTAACACTAAACAGTAAGGTCTGCAACTTCATTCTTGAAGTGAGCAAGACCATGAACATGCCAGAAGGAAGAAACGCTGGACGCATCTGAAGGAAAAAACTCTAGACATAACACCTTTAAGTACTGTAACACTCACCACTAAGTTCGGCAGCTTCATTCTTGAAGTGAGCAAGACCATGTACGTGCCATAAGACAGAAACCCTGGACACAGGTGAAGGAACAAACTCTGGACATAACACCTTTAAGTGCTGTAACACTCACCAGTAAGGTCTGCAGCTTAATTAGTGAAGTGAGCAAGACCATGAACCTGCCAGAAGGAAGACACTCAGGACACATCTGAAGGAACAAACTCTGGACATAACATCTTTAAGTGCTGTAACACTCACCATTAAGGTCTGCAGCTTCATTAAGGAAGTGAGCAAGACCACGAACCTGCAAGAAGGAAGAAACTCTGGAAACATCTGAAGGAAAAAACTCTGCACATAACACCATCAAGTACTGTAACACTCACCAGGAAGGTCTGCAGCTTCATTCTTCAAGTGAGCAACACCATGAACCTGCCAGAAGGAAGAAACACTGGACACATCTGAAGGAACAAACTCTGGACATAACACCTTTAAGTGCTGTAACACTCACCAGTAAGGTCTGCAGCTTCATTAAGGAAGTGAGCAAGACCACGAACCTGCCAGAAGGAAGCAACTCTGGACACATCTGAAGGAACAAACTCTGGACATAACACCTTTAAGTGCTGTAACACTCACCACTAAAGTCTGCAGCTTCATTCTTGAAGTGAGCAAGACCATGAACCTGCCAGAAGACAGAAACCCTGGACACATCTGAAGGAAAAATCTCTGGACATAACACCTTTAAGTGCTGTAACACTCACCAGTAAGGTGTGCAGCTTCATTCTTGAAGTGAGCAAGACCATGAACCTGCCAGAAGGAAGACACTCTGGACACATCTGAAGGAACAAACTCTGGACATAACACCTTAAAGTGCTGTAACACTCACCAGTAAGGTCTGCAGCTTCATTCTTGAAGTGAGGAAGACCACGAAACTGCCAGAAGGAAGAAACTCTGGACACATCTGAAGAAACAAACTCTGGACATAACACCTTTAAGTGCTGTAACACTCACCAGTAAGGTCTGCAGCTTCATTAAAGAAGTGAGCAACACCACGAACCTGACAGAAGGAAGAAACTCTGGAAACATCTGAAGGAACAAACTCTGGATATAACAACTTTAATTGCGGTAACACTCACCAGTAAGGTCTGCAGCTTCATTCTTGAAGTGAGGAAGACCATGAACCTGCTAAAAGGAAGAAACGCTGGACACATCTGAAGGAAAGAACTCTGGACATAACAACTTCAAGTGCTGTAACACTCACCACTAAGGTCGGCAGCTTCATTCTTGAAGTGAGGAAGTCCATGAACCTGCCAGAAGACAGAAACCCTGGACACATCTGAAGGAACAAACTCTGGACATAACACCTTTAAGTGCTGTAACACTCACCTGTAAGGTCTGCAGCTTCATTAGTGAAGTGAGCAAGACCATGAACCTGCCAGAAGGAAGACACTCTGGACACATCTGAAGGAACAAACTCTGGACATAACACCTTTAAGTGCTGAAACACTCACCAGTAAGGTCTGCAGCTTCATTAAAGAAGTGAGCAAGACCACGTACCTGCCAGAAGGAAGAAACTCTGGAAACATCTGAAGGAACAAACTCTGGACATAACAGCTTTAAGTGCTGTAACACTCACCAGTAAGGTCTGCAGCTTGATTCTTGAAGTGAGCAACACCATGAACCTGCCAGAAGGAAGTAACTCTGGACACATCTGAAGGAACAAACTCTGGACATAACACCTTTACGTGCTATAACACTCAACACTAAGGTCTGCAGCTTCATTCTTGAAGTGAGGAAGACCACGAAACTGCCAGAAGGAAGAAACTCTGGACACATCTGGAGAAACAATCTCTGGACATAACACCTTTAAGTGCTGTAATACTCACCAGTAAGGTCTGCAGCTTCATTAAAGAAGTGAGCAAGACCAGGAACCTGCCAGAAGGAAGAAACTCTGGACACATCTGAAGGATCAAACTCTGGATATAACACCTTTAAGTGCTTTAACACTCAATAGTAAGGTCTGCAGCTTCATTCTTGAAGTGAGCAAGACCATGAACCTGCCAGTAGGAAGAAACGCTGGACACATCTGAAGGAAAAAACTCTGGACATAACAACTCCAAATGCTGTAACACTCACCACAAAGGTCGGCAGCTTCATTCTTGAAGTGAGCAAGACGATGAACCTGCCAGAAGACAGAAACCCTGGACACACCTGAAGGAACAAACTCTGGTCATAACACCTTTAAGTGCTGCCACCCTCACCAGTAAGGTCTGCAGCTTCATTAGTGAAGTGAGCAAGACCATGAACCTGCCAGAAGGAAGAAACTCTGGACACATCTGAAGGAACAAACTCTGGACATAACAGCTTTAAGTGCTTTAAAACTCAACAGTAAGGTCTGCAGCTTCACTCTTGAAGTGAGCAACACCATGAACCTGCCAGAAGGAAGAAACGCTGGACATATCTGAAGGAAAAAACTCTGGACATAACACATTTAAGTGCTGTAACACTCAACACTAAGGTCTGCAGCTTCATTCTTGAAGTGAGGAAGACCACGAAACTGCCGGAAGGAAGAAATTCTGGACACATCTGAAGAAACAAACTCTGGACATAACAGCTTTAAGTGCTGTAACACTCACCAGTAAGGTCTGCAGCTTCATTCTTGAAGTGAGCAAGACCATGAACCTGCCAGAAGGAAGACACTCTGGACACATCTGAAGGAACAAACTCTGGACATAACACCTTTACGTGCTGTAACACTCAACACTAAGGTCTGCGGCTTCATTCTTGAAGTGAGGAAGACCACGAAACTGCCAGAAGGAAGAAACTCTGGACACATCTGAAGAAACAATCTCTGGACATAACACCTTTAAGTGCTGTAAGACTCACCAGTAAGGTCTGCAGCTTCATTAAAGATGTGAGCAAGACCACGAACCTGCCAGAAGGAAGAAACTCTGGAAACATCTGAAGGAACAAACTCTGGATATAACAACTTTAATTGCTGTAACACTCAACAGAAAGGTCTGCAGCTTCATTCTTGAAGTGAGGAAGACCATGAACCTGCCAGAAGGAAGAAACGCTGGACACATCTGAAGGAAAGAACTCTGGACATAACACCTTCAAGTGCTGTAACACTCACCACTAAGGTCGGCAGCTTCATTCTTGAAGTGAGGAAGACCATGAACCTGCCAGAAGACAGAAACCCTGGACACATCTGAAGGAACAAACTCTGGACATAACACCTTTAAGTGCTGTAACACTCACCAGTAAGGACTGCAGCTTCATTAGTGAAGTGAGCAAGACCATGAACCTGCCAGAAGGAAGACAATCTGGACACATCTGAAGGAACAAACTCTGGACATAACACCTTTAAGTGATGTAACACTCACCAGTAAGGTCTGCAGCTTCATTAAAGAAGTGAGCAAGACCACGAACCTGCCAGAAGGAAGAAACTCTGGAAACATCTGAAGGAACAAACTCTGGACATAATAGCTTTAAGTGCTGTAACACTCAACAGTAAGGTCTGCAGCTTGATTCTTGAAGTGAGCAACACCATGAACCTGCCAGAAGGAAGTAACTCTGGACACATCTGAAGGAACAAACTCTGGACATAACACCTTTACGTGCTGTAACACTCACCACTAAGGTCTGCAGCTTCATTCTTGAAGTGAGGAAGACCACGAAACTGCCAGAAGGAAGAAACTCTGGACACATCTGGAGAAACAATCTCTGGACATAACACATTTAAGTGCTGTAATACTCACCAGTAAGTTCTGCAGCTTCATTAAAGAAGTGAGCAAGAACACGAACCTGCCAGAAGGAAGAAACTCTGGAAATATCTGAAGGATCAAACTCTGGACATAACAGCTTTAAGTACTGTAACAGTCACCAGTAAGGTCTGCAACTTCATTCTTGAAGTGAGCAAGACCATGAACCTGCCAGAAGGAAGAAACACTGGACACATCTGAAGGAACAAATTGTGGACATAACAACTTTAAATGCTGTAACACTCACCACAAAAGTCTGCAGCTTCATTCTTGAAGTGAGCAAGACCATGAACCTGCCAGAAGGAAGAAACACTGGACACATCTGAAGGAACAAACTCTGGACATAACACCTTTAAGTGCTGTAACACTCACCAGTAAGGTCTGCAGCTTCATTAAGGAAGTGAGCAAGAACACGAACCTGCAAGAAGGAAGAAACTCTGGGCACATCTGAAGGAACAAACACTGGACATAACACCTATAAGTGCTGTAACACTCAACACTAAAGTCTGCAGCTTCATTCTTGAAGTGAGCAACACCATGAACATGCCAGAAGGAAGAAACTCTGGACACATCTGAAGGAACAAACTCTGGACATAACACCTTGAAGTGCTTTAACACTAAAGAGTATGGTCTGCAGCTTCATTCTTCAAGTGAGCAAGACTATGAACCTTCCAGAAGGAAGAAACGCTGGACACATCTGAAGGAAAAAACTCTGGACATAACACCTTTAAGTACTGTAACAATCACCACTAAGTTCGGCAGCTTCATTCTTGAAGTGAGCAAGACCATGTACCTGCCAGAAGACAGAAACCCTGGACACATCTGGAGGAACAAACTCTGGACATAACACCTTTAAGTGCTGTAAAACTCACCAGTAAGGTCTGCAGCTTCATTAGTGAAGTGAGCAAGACCATGAACCTGCCAGAAGGAAGACACTCAGGACACATCTGAAGGAAAAAAACTCTGGACATAACACCTTTAAGTGCTGTAACACTCACCATTAAGGTCTGCAGCTTCATTAAGGAAGTGAGCAAGACCACGAACCTGCAAGAAGGAAGAAACTCTGGACACATCTGAAGGAAAAAACTCTGCACATAACACCTTCAAGTGCTGTAACACTCACCATTAAGGTCTGCAGCTTCATTCTTAAAGTGAGCAACACCATGAACCTGCCAGAAGGAAGAAACACTGGACATATCTGAAGGAACAAACTCTGGACATAACACCTTTAAGTGCTGTAACACTCACCAGTAAGGTCTGCAGCTTCATTAAGGAAGTGAGCAAGACCACGAACCTGCCAGAAGGAAAAAACTCTGGACACATCTGAAGGAACAAACTCTGGACATAACACTTTTAAGTGCTGTAACACTCAACACTAAGGTCTGCAGCTTCATTGTTGAAGTGAGCAACACCATGAACCTGCCAGAAGGAAGAAACTCTGGACAAATCTGAAGGAACAAACTCTGGACATAACACCTTTAAGTGCTTTAACACTAAACAGTAATGTCTGCAGCTTCATTCTTGAAGTGAGCAAGACCATGTACCTGCCAGAAGGAAGAAACGCTGGACGCATCTGAAAGAAAAAACTCTGGACATAACACCTTTAAGTACTGTAACACTCACCCCTAAGTTCGGCAGCTTCATTCTTGAAGTGAGCAAGACCATGTACCTGCAATACGACAGAAACCCTGGACAAATGTGAAGGAACAAACTCTGGACATAACACCTTTAAGTGCTGTAACACTCACCAGTAAGGCCTGCAGCTTCATTCTTGAAGTGAGCGAGACCATGAACCTGCCAGAAGGAAGAAACACTGGACACATCTTAAGGAACAAATTCTGGACATAACAACTTTAACTGCTGTAACACTCACCACAAAAGTCTGCAGCTTCATTCTTGAAGTGAGCAAGACCATGAACCTGCCAGAAGGAAGAAACACTGGACACATCTGAAGGAACAAACTCTGGACCTAAAACCTTTAAGTGCTGTAACACTCACCAGTAAGGTCTGCAGCTTCATTAAGGAAGTGAGCAAGACCACGAACCTGCAAGAAGGAAGAAACTCTGGACACATCTGAAGGAAAAAACTCTGCACATAACACCTTCAAGTGCTGTAACACTCACTAGTAAGCTCTGCAGCTTCATTCTTGAAGTGAGCAAGACCATGTACCTGCCATAAGACAGAAACCCTGGACACATGTGAAGTAACAAACTCTGGACATAACACCTTTAAGTGCTGTAACACTCACCAGTAAGGTCTGCAGCTTCATTCTTGGATGAGGCAAGACCATGACCTGCCAGAAGGAAGACACTCTGGACACAACTGAAGGAACAAACTCTGGACATAACACCTTAAAGTGCTGTAACACTCACCAGTAAGGTCTGCAGCTTCATTCTTGAAGTGAGGAAGACCACGAAACTGCAAGAAGGAAGAAACTCTGGACACATCTGAAGAAACAAAATCTGGACATAACACCTTTAAGTGCTGTAAGACTCACCAGTAAGGTCTGCAGCTTCATTAAAGATGTGAGCAAGACCACGAACCTGCCAGAAGGAAGAAACTCTGGAAACATCTGAAGGAACAAACTCTGGATATAACAACTTTAATTGCTGTAACACTCAACAGTAAGGTCTGCAGCTTCATTCTTGAAGTGAGGAAGACCATGAACCTGCCAGAAGGAAGAAACGCTGGACACATCTGAAGGAAAGAATTCTGGACATAACACCTTCAAGTGCTGTAACACTCACCACTAAGGTCGGCAGCTTCATTCTTGAAGTGAGGAAGACCAGGAAACTGCCAGAAGGAAGAATCTCTGGACACATCTGAAGAAACAAACTCTGGACATAACAACTTTAAGTGCTGTAACACTCACCAGTAAGGTCTGCAGCTTCATTAAAGAAGTGAGCAAGACCACGAACCTGCCAGAAGGAAGAAACTCTGGAAACATATGAAGGAACAAACTCTGGACATAACAGCTTTAAGTGCTGTAACACTCACCAGTAAGGTCTGCAGCTTCATTCTTGAAGTGAGCAACACCATGAACCTGCCAGAAGAAAGAAACTCTGGACACATCTGAAGCAACAAACTCTGGACAAAACACCTTTAAGTGCTGTAACACTCACCGTAAAAGTCTGCAGCTTCATTCTTGAAATGAGCAAGACCATGAACCTGCCAGAAGGAAGAAACGCTGGACATATCTGAAGGAAAAAACTCTGGACATAACACCTTTAAGTGCTGTAAAACTCACCACTAAGGTCGGCAGATTCATTCTTGAAGTGAGCAACACCATGAACCTGCCAGAAGATAGAAACCCTGGACACATCTGAAGGAACAAACTCTGGACATAACAACTTTAAGTGCTGTAACACTCACCAGTAAGGTCTGCAGCTTCATTCTTGAAGTGAGGAAGACCACGAAACTGCCAGAAAGAAGAAACTCTGGACACATCTGAAGAAACAAACTCTGGACATAACACATTTAAGTGCTGTAACACTCACAAGTAAGGTCTGCAGCTTCATTAAAGAAGTGAGCAAGACCACGAACGTGCCAGAAGGAAGAAACTCTGGAAACATCTGAAGGAACAAACTCTGGACATATGAGCTTTAAGTGCTGTAACACTCAGCAGCAAGGCCTGCAGCTTCATTCTTGAAGTGAGCAAGACCATGAACCTGCCAGAAGGAAGAAACACTGGACACATCTGAAGGAACAAATTCTGGACATAACAACTTTAACTGCTGTAACACTCACCACAAAGTCTGCAGCTTCATTCTTGAAGTGAGCAAGACCATGAACCTGCCAGAAGGAAGAAACACTGGACACATCTGAAGGAACAAACTCTGGACCTAAAACCTTTAAGTGCTGTAACACTCACCAGTAAGGTCTGCAGCTTCATTAAGGAAGTGAGCAAGACCACGAACCTGCAAGAAGGAAGAAACTCTGGAATCATCTGAAGGAACAAACTCTGGACATAACACCTTTAAGTGCTGTAACACTCAACACTAAGGACTGCAGCTTCATTCTTGAAGTGAGCAACACCATGAAACTGCCAGAAGACAGAAACCCTGGACACATCTGGAGGAACAAACTCTGGACATAACACCTTTAAGTGCTGTAACATTCACCAGTAAGGTCTGCAGCTTCATTAAGGAAGTGAGCAAGACCACGAACCTGCAAGAAGGAAGAAACTCTTGACACATCTGAAGGAACAAACTCAGGACATAACACCTTTAAGTGCTGTAACACTCACCACTAAGGTCTGCAGCTTCATTCTTGAAGTGAGCAACACCATGAACCTGCCAGAAGGAAGAACCTCTGGACACATCTGAAGGAACAAACTCTGGACATAACAAATTTAAGTGCTTTAAAACTCAACAGTAAGGTCTGCAGCTTCATTCTTGAAGTGTGCAAGACCATGAACCTGCCAGAAGGAAGAAGCGCTGGATATATCTGAAGGAAAAAACTCTGGACATAACACCTTTAAGTGTTGTAACACTCAACACTAAGGTCTGCAGCTTCATTCTGGAAGTGAGCAACACCACGAACCTGCCAGAAGGAAGAAACTCTGGACACGTCTGAAGGAACAAACTCTGGACATAACACCTTTAAGTGCCTTAACACTCAACAGTAAGGTCTGCAGCTTCATTCTTGAAGTGAGCAAGACTATGAACCTGCCAGAAGGAAGAAACGCTGGACACATCTGAAGGAAAAAACTCTGGACATAACACCTTTAAGTGCTGTAACTCTCACCACTAAGGTCTGCAGCTTCATTCTTGAAGTGAGCCATAACATGAACCTGCCAGAAGACAGAAACCCTGGACACATCTGAAGGAACAAACTCTGGACATAACATCTTTAAGTGCTGTAACACTCACCAGTAAGGTCTGCAGCTTCATTAGTGAAGTGAGCAAGACCATGAAGCTGCCAGAAGGAAGACACTCTGGACACATCTGAAGGAACAAACTCTGGACATAACAACTTTAAGTGCTGTAACACTCACCACTAAAGTCTGCAGTTTCATTCTTGAAATGAGCAAGACAATGAACCTGCCAGAAGGAAGAAACTCTGGACATATCTGAAGGAACAAAGTCTGGACATAACACCTTTAAATGCTGTAACACTCACCACTAAGGTCGGCAGCTTCATTCTTCAATGAGCAAGACCATGATCCTGCCAGAAGACAGAAACCCTGGACACATCTGAAGGAACAAACTCTGGACATAACACCTTTATGTGCTGTAACACTCACCGGTAAGGTCTGCAGCTTCATTAAGGAAGTGAACAAGACCACGAACCTCCAAGAAGGAAGAAACTCTGGACACATCTGAAGGAACAAACTCTGGACATAACACCTTTAAGTGCTGTAACACTCAACACTAAGGTCTGCAGCTTCATTCTTGAATTGAGCAACACCATGAACCTGCCAGAAGGAAGAAACTCTGGACACATCTGAAGGATCAAACTCTGGATATAACACCTTTAAGTGCTTTAACACTCAATAGTAAGGTCTGCAGCTTCATTCTTGAAGTGAGCAAGACCATGAACCTGCCAGTAGGAAGAAACGCTGGACACATCTGAAGGAAAAAACTCTGGACATAACAACTCCAAATGCTGTAACACTCACCACAAAGGTCGGCAGCTTCATTCTTGAAGTGAGCAAGACGATGAACCTGCCAGAAGACAGAAACCCTGGACACACCTGAAGGAACAAACTCTGGTCATAACACCTTTAAGTGCTGCCACCCTCACCAGTAAGGTCTGCAGCTTCATTAGTGAAGTGAGCAAGACCATGAACCTGCCAGAAGGAAGAAACTCTGGACACATCTGAAGGAACAAACTCTGGACATAACAGCTTTAAGTGCTTTAAAACTCAACAGTAAGGTCTGCAGCTTCACTCTTGAAGTGAGCAACACCATGAACCTGCCAGAAGGAAGAAACGCTGGACATATCTGAAGGAAAAAACTCTGGACATAACACATTTAAGTGCTGTAACACTCAACACTAAGGTCTGCAGCTTCATTCTTGAAGTGAGGAAGACCACGAAACTGCCGGAAGGAAGAAATTCTGGACACATCTGAAGAAACAAACTCTGGACATAACAGCTTTAAGTGCTGTAACACTCACCAGTAAGGTCTGCAGCTTCATTCTTGAAGTGAGCAAGACCATGAACCTGCCAGAAGGAAGACACTCTGGACACATCTGAAGGAACAAACTCTGGACATAACACCTTTACGTGCTGTAACACTCAACACTAAGGTCTGCGGCTTCATTCTTGAAGTGAGGAAGACCACGAAACTGCCAGAAGGAAGAAACTCTGGACACATCTGAAGAAACAATCTCTGGACATAACACCTTTAAGTGCTGTAAGACTCACCAGTAAGGTCTGCAGCTTCATTAAAGATGTGAGCAAGACCACGAACCTGCCAGAAGGAAGAAACTCTGGAAACATCTGAAGGAACAAACTCTGGATATAACAACTTTAATTGCTGTAACACTCAACAGTAAGGTCTGCAGCTTCATTCTTGAAGTGAGGAAGACCATGAACCTGCCAGAAGGAAGAAACGCTGGACACATCTGAAGGAAAGAACTCTGGACATAACACCTTCAAGTGCTGTAACACTCACCACTAAGGTCGGCAGCTTCATTCTGGAAGTGAGGAAGACCATGAACCTGTCAGAAGACAGAAACCCTGGACACATCTGAAGGAAAAATCTCTGGACATAACACCTTTAAGTGCTGTAACACTCACCAGTAAGGTCTGCAGCTTCATTCTTGAAGTGAGTAAGACCATGAACCTGCCAGAAGGAAGACACTCTGGACACATCTGAAGGAAGAAACTCTGGACATAACACCTTAAAGTGCTGTAACACTCACCAGTAAGGTCTGCAGCTTCATTCTTGAAGTGAGGAAGACCACGAAACTGCCAGAAGGAAGAAACTCTGGACACATCTGAAGAAACAAACTCTGGACATAACACCTTTAAGTGCTGTAACACTCACCAGTAAGGTCTGTAGCTTCATTAAAGAAGTGAGCAACACCACGAACCTGCCAGAAGGAAGAAACTCTGGAAACATCTGAAGGAACAAACTCTGGATATAACAACTTTAATTGCTGTAACACTCACCAGTAAGGTCTGCAGCTTCATTCTTGAAGTGAGGAAGACCATGAACCTGCCAGAAGGAAGAAACGCTGGACACATCTGAAGGAAAGAACTCTGGACATAACAACTTCAAGTGCTGTAACACTCACCACTAAGGTCGGCAGCTTCATTCTTGAAGTGAGGAAGTCCATGAACCTGCCAGAAGACAGAAACCCTGGACACATCTGAAGGAACAAACTCTGGACATAACACCTTTAAGTGCTGTAACACTCACCAGTAAGGTCTGCAGCTTCATTAGTGAAGTGAGCAAGACCATGAACCTGCCAGAAGGAAGACACTCTGGACACATCTGAAGGAACAAACTCTGGACATAACACCTTAAAGTGCTGTAACACTCACCAGTAAGGTCTGCAGCTTCATTCTTGAAGTGAGGAAGACCACGAAACTGCCAGAAGGAAGAAACTCTGGACACATCTGAAGAAACAAACTCTGGACCTAACACCTTTAAGTGCTGTAACACTCACCAGTAAGGTCTGCAGCTTCATTAAAGAAGAGAGCAAGAAGACGAACCTGCCAGAAGGAAGAAACTCTGGAAACATCTGAAGGAACAAACTCTGGATATAACAACTTTAATTGCTGTAACACTCACCAGTAAGGTCTGCAGCTTCATTCTTGAAGTGAGGAAGACCATGAACCTGCCAGAAGGAAGAAACGCTGGACACATCTGAAGGAAAGAACTCTGGACATAACACCTTCAAGTGCTGTAACACTCAACACTAAGGTCGGCAGCTTCATTCTTGAAGTGAGGAAGACCATGAACCTGCCAGAAGACAGAAACCCTGGACACATCTGAAGGAACAAACTCTGGACATAACACCTTTAAGTGCTGTAATACTCACCAGTAAGGTCTGCAGCTTCATTAGTGAAGTGAGCAAGACCACGAACCTGCCAGAAGGAAGACACTCTGGACACATCTGAAGGAACAAACTCTGGACATAACACCTTTAAGTGCTGTAACACTCACCAGTAAGGTCTGCAGCTTCATTAAAGAAGTGAGCAAGACCACGAACCTGCCAGAAGGAAGAAACTCTGGAAACATCTGAAGGAACAAACTCTGGACATAACAGCTTTAAGTGCTGTAACACTCACCAGTAAGGTCTGCAGCTTGATTCTTGAAGTGAGCAACACCATGAACCTGCCAGAAGGATGTAACTCTGGACACATCTGAAGGAACAAACTCTGGACATAACACCTTTAAGTGCTGTAACACTCACCAGTAAGGTCTGCAGCTTCATTAAGGAAGTGAGCAAGACCACGAACATGCAAGAAGGAAGAAACTCTGGACACATCTGAAGGAACAAACACTGGACATAACACCTTTAAGTGCTGTAACACTCAACACTAAGGTCTGCAGCTTCATTCTTGAAGTGAGCAACAACATGAACATGCCAGAAGGAAGAAACTCTGGACACATCTGAAGGAACAAACTCTGGACATAACACCTTGAAGTGCTTTAACACTAAAGAGTATGGTCTGCAGCTTCATTCTTGAAGTGAGCCAGACCACGAACCTGCCAAAAGGAAGAAACGCTGGACACATCTGAAAGAACAAACACTGGACATAACACCTTTAAGTGCTGTAACACTCACCACTAATATCGGCAGCTTCATTCTTGAATTGAGCAAGACCATGAACCTGCCAGAAGACAGAAACCCTGGACACATCTGAAGGAACAAACTCTGTACATAACACCTTTAAGTGCTGTAACCCTCACCAGTAAGGTCTGCAGCTTCATTAGTGAAGTGAGCAAGACCATGAACATGCCAGAAGGAAGACACTCTGGACACATCTGAAGGAACAAACTCTGGACATAACAACTTTAAGTGCTGTAACACTCACCAGTAAAGTCTGCAGCTTCATTCTTGAAGTGAGGAAGACCAGGAAACTGCCAGAAGGAAGAATCTCTGGACACATCTGAAGAAACAAACTCTGGACATAACAACTTTAAGTGCTGTAACACTCACCAGTAAGGTCTGCAGCTTCATTAAAGAAGTGAGCAAGACCACGAACCTGCCAGAAGGAAGAAACTCTGGAAACATATGAAGGAACAAACTCTGGACATAACAGCTTTAAGTGCTGTAACACTCACCAGTAAGGTCTGCAGCTTCATTCTTGAAGTGAGCAACACCATGAACCTGCCAGAAGAAAGAAACTCTGGACACATCTGAAGCAACAAACTCTGGACAAAACACCTTTAAGTGCTGTAACACTCACCGTAAAAGTCTGCAGCTTCATTCTTGAAATGAGCAAGACCATGAACCTGCCAGAAGGAAGAAACGCTGGACATATCTGAAGGAAAAAACTCTGGGCATAACACCTTTAAGTGCTGTAAAACTCACCACTAAGGTCGGTAGCTTCATTCTTGAAGTGAGCAACACCATGAACCTGCCAGAAGACAGAAACCCTGGACACATCTGAAGGAACAAACTCTGGACATAACACCTTTAAGTGCTGTAACACTCACCAGTAAGGTCTGCAGCTTCATTCTTGAAGTGAGGAAGACCACGAAACTCCCAGAAAGAAGAAACTCTGGACACATCTGAAGAAACAAACTCTGGACATAACACATTTAAGTGCTGTAACACTCACAAGTAAGGTCTGCAGCTTCATTAAAGAAGTGAGCAAGACCACGAACCTGCTAGAAGGAAGAAACTCTGGAAACATCTGAAGGAACAAACTCTGGACATATCAGCTTTAAGTGCTGTAACACTCACCAGTAAGGCCTGCAGCTTCATTCTTGAAGTGAGCAAGACCATGAACCTGCCAGAAGGAAGAAACACTGGACACATCTGAAGGAAAAAATTCTGGACATAACAACTTTAACTGCTGTAACACTCACCACAAAAGTCTGCAGCTTCATTCTTGAAGTGAGCAAGACCATGAACCTGCCAGAAGGAAGAAACACTGGACACATCTGAAGGAACAAACTCTGGACCTAAAATCTTTAAGTGCTGTAACACTCACCAGTAAGGTCTGCAGCTTCATTAAGGAAGTGAGCAAGACCACGAACCTGCAAGAAGGAAGAAACTCTGGAAACATCTGAAGGAACAAACTCTGGACATAACACCTTTAAGTGCTGTAACACTCAACACTAAGGACTGCAGCTTCATTCTTGAAGTGAGCAACACCATGAACCTGCCAGAAGACAGAAACCCTGGACACATCAGAAGGAACAAACTCTGGACATAACACCTTTAAGTGCTGTAACACTCACCAGTAAGGTTTGCAGCTTCATTAGTGAAGTGAACAAGAACATGAACCTGCCAGAAGGAAGACACTCTGGACACATCTGGAGGAACAAACTCTGGACATAACACCTTTAAGTGCTGTAACACTCACCAGTAAGGTCTGAAGCTTCATTAAGGAAGTGAGCAAGACCACGAACCTGCAAGAAGGAAGAAACTCTGGACACATCTGAAGGAACAAACTCAGGACATAACACCTTTAAGTGCTGTAACACTCACCACTAAGGTCTGCAGCTTCATTTTTGAAGTGAGCAACACCATGAACCTGCCAGAAGGAAGAACCTCTGGACACATCTGAAGGAGCAAACTCTGGACATAACAACTTTAAGTGCTTTAAAACTCAACAGTAAGCTCTGCAGCTTCATTCTTGAAGTGTGCAAGACCATGAACCTGCCAGAAGGAAGAAGCGCTGGACACATCTGACGGATCAAATTCTGGATATAACACCTTTAAGTGCTTTAACACTGAATAGTAAGGTCTGCAGCTTCATTCTTGAAGTGAGCAAGACCATGAACCTGCCAGAAGGAAGAAAGTCTGGACACATCTGAAAGAACAAACTCTGTAGATAACACCTTTAAGTGCCTTAACACTCAACAGTAAGGTCTGCAGCTTCATTCTGGAAGTGAGCAAGACCATGAACCTGCCAGAAGGAAGAAACGCTGGACACATCTGAAGGAAAAAACTCTGGACATAACACCTTTAAGTGCTGTAACAGTCACCACTAAGGTCTGCAGCTTCATTCTTGAAGTGAGCAAGAACATGAACCTGCCAGAAGACAGAAACCCTGGACACATCTGAAGGAACAAACTCTGGACATAACACCTTTAAGTGCTGTAACACTCACCAGTAAGGTCTGCAGCTTCATTAGTGAAGTGAGCAAGACTATGAAGCTGCCAGAAGGAAGACATTCTGGACACATCTGAAGGAACAAACTCTGGACATAACACATTTAAGTGCTGTAACACTCACCACTAAGGTCTGCAGTTTCATTCTTGCAATGAGCAAGACAAAGAACCTGCCAGAAGGAAGAATCTCCGGACATATCTGAAGGAACAAAGTCTGGACATAACACCTTTAAATGGTGTAACACTCACCACTAAGGTCGGCGGCTTCATTCTTGAAGTGAGCAAGACCATGAACCTGCCAGAAGACAGAAACCCTGGACACATCTGAGGGAACAAACTCTGGACATAACACCTTTAAGTGCTATAACACTCACCGGTAAGGTCTGCAGCTTCATTAAGGAAGTGAGCAAGACCACGAACCTGCAAGAAGGAATAAACTCTGGACACATCTGAAGGAACAAACTCTGGACATAACACCTTTAAGTGCTGTAACACTCAACACTAAGGTCTGCAGCTTCATTCTTGAAGTGAGCAACACCATGAACCTGCAAGAAGGAAGAAACTCTGGACACATCTGAAGGATCAAACTCTGGATATAACACCTCTAAGTGCTTTAACACTGAATAGTAAGGTCTGCAGCTTCATTCTTGAAGTGAGCAAGACCATGAACCTGCCAGAAGGAAGAAACGCCGGACACATCTGAAGGAAAAAACTCTGGACATAACACCTTTAAGTGCTGTAACACTCACCACTAATTTCGGCAGCTTCATTCTTGAATTGAGCAAGACCATGAACCTGCCAGAAGACAGAAACCCTGGACACATCTGAAGGAACAAACTCTGGACATAACACCTTTAAGTGCTGTAACCCTCACCAGTAAGGTCTGCAGCTTCATTAGTGAAGTGAGCAAGACCATGAACATGCCCGAAGGAAGACACTCTGGACACATCTGAAGGAACAAACTCTGGACATAACAACTTTAAGTGCTGTAACACTCACCAGTAAAGTCTGCAGCTTCATTCTTGAAGTGAGGAAGACCAGGAAACTGCCAGAAGGAAGAATCTCTGGACACATCTGAAGAAACAGACTCTGGACATAACAACTTTAAGTGCTGTAACACTCACCAATAAGGTCTGCAGCTTCATTAAAGAAGTGAGCAAGACCACGAACCTGCCAGAAGGAAGAAACTCTGGAAACATCTGAAGGTACAAACTCTGGACATAACAGCTTTGAGTGCTGTAACACTCACCAGTAAGGTCTGCAGCTTCATTCTTGAAGTGAGCAACACCATGAACCTGCCAGAAGAAAGAAACTCTGGACACATCTGAAGCAACAAACTCTGGACATAACACCTTTAAGTGCTTTAACACTCAATAGTAAGGTCTGCAGCTTCATTCTTGAAGTGAGCAAGACCATGAACCTGCCAGTAGGTAGAAACGCTGGACACATCTGAAGGAAAAAACACTGGATATAACAACTCCAAGTGCTGTAACACTCACCACAAAGGTCGGCAGCTTCATTCTTGAAGTGAGCAAGACCATGAACCTGCCAGAAGACAGAAACCCTGGACACATCTGAAGGAACAACCTCTGGTCATAACACCTTTAAGTGCTGCCACCCTCAGCAGTAAGGTCTGCAGCTTCATTAGTGAAGTGAGCAAGACCATGAACCTGCCAGAAGGAAGACACTCTGGACACATCTGAAGGAACAATCTCTGGACATAACACCTTTAAGTGCTGTAACACTCACCAGTAAGGTCTGCAGCTTCGTTCTTGAAGTGAGGAAGACCACGAAACTGCCAGAAGGAAGAAACTCTGGACACATCTGAAGAAACAAACTCTGGACATAACACCTTTAAGTGCTGTAACACTCACCAGTAAGGACTGCAGCTTCATTAAAGAAGTGAGCAAGACCACGAACCTGCCAGAAGGAAGAAACTCTGGACACATCTGAAGGAACAAACTCTGGACATAACAGCTTTAAGTGCTTTAAAACTCAACAGTAAGGTCTGCAGCTTCACTCTTGAAGTGAGCAACACCATGAACCTGTCAGAAGGAAGAAACGCTGGACATATCTGAAGGAAAAAACTCTGGACATAACACCTTTAAGTGCTGTAAAACTCACCACTAAGGTCGGCAGCTTCATTCTTGAAGTGAGCAACACCATGAACCTGCCAGAAGACAGAAACCCTGGACACATCTGAAGGAACAAACTCTGGACATAACACCTTTAAGTGCTGTAACACTCACCGGTAAGGTCTGCAGCTTCATTCTTGAAGTGAGGAAGACCACGAAAGTGCCAGAATGAAGAAACTCTGGAAACATCTGAAGGAACAAATACTGGACATAACACCTTTAAGTGCTGTAACACTCAACACTAAGGACTGCAGCTTCATTCTTGAAGTGAGCAACACGATGAACCTGCCAGAAGACAGAAACCCTGGACACATCTGAAGGAACAATCTCTGGATATAACACCTTTAAGTGCTGTAACACTCACCAGTAAGGTCTGCAGCTTCATTAGTGAAGTGAACAAGACCATGAATCTGCCAGAAGGAAGACACTCTGGACACATCTGGAGGAACAAACTCTGGACATAACACCTTTAAGTGCTGTAAAACTCACCAGTAAGGTCTGCAGCTTCATTAAGGAAGTGAGCAAGACCAGGAACCTGCAAGAAGGAAGAAACTCTGGACACATCTGAAGGAACAGACTCTGGACATAACAACTTTAAGTGCTTTAAAACTCAACAGTAAGGTCTGCAGCTTCATTCTTGAAGTGTGCAAGACCATGAACCTGCCAGAAGGAAGAAGCGCTGGACATATCTGAAGGAAAAAACTCTGGACATAACACCTTTAAGTGTTGTAACACTCAACACTAAGGTCTGCAGCTTCATTCTGGAAGTGAGCAACACCACGAACCTGCCAGAAGGAAGAAACTCTGGACACGTCTGAAGGAACAAACTCTGGACATAACACTTTTAAGTGCCTTAACACTCAACAGTAAGGTCTGCAGCTTCATTCTTGAAGTGAGCAAGACTATGAATCTGCCAGAAGGAAGAAACGCTGGACACATCTGAAGGAAAAAACTCTGGGCATAACACCTTTAAGTGCTGTAACTCTCACCACTAAGGTCTGCAGCTTCATTCTTGAAGTGAGTCATAACATGAACCTGCCAGAAGACAGAAACCCTGGACATATCTGAATGAACAAACTCTGGACATAACATCTTTAAGTGCTGTAACACTCACCAGTAAGGTCTGCAGCTTCATTAGTGAAGTGAGCAAGACCATGAAGCTGCCAGAAGGAAGACACTCTGGACACATCTGAAGGAACATACTCTGGACATAACACCTTTAAGTGCTGTAACACTCACCACTAAGGTCTGCAGTTTCATTCTTAAAATGAGCAAGACAATGAACCTGCCAGAAGGAAGAAACTCTGGACATATCTGAGGGAACAAAGTCTGGACATAACACCTTTAAATGCTGTAACACTCACCACTAAGGTCGGCAGCTTCATTCTTCAAGTGAGCAAGACCATGATCCTGCCAGAAGACAGAAACCCTGGACACATCTGAAGGAACAAACTCTGGACATAACACCTTTAAGTGCTGTAACACTCACCGGTAAGGTCTGCAGCTTCATTAAGGAAGTGAGCAAGACCACGAACCTCCAAGAATGAAGAAATTCTGGACACATCTGAAGGAACAAACTCTGGACATAACACATTTAAGTGCTGTAACACTCAACACTAAAGTCTGCAGCTTCATTCTTGAATTGAGCAACACCATGAACCTGCGAGAAGGAAGAAACTCTGGACACATCTGAAGGATCTAACTCTGGATATAACACCTTTAAGTGCTTTAACACTGAATAGTAAGGTCTGCAGCTTCATTCTTGAAGTGAGCAAGACCATGAACCTGCCAGTAGGAAGAAACGCTGGACACATCTGAAGGAAAAAACTCTGGACATAACAACTCCAAGTGCTGTAACACTCACCACAAAGGTCGGCAGCTTCATTCTTGAAGTGAGCAAGACCATGAACCTGCCAGAAGACAGAAACCCTGGACACATCTGAAGGAACAACCTCTGGTCATAACACCTTTAAGTGCTGCCACCCTCACCAGTAAGGTCTGCAGCTTCATTAGTGAAGTGAGCAAGACCATGAACCTGCCAGAAGGAAGACACTCTGGACACATCTGAAGGAACAATCTCTGGACATAACAACTTTAAGTGCTGTAACACTCACCAGTAAGGTCTGCAGCTTCGTTCTTGAAGTGAGGAAGACCACGAAACTGCCAGAAGGAAGAAACTCTGGACACATCTGAAGAAACAAACTCTGGACATAACACCTTTAAGTGCTGTAACACTCACCAGTAAGGACTGCAGCTTCATTAAAGAAGTGAGCAAGACCACGAACCTGCCAGAAGGAAGAAACTCTGGACACATCTGAAGGAACAAACTCTGGACATAACAGCTTTAAGTGCTTTAAAACTCAACAGTAAGGTCTGCAGCTTCACTCTTGAAGTGAGCAACACCATGAACTTGTCAGAAGGAAGAAACGCTGGACATATCTGAAGGAAAAAACTCTGGACATAACACATTTAAGTGCTGTAACACTCAACACTAAGGTCTGCAGCTTCATTCTTGAAGTGAGGAAGACCACGAAACTGCCAGAAGGAAGAAACACTGGACACATCTGAAGGAACAAATTGTGGACATAACAACGTTAACTGCTGTAACACTCACCACAAAAGTCTGCAGCTTCATTCTTGAAGTGAGCAAGACCATGAACCTGCCAGAAGGAAGAAACACTGGACACATCTGAAGGAAGAAACTCTGCACAAAACACCTTAAAGTGCTGTAACACTCCCCAGTAAGGTCTGCAGCTTCATTAGTGAAGTGAGCAAGACCATGAACCTGCCAGAAGGAAGACACTCTGGACACATCTGAAGGAACAAACTCTGGACATAACACCTTTACGTGCTGTAACACTCAACACTAAGGTCTGCAGCTTCATTCTTGAAGTGAGGAAGACCACGAAACTGCCAGAAGGAAGAAACTCTGGACACATCTGAAGAAACAATCTCTGGACATAACACCTTTAAGTGCTGTAACACTCACCAGTATGGTCTGCAGCTTCATTAAAGAAGTGAGCAAGACCACGAACCTGCCAGAAGGAAGAAACTCTGGAAACATCTGAAGGATCAAACTCTGGACATAACAGCTTTAAGTACTGCAACACTCACCAGTAAGGTCTGCAGCTTCATTCTTGAAGTGAGCAAGACCATGAACCTGCCAGAAGGAAGAAACACTGGACACATCTGAAGGAACAAATTGTGGACATAACAACTTTAACTGCTGTAACACTCACCACAAAAGTCTGCAGCTTCATTCTTGAAGTGAGCAAGACCATGAACCTGCCAGAAGGAAGAAACACTGGACACATCTGAAGGAACAAACTCTGGACCTAAAACCTTTAAGTGCTGTAACACTCACCAGTAAGGTCTGCAGCTTCATTAAGGAAGTGAGCAAGACCACGAACCTGCAAGAAGGAAGAAACTCTGGACACATCTGAAGGAAAAAACTCTGCACATAACACCTTCAAGTGCTGTAACACTCACTAGTAAGCTCTGCAGCTTCATTCTTGAAGTGAGCAAGACCATGTACCTGCCATAAGACAGAAACCCTGGACACATGTGAAGTAACAAACTCTGGACATAACACCTTTAAGTGCTGTAACACTCACCAGTAAGGTCTGCAGCTTCATTCTTGAAGTGAGCAAGACCATGAACCTGCCAGAAGGAAGACACTCTGGACACAACTGAAGGAACAAACTCTGGACATAACACCTTAAAGTGCTGTAACACTCACCAGTAAGGTCTGCAGCTTCATTCTTGAAGTGAGGAAGACCACGAAACTGCAAGAAGGAAGAAACTCTGGACACATCTGAAGAAACAAAATCTGGACATAACACCTTTAAGTGCTGTAAGACTCACCAGTAAGGTCTGCAGCTTCATTAAAGATGTGAGCAAGACCACGAACCTGCCAGAAGGAAGAAACTCTGGAAACATCTGAAGGAACAAACTCTGGATATAACAACTTTAATTGCTGTAACACTCAACAGTAAGGTCTGCAGCTTCATTCTTGAAGTGAGGAAGACCATGAACCTGCCAGAAGGAAGAAACGCTGGACACATCTGAAGGAAAGAATTCAAACTCTGGACATAACATCTTAAAGTGCTGTAACACTCATCACAAAGGTCTGCAGCTTCATTCTTCAAGTGAGCAACACCATGAATCTGCAAGAAGAAGAAACTCTGGACAGATCTGAAGGAACAAACTCTGGACATATCACCGTTCAGTGCTTTAACACTCAACAGTAAGGTCTGCAGCTTCATTCGGGAAGGGAGCAATAACATGAACCTGCCAGAAGGAAGAAACTCTGGACACATCTGAAGGAACAAACTCTGGAAATAACACCTTTAAGTGCTGTTACACTAAACAGTAAGGTCTGCAGCTTCATTCTTGAAGTGAGCAAGACCGTGAACCTGACAGAAGGAAGAAACTCTGGACACATCTGAAGGAAGAAACTCTGGATATAACACCTTTAGGTGTTGTAACACTCACCGCAAAGGTCTGCAGCTTCATTCTTGAAGTGAGCAAGACCAGGAACCTGCCAGAAGGAAGAAACTCTGGACATATCTGAAGGAACAAACTCTGGAAATAACACCTTTAAGTGCTGTAACACTCACCAGTAAGGTCTGCAGCTTCATTCATAAAGTGAGCAAGACCATGAAACTGTCAGAAGGAAGAAACTCTGGACATATGTAAAGCAAAAATCTCTGGACATAACAGCTTTAAGTGTTGTAACACTCACCAGTATGGTCTGCAGCTTCATTAAGGAAGTGAGGAAGACCACGAACCTGCCAGAAGGAAGAAACTCTGGACACATCTGAAGGAAAAAACTCTGGACATAACAGCTTTAAGAGCTGTAACACTCACCACTAAGGTCTGCAGCTTCATTCTTGAAGTGAGCAAGACCCTGAACCTGCCAAAAGGAAGAAACTCTGGACACATCTGAAGGAACAAACTCTGGACATAACAACTTTAACTGCTGTAACACTCACCAGTAAGGTCTGCAGCTTCATTCTTAAAGTGAGCAAGACCATAAACCTGCCAGAAGGAAGAAACTCTGGATATTTCTGCAGGAAGAAACTCTGGACATAACACCTTTTAGTGCTGTAACACTCACCACTAAGGTCTGCAGCATCATTCTTGAAGTGAACAAGACCACGAACCTTCCAGAAGGAAGAAACTCTGGAGACATCTGAAGGAAAAAACTCTGGACATAACACCTTTAAGTGCTGTAACACTCAACACTAGGGTCTGCAGCTTCATTCTTGAAGTGAGCAACACCATGAACCTGCCAGAAGGAAGAAACTCTGGACACATCTGAAGGAACAAACTCTGGACATAACACCTTTAAGTGCTGTAACCCTCACAGGTAAGGTCTGCAGCTTCATTCTTGAAGTGAGCAAGACGATGAACCTGCCAGAAGGAAGAAACGCCGGACACATCTGAAGGAAAAAACTCTGAACATAACACCTTTAAGTGCTGTAACACTCACGACTAAGGTCTGCAGGTTCATTCTTGAAGTGAGCAAGACCATGAACCTGCCAGAAGACAGAAACCCTGGACACATCTGAAGGAACAAACACTGGACATAACACCTTTAAGTGCTGTAACTCTCACCAGTAAGGTCTGCAGCTTCATTAAAGAAGTGAGCAAGACCACGAACCTGTCAGAAGGAAGAAACTCTGGAAAACTTTGAAGGAACAAACTCTGGACATAACACCTTTAAGTGCTGTAACACTCACCGGTAAGGTCTGCAGCTTCATTCTTGAAGTGAGCAAGACCATGAACCTGCCAGAAGGAAGGAACACTGGACACATCTGAAGGAACATACTCTGGACTTAAGACCTTTAAGTGCTGTAACACTCACCAGTAAGGTCTGCAGCTTCATTAAGGAAGTGTGCAAGACCACGAACCTGCAAGAAGGAAGACATTCTGGACACTTCTGAAGGAACAAACTCTGGACATAACAGCTTTAAGTGCTGTAACACTCAACACTAAGGTCTGCAGCTTCATTGTTGAAGTGAGCAACACGATGAACCTGCCAGAAGGAAGAAAGTCTGGACACATCTGAAGGAACACACTCTGGACATAAGACCTTTAAGTGCTGTAACACTCACCACTAAGTTCGGCAGCTTCATTCTTGAAGAGAGCAAGACCATGTACCTGCCAGAAGACAGAAACCCTGGACACATCTGAAGGAACAAACTCTGGACATAACACCTTTAAGTGCTGTAACACTCACCAGTAAGGTCTGCAGGTTCATTCTTGAAATGAGCAAGACCATGAACCTGCCAGAAGACAGAAACCCTGGACACATCTGAAGGAACAAACACTGGACATAACAGCTTTAAGTGCTGTAACACTCAACAGTAAGGTCTGCAGCTTCATTAAGGTAGTGAGCAAGACCACGAACTTGTCAGAAGGAAGAAACTCTGGAAACAACTGAAGGAACAAACTCTGGACATAACACCTTTAAGTGCTGTAACACTCACCAGTAAGGTCTGCAGCTTCATTCTTGAAGTGAGCAAGACCATGAATCTGTCAGAAGGAAGAAACTCTGCACACATCTGAAGGAACAAACTCTGGACATAACACCTTTAGTGCTGTAACACACACCAGTAAGGTCTGCAGCTTCATTCTTGAAGTGAGCAAGACCATGAACCTGCCAGAAAGAAGAAACTCTGGACACATCTGAAGGAACAAACTCTTTACATAACACCTTTAAGTGCTGTAACACTCAACAGTAAGGTCTGCAGCTTCATTATTGAAGTGAGCAAGACCATGAACCTCCCAGAAGGAAGAAACTCTGGACACATCTGAAGGAAAAAACTCCGGACATAACACCTTTAAGTGCTTTAACACTCACCACTAAGGTCTGCAGCTTCATTCTTGAAGTGAGCAAGACCACGAACCTCCCGGAAGGAAGAAACTCTGGACACATCTGAAGGATCAAACGCTGGACATAACACTTTTAAGTGCTGTAACAGGCACCACTGAGGTGTGCACCTTCATTCTTGAAGTGACCAAGACCATTAAACTGCCAGTAGGAAGAAACTCTGGACACATCTGAAGGAAAAAACTCTGGACATAACAACTTAAAGTGCTGTAACACTCACCAGTAAGGTCTGCAGCTTCATTCTTGAAGTGGGCAAGACCGTGAACCTGCCAGAAGGAAGAAACTTTAGACACATCTGAAGGAACAAACTCTGGACATAACACCTTTAAGTGCTTTAAAACTGAACAGTAAGGTCTGCAGCTTCATTCTTGAAGTGTGCAAGACCATAATCCTGCCAGAAGGAAGAAACGCTGGACACATCTGAAGGAAAAAATTCTGGACATAACACCTTTAAGTGCTGTAACACTCACCACTAAGGTCTGCAGCTTCGTTCTTGAAGTGAGCAAGATCACGAAACTGCCAGAAGGAAGAAACTCTGGACACATCTGAAGGAACAAACTCTGGACATGACACCTTTAAGTGTTGTAACACTCACCAGTAAGGCCTGCAGCTTCATTAGTGAAGTCAGCAAGACCACGAACCTGCAAGAAGGAAGAAACTCTGGACATATCTGAAGGAACAAATTCTGGACATAACACATTTAAGTGCTGTAACACACACCACTAAGGTCTGCAGCTTCATTCTTTAAATGAGCAAGACCATGGACCTGCCAGAAGACAGAAACCCTGGACACATCTGAAGGAAAAAACTGTGTGTATAACACATTTAAGTGCTGTAACACTCACCACTAAGGTCCGCAGCTTCATTCTTGAAGTGAGCAAGACCATGAACCTGCCAGAAGACAGAAACTCTGGACACATCTGAAGGAGCAAACAATGGAAATAACACCTTTAAGTGCTGTAACACTCACTAGTAAGGTCTGCAGCTTCATTCTTGAAGTGACCAAGACCATGAACCTGCCAGTAGGAAGAAACTGTGGACAAATCTGAAGGAAAAAACTCTGGACATAACACTTTAAAGTGCTGTAACACTCACCAGTAAGGTCTGCAGCTTCATTCTTGAAGTGAGCAAGACCGTGAACCTGCCAGAAGGAAGAAACTCTAGACACATCTGAAGGAACAAACTCTGGACATAACACCTTTAAGTGCTGCAACACTCACCGCAAAGGTCTGCAGCTTCATTCTTGAAGTGAGCAAGACCATGAACCTGCCAGAAGGAAGAAACTCTGGACAGATCTGAAGGAAAAAAGTCTGGACATAACAACTTAAAGTGCAGTAACACTCACCAGTAAGGTCTGCAGCTTCATTCTTGAAGTGCGCAAGACCGTGTACCTGCCAGAAGGAAGAAACTCTGGACACATCTGAAGGAACAAACTCTGGAAATAACACTTTAAGTGCTGCAACACTCACCGCAAATGTTTGCAGCTTCATTCTTGAAGTGAGCAAGCCAGGAACCTGTCAGAAGGAAGAAACTCTGGACACATCTGAAGGAACAAACTCCGGACATAACACATTTAAGTGCCGTAATACTCACCAGTAAGGTCTGAAGCTTCATTGTTGAAGTGAGCAATCCTGGAACCTGCCAGAAGGAAGAAACTCTGGACACATCTGAAGGAACAATCTCCGGACATAACACCTTTAAGTGCTATAACACTCACCAGTAAGGTCTGCAGCTTCATTAAAGAAGTGAGCAAGACCACGAACCTGCCAGAAGGAAGAAACTCTTGACATATCTGAAGGAACAAACTCTGGACATAACACCTTTAATAGTTGCAACACTCACCGCAAAGGTCTGCAGCTTCATTCTTGAAGTGAGCAAGACCATGAACCTGCCAGAAGGAAGAAACTCTGGACACATCTGAAGGAAAAAACTCTGGACATAACACCTTAAAGTGCTGTAACACTCACCAGTAAGGTCTGCAGCTTCATTCTTAAATTGAGCAAGACCATAAACCTGCCAGAAGGAAGAAACTCTGGATATTTCTGCAGGAACAAACTCTGGACATAACACCTTTTAGTGCTGTAACACTCACCACTAAGGTCTGCAGCATCATTCTTGAAGTGAACAAGACCACGAACCTGCCAGAAGGAAGAAACTCTGGAGACATCTGAAGGAAAAAACTCTGGACATAACACCTTTAAGTGCTGTAACACTCACCAGGAAGGTCTGCAGCTTCATTAAGGAATTGAGCAAGACCACGAACCTGCAAGAAGGAAGAAACTCTGGACACTTCTGAAGGAACAAACTCTGGACATAACAGCATTAAGTGCTGTAACACTCAACACTAAGGTCTGCAGCTTAATTCTGGAAGTGAGCAACACCATGAACCTGCCAGAAGCAAGACACTCTGTACACATCTGAAGGAACAAACTCTGGACATAACAGCTTTAAGTGCTTTAACACTCAACAGTAAGGTCTGCAGCTTCATTCTTGAAGTGAGCAAGACGATGAACCTGCCAGAAGGAAGAAACGCTGGACACATCTGAAGGAAAAAACTCTGGACATAACACCTTAACGTGCTGTAACACTCATCACTAAGGTCTGCAGCTTCATTCTTGAAGTGAGCAACACCATGAATCTGCAAGAAGGAAGAAACTCTGGACACATCTGAAGGAACAAATTCTGGACATATCACCGTTCAGTGCTTTAACACTCAACAGTAAGGTCTGCAGCTTCATTCGTGAAGGGAGCAAGAACATGAACCTGCCAGAAGGAAGAAACTCTGGACACATCTGAAGGAACAAACTCTGGAAATAACACCTTTAAGTGCTGTAACACTAACCAGTAAGGTCTGCAGCTTCACTCTTGAAGTGAGCAAGACCGTGAACCTGACAGAAGGAAGAAACTCTGGACACATCTGAAGGAACAAACTCTGGATATAACACCTTTCGGTGTTGTATCACTCACCGCAAAGGTCTGCAGCTTCGTTCTTGAAGTGAGCAAGACCATGAACCTGCCAGAAGGAAGAAACTCTGGACATATCTGAAGTAACAAACTCTGGAAATAACACCTTTAAGTGCTGTAACACTCACCAGTAAGGTCTGCAGCTTCATTCTTGAAGTGAGCAAGACCATGAAACTGTCAGAAGGAAGAAACTCTGGACATATCTAAAGCAAAAATCTCTGGACATAACAGCTTTAAGTGTTGTAACACTCACCAGTATGGTCTGCAGCTTCATTAAGGAAGTGAGAAAGACCACGAACCTGCCAGAAGGAAGAAACTCTGGACACATCTGAAGGAACAACTTCTGTACCTAACACCTTTAAGTGCTGTGAAACTCACCACTAAAGTATGCAGCTTCATTCTCGAAGTGAGCAAGACCATGAACCTTCCAGAAGGAAGAAACTCTAGACACATCTGATGGAACAAAATCTGGACATAACACCTTTAAGTGCTGTAACACTCAACACTAAAGTCTGCAGCATCATTCTTGAAGTTAGCAACACCATGGACCTGTCAGAAGGAAGAAACTCTGGACACATCTGAAGGAAAAAACTCTGGACATAACACCTTTAAGTGCTGTAAAACTCACCACAAAGTTCTGCAGCTTCATTCTTGAAGTGAGCAAGATCATGAACCTGCCAGAAGGAAGAAACTCTGGAAACATCTGAAGGAACCACCTCTGGACATAACACCTTTAAGTGCTATAACACTCACCGTAAAGGTCTGCAGCTTCATTCTTGAAATGAGCAAGTCCATGAACCTCCCAGAAGTAAGGAACTCTAGACTCATCTGATGGAACAAACTCTGGACATAAAACCTTTAAATGCTGTAACACTCACCGTAAAGGTCTGCAGCTTCATTCTTGAAGTGAGCAAGACCATGTACCTGCCAGAAGGAAGAAACTCTGGACACATCTGAAGGAAAAAACTCTGGACATAGCCTCTTTCATTGCTGTAACACTCACCGTAAAGTTCTACAGTTTCATTCTTGAAGTGAGCAAACCATGAACCTGCCAGAAGGAAGAAACTGGACACATCTGAAGGAACGAACTCTGGAAATAACACCTTTAAGTGCTGTAACACTAACCAGTAAGGTCTGCAGCTTCATTCTTGAAGTGAGCAAGACCGTGAACCTGACAGAAGGAAGAAACTCTGGACACATCTGAAGGAACAATCTCTGGATATAACACCTTTAGGTGTTGTAACACTCACCGCAAAGGTCTGCAGGTTCATTCTTGAAGTGAGCAAGACCATGAACCTGCCAGAAGGAAGAAACTCTGGACATATCTGAAGGAAGAAACTCTGGAAATAACAACTTTAAGTGCTGTAACACTCACCAGTAAGGTCTGCAGCTTCATTCTTGAAGTGAGCAAGACCATGAAAGTGTCAGAAGGAAGAAACTCTGGACATATCTAAAGCAACAATCTCTGGACATAATAGCTTTAAGTGTTGTAACACTCACCAGTATGGTCTGCAGCTTCATTAAGGAAGTGAGGAAGACCACGAACCTGCCAGAAGGAAGAAACTCTGGACACATCTGAAGGAACAAACTCTGGACATAACACCTTTAAGTGCTGTAACCCTCACCGGTAAGGTCTGCAGCTTCATTCTTGAAGTGAGCAAGACCACGAACCTGCCAGAAGGAAGAAACTCTGGAGACATCTGAAGGAAAAACTCTGTACATAACAGCTTTAAGAGCTGTAACACTCACCACTAAGGTCTGCAGCTTCATTCTTGAAGTGAGCAAGACCATGAACCTGCCAGAAGGAAGAAACTCTGGACACATCTGAAGGAACAAACTCTGGACATAACAACTTTAACTGCTGTAACACTCACTAGTAAGGTCTGCAGCTTCATTCTTAAAGTGAGCAAGACCATAAACCTGCCAGAAGGAAGAAATTCTGGATATTTCTGCAGGAACAAACTCTGGACATAACACCTTTTACTGCTGTAACACTCACCACTAAGGTCTGCAGCACCATTCTTGAAATGAACAAGACCACGAACCTGCCAGAAGGAAGAAACTCTGGAGATATCTGAAGGAAAAAACTCTGGACATAACACCTTTAAGTGCTGTAACACTCACCAGTATGGTCTGCAGTTCCATTCTTGAAGTGAGCAAGACCATGAACCTGCCAGAAGGAAGAAACTCTGGACACATCTGAAGGAAAAAACCCTGGACATAACAACTTAATTACTGTAACGCTCACCACTAAGGTCTGCAGCTTCATTGTTGAAGTGAGGAAGACCATGAACCTGCCAGAAGGAAGAAACTCTGGACACATCTGAAGGAACAAACTCTGGACATAACAACATTAAGTGCTGTAACACTCACCGTAAAGGTCTGTAGCTTCATTCTTGAAGCTACCAAGACAATGAATCTGCCAGAAGGAAGAAACTCGGGACACATCTGAAGGAACAAACTATGGACATAATACCGTTAAGTGCTGTAACACTCACGGTAAAGGTCTGCAGCTTCATTCCTAAAGTGAGCAAGACCATGAACCTGCCAAAAGAAAGAAACTCTGGACACATCTGAGGGAACAAATTCTGGACATAACACCCTTAAGTGCTGTAAAACTCACCACTAAGTTCTGCAGCTTCATTCTTGAAGTGAGCAAGGACATGAACCTGCCAGATGGAAGAAACTCTGGACACATCTGAAGGAACAAACTCTGGACATAACATCTTTCAGTGCTATAACACTAACCGTAAAGGTCTACAGTTTCAATTTTGAAGTAAGCAAGACCATGAACCTGCCAGAGGGAACAAACTGGACACATCTGAAGGAACAAACTCTGGACATAAAACCTTTAAGTGCTGTAACACTCATCGTAAGGGTCTGCAGTGTCATTCTTGAAGTGAGGAAGACTATGAACCTGCCGGAAGGAAGAAACTCTGCACACATCTGAAGAAACAAACTCTGGACATAACACCTTTAAGTGCTGTAACACTCACCGTAAAGGACTGGAGCTTCATTCTTGAAGTGAGCAAGACCATTAACCTGCCCGAAGGAAGAAACTCTGGACACATCTGAAGGAAGAAACACTGGACATGACAACTTAAGTGGTGTAACGCTCACCACTAAGGTCTGCAGCTTCATTCTTGAAGTGAGCAAGACCATGAACCTGCCAGAAGTAAAACCTCTGGACACATCTGAAGGAACAACTTCTGGACCTAACACCTTTAAGTGCTGTAAAACTCAACACTAAATTATGCAGCTTCATTCTCGAAGTGAGCAAGACCATGAACCTCCCAGAAGGAAGAAACTCTAGACACATCTGATGGAACAAAATCTGGACATAACACCTTTAAGTGCTGTAACACTCAACACTAAGGTCTGCAGCATCATTCTTGAAGTTAGCAACACCATGGACCTGTCAGAAGGAAGAAACTCTGGACACATCTGAAGGAAAAAACTCTGGACATAACACCTTTAAGTGCTGTAAAACTCACCAGAAAGATCTGCAGCTTCATTCTTGAAGTGAGCAAGACCATGAACCTGCCAGAAGGAAGAAACTCTGCACACATCTGAAGGAACAAACTCTGGACATAACACCTTTAAATGCTGTAACACTCACCGTAAAGGTCTGCTGCGTCATTCTTGAAGTGAGCAAGACCATGAACCTGCCAGAAGAAAGAAACTCTGGACACATCTGAAGGAACAAACTCTGGACATAACACCTTTAAGTGCTGTAACACTCACCCTTAAAGTCCGCAGCTTCATTCTTGAAGTGAGCAAGACCATGAACCTGCCAGAAGGAAGAAACTCTGGACATATCTGAAGGAACAAACTCTGGACATGACATGTATCAGTCATGTAACACTCACCGTAAAGGTCTACAATTTCATTCTTGAAGTGAGCAGGACCATGAACCAGCCAGAAGGAAGAAAATGGACACATCTGAAGGAACAAACTCTGGACATAACAACTTTAAGTGCTGTAAAACTCACCGTAAGGGTCTGCAGTTCCATTCTTGAAGTGAGCAAGATCATGAACCTGCCAGAAGGAAGAAACTCTGGACACATCTGAAGGAAAAAACTCTGGACATAACAACTTAATTACTGTAACGCTCACCACTAAGGTCTGCAGCTTCATTGTTGAAGTGAGGAAGACCATGAACCTGCCAGAAGGAAGAAACTCTGGACACATCTGAAGGAACAAACTCTGGACATAACAACATTAAGTGCTGTAACACTCACCGTAAAGGTCTGCAGCTTCATTCTTGAAGCTACCAAGACCATGAATCTGCCAGAAGGAAGAAACTCGGGACACATCTGAAGGAACAAACTATGGACATAATACCGTTAAGTGCTGTAACACTCACGGTAAAGGTCTGCAGCTTCAATCCTAAAGTGAGCAAGACCATGAACCTGCCAAAAGAAAGAAACTCTGGACACATCTCAGGGAACAAACTCTGGACATAACACCCTTAAGTGTTGTAAAACCCACCACTAAGTTCTGCAGCTTCATTCTTGAAGTGAGCAAGGACATGAACCTGCCAGATGGAAGAAACTCTGGACACATCTGAAGGAACAAACTCTGGACATAACATCTTTCAGTGCTGTAACACTAACCGTAAAGTTCTACAGTTTTATTCTTGAAGTGAGCAAGACCATGAACCTGCCAGAAGGAAGAAACTGGACACATCTGAAGGAACAAACTCTGGAAATAACACCTTTAAGTGCTGTAACACTAACCAGTAAGGTCTGCAGCTTCATTCTTGAAGTGAGCAAGACCGTGAACCGGACAGAAGGAAGAAACTCTGGACACATCTGAAGGAACAATCTCTGGATATAACACCTTTAGGTGTTGTAACACTCACCGCAAAGGTCTGCAGCTTCATTCTTGAAGTGAGCAAGACCATGAACCTGCCAGAAGGAAGAAACTCTGGACATATCTGAAGGAACAAACTCTGGAAATAACACCTTTAAGTGCTGTAACACTCACCAGTAAGGTCTGCAGTTTCATACTTGAAGTGAGCAAGACCATGAAACTGTCAGAAAGAAGAAACTCTGGACATATCTAAAGCAACAATCTCTGGACATAACAGCTTTAAGTGTTGTAACACTCACCAGTATGGTCTGCAGCTTCATTAAGGAAGTGAGGAAGACCACGAACCTGTCAGAAGGAAGAAACTCTGGACACATCTGAAGGAACAAACTCTGGACATAACACCTTTAAGTGCTGTAACCCTCACCGGTAAGGTCTGCAGCTTCATTCTTGAAGTGAGCAAGACCACGAACCTGCCAGAAGGAAGAAACTCTGGAGACATCTGAATGAAAAAACTCTGGACATAACAGCTTTAAGAGCTGTAACACTCACCACTAAGGTCTGCAGCTTCATTCTTGAAGTGAGCAAGACCATGAACCTGCCAGAAGGAAGAAACTCTGGACACATCTGAAGGAACAAACTCTGGACATAAAAACTTTAACTGCTGTAACACTCACCAGTAAGGTCTGCAGCTTCATTCTTAAAGTGAGCAAGACCATAAACCTGCCAGAAGGAAGAAACTCTGGATATTTCTGCAGGAACAAACTCTGGACATAACACCTTTTAGTGCTGTAACACTCACCACTAAGGTCTGCAGCATCATTCTTGAAGTGAACAAGACCACGAACCTGCCAGAAGGAAGAAACTCTGGAGACATCTGTAGGAAAAAACTCTGGACATAACACCTTTAAGTGCTGTAACACTCACCAGTATGGTCTGCAGCTTCATTCTTGAAGTGAGCAAGACCATGAACCTGCCAGAAGAAAGAAACTGGACACATCTGAAGGAACAAACTATGGACATAACACCTTTAAGTGCTGTAACACTCACCCTAAAGGTCCGCAGCTTCATTCTTGAAGTGAGCAAGACCATGAACCTGCCAGAAGGAACAAACTCTGGACATATCTGAAGGAACAAACTCTGGACATGACATGTTTCAGTGCTGTAACACTCACCGTAAAGGTCTACAATTTCATACTTGAAGTGAGCAGGACCATGAACCAGCCAGAAGGAAGAAAATGGACACATCTGAAGGAACAAACTCTGGACATAACAACTTTAAGTGCTGTAAAATTCACCGTAAGGGTCTGCAGTTCCATTCTTGAAGTGAGCAAGACCATGAACCTGCCAGAAGGAAGAATCTCTGGACACATCTGAAGGAAAAAACTCTGGACATAACAACTTAATTGCTGTAACGCTCACCACTAAGGTCTGCAGCTTCATTGTTGAAGTGAGGAAGACCATGAACCTGCCAGAAGGAAGAAACTCTGGACACATCTGAAGGAACAAACTCTGGACATAACAACATTAAGTGCTGTAACACTCACCGTAAAGGTCTGCAGCTTCATTGTTGAAGCTACCAAGACCATGAATCTGCCAGAAGGAAGAAACTCGGGACACATCTGAAGGAACAAACTATGGACATAATACCGTTAAGTGCTGTAACACTCACGGTAAAGGTCTGCAGCTTCATTCCTAAAGTGAGCAAGACCATGAACCTGCCAAAAGAAAGAAACTCTGGACACATCTGAGGGAACAAACTCTGGACATAACACCCTTAAGTGTTGTAAAACTCACCACTAAGTTCTGCAGCTTCATTCTTGAAGTGAGCAAGGACATGAACCTGCCAGATGGAAGAAACTCTGGACACATATGAAGGAACAAACTCTGGACATAACATCTTTCAGTGCTATAACACTAAACGTAAAGGTCTACAGTTTCAATTTTGAAGTAAGCAAGACCATGAACCTGCCAGAGGGAACAAACTGGACACATCTGAAGGAACAAACTCTGGACATAAAACCTTTAAGTGCTGTAACACTCATCGTAAGGGTCTGCAGTTTCATTCTTGAAGTGAGCAAGACTATGAACCTGCCAGAAGGAAGAAACTCTGCACACATCTGAAGGAACAAACTCTGGACATAACACCTTTAAGTGCTGTAACACTCACCGTAAAGGACTGGAGCTTCATTCTTGAAGTGAGCAGGACCATGAACCTGCCCGAAGGAAGAAACTCTGGACACATCTGAAGGAAGAAACACTGGACTTGACAACTTAAGTGGTGTAACGCTCACCACTGAGGTCTGCAGCTTCATTTTTGAAGTGAGCAAGACCATGAACCTGCCAGAAGTAAGAAACTCTGGACACATCTGAAGGAACAACTTCTGGACCTAACACCTTTAAGTGCTGTAAAACTCAACACTAAAGTATGCAGCTTCATTCTCGAAGTGAGCAAGACCATGAACCTCCCAGAAGGAAGAAACTCTAGACACATCTGATGGAACAAAATCTGGACATAACACCTTTAAGTGCTATAACACTCAACACTAAGGTCTGCAGCATCATTCTTGAAGTTAGCAACACCATGGAACTGTCAGAAGGAAGAAATTCTGGACACATCTGAAGGAAAAACTCTGGACATAACACCTTTAAGTGCTGTAAAACTCACCACAAAGTTCTGCAGCTTCATTCTTGAAGTGAGCAAGACCATGAACCTGCCAGAAGGAAGAAACTCTGGAAACATCTGAAGGAACAAACTCTGGACATAACACCTTTACGTGCTAAAACACTCACCGTAAAGGTCTGCAGCTTCATTCTTGAAATGAGCAAGTCCATGAACCTCCCAGAAGTAAGGAACTCTAGACACATCTGATGGAACAAACTCTGGACATAAAACCTTTAAATGCTGTAACACTCACCGTAAAGGTCTGCAGCTTCATTCTTGAAGTGAGCAAGACCATGAACCTGAAAGAAGGAAGAAACCCTGGAAACATCTGAAGGAAAAAACTCTGGACCTAGCCTCTTTCATTGCTGTAACACTCACCGTAAAGTTCTACAGTTTCATAATTGAAGTGAGCAAGACCATGAACCTGCCAGAAGGAAGAAACTGGACACATCTGAAGGAACAAACTCTGGACATAACACCTTTAAATGCTGTAACACTCACCGTAAAGGTCTGCTGCGTCATTCTTGAAGTGAGCAAGACCATGAACCTGCCAGAAGGAAGAAACTGTGGACACTTCTGAAGGAACAATCTCTGGACATAGCACCTTTAAGTGCTGTAACACTCACCGTAAAGGTCTGCAGCTTCATTCTTGAAGTGAGCAAGACCATGAACCTGCCAGAAGGAAGAAACTCTGGACTTATCTGAAGGAACAAACTCTCGACATAAAAACTTAAGTGCTGTAACGCTCACCACTAAGGTCCGCAGCTTCATTCTTGAAGTGAGCAAGACCATGAATCTGCCAGAAGGAAGAGACTCTGGACTTATCTGAAGGAACAAACTCTGGACATAAAAACTTAACTGCTGTAACGCTCACCACTAAGGTCTGCAGCTTCATTCTTGAAGTGAGCAAGACCATGAACCTGCCAGAAGGAAGAAACTCTGGACACATGTGAAGGAACAAACTCTGGACATAACACCTTTAAGTGCTGTAAAACTCACCAGTAAGGTCTGCAGCTTCATTCTTGAAATGAGGAAGTCCATGAACCTGCCAGAAGGAAGAAACTCTGGACACATCTGAAGGAACAAACTCTGGACATAACAACTTAAGTGCTGTAACACTCACGACTAAGGTCTGCAGCTTTATTCCTGAAGTGAGCAATACCATGAACCTGCCTGAAGGAAGAAACTCTGCACACATCTGAAGGAACAAACTATGGACATAACACCTATAAATGCTGTAACACACACCGAAAAGGTCTACAGCTTCATTCTTGAAATGAGCAAGACCATGAACCTGCTAGAAGGAAGAAACTCTGGACACATCTGAAGGAACAAACTCTGGACATAACACCTTTAAGTGCTGTAACACTCACCAGTAAAGCCTGCAGCTTCATTAAGGAAGTGAGCAAGACCACGAAACTGCAAGAAGGAAGAAACTCTGGACACATCTGAATGAAAAAACTCTGGACATAACACCTTTAAGTGCTGTAACACTCACCACTAAGGTCTGCAGCTTCATTCTTGAAGTGAGAAAGACCATGAATCTGACAGAAGACAGAAACCCTGGACACATCTGAAGGAACAAACACTGGACGTAACACCTTTAAGTGCTGTAACACTCACCAGTAAGGTCTGCAGCTTCATTAAGGAAGTGAGCAAGACCATGAACATGCCAGAAGGAGGAATCTCTGGACACATCTGAAGGAACAAACTCTGGACATAACACCTTTAAGTGCTGTAAAACTCACCACTACCGTCTGCAGCTTCGTTCTTCAAATGAGCAAGTCCATGAACCTCCCAGAAGTAAGGAACTCTAGACACATCTGATGGAACAAACTCTGGACATAACACCTTCAAATGCTATAACACTCACCGTAAAGGTCTGCAGCTTCATTCTTGAAGTGTGTAATACCATGAACCTGCCAGAAGGAAGAAACTCTGGACATATCTGAAGGAAAAAACTCTGGACATAACACCTTTAAGTGCTATAACACTGACCGTAAAGGTCTACAGTTTCATTCTTGAAGTGAGCAAGACCATGAACCTGCCAGAAGGAAGACACTCTGGACACATCTGAAGGAACAAACTCTGGACATAACATCTTTAAGTGCTGTAACACTCACCACTAACGTCTGCAGCTTCATTCTGGAAGTGAGCAAGACCATGAACCTGCCAGAAGGAAGAAAGTCTGGACACATCTGAAGGAAAAAACTCTGGACATAACACCTTTAAGTGCTGTAAAACTCACCACTAAGTTCTGTAGCTTCATTCTTGAAGTGAGCAAGACCATGAACCGGACAGAAGGAAGAAACTATGGACTTATGTGAAGGAACAAACTCTGGACATAAAAACTTAAGTGCCGTATCGCTCACCACTAAGGTCTGCAGCTTCATTCCTGAAATGAGCAAGACCATGATCCTGCCAGAAGGAAGAACCTCTGGACACATCTGTAGGAACAAACTCTAGACATAACATCTTAAAATGCTGTAACACTGACCGTAAAGGACTGCAGCTTCATTCTTGAAGTGAGCAAGACCATGAACCTGCCAGAAGGAAGAAACTCTGGACACATCTGAAGGAACAAACTCTGGACATAACATCTTAAGTGCTGTACCACCCACCACTAAGGTCTGCAGCTTCATTCCTGAAGTGAGCAAGACCATGAACCTGCCAGAAGGAAGAAAGTCTGGACACATCTGAAGGAACAATCTCTGGACATAACACCATTAAGTGCTGTAAAACTGACCACTAATTTCTGCAGCTTCATTCTTGAAGTGAGCAAGACCAGGAACCTGCTAGAAGGAAGAAACTCTGGACATATCTGAAGGAACAAACTCTGGACATAACATCTTTCAGTGCTGTAACACTCACCGTAAAAGTCTACAGTTTCATTCTTGAAGTGAGCAAGACCATGAACCTTCCATACTGAAGAAACTGGACACATCTGAAGAAACAAACTCTAGACATAACACTTTTAAGTGCTGTAACACTCACCGTAAGGGTCTGCAGTTTCATTCTTGAAGTGAGCAAGACCATGAACCTGCCAGAAGGAAGAAACTCTGGGCATATCTGAAAGAACAAACTCTGGATATAAAAACTTAAGTGCTGTAATGATCACCACTAAGGTCTGCAACTTCATTCTTGAAGTGAGCAAGACCATGAACCTGCCAGAAGGAAGAAACTCTGGACACATCTGAAGGAGCAAACTCTGGACATAACACCTTTAAGTGCTGTAAAACTCACCACTAAGGTCTGCAGCTTCATTCTTGAAATGAGCAAGTCCATGAACCTCCCAGAAGTAAGGAATTCTAGACACATCTGTTGGAAAAAACTCTGGACATAACACCTTTAAATGCTGTAACACTCACCTTAAAGGTCTGCAGCTTCATTCTTGAAGTGAGCAAGACCATGAACCTGCCAGAAGGAAGAAACTCTGGACACATCTGAAGGAACAAACTCTGGACATAGCATCTTTCATTGCTGTAACACTCACCGTAAAAGTCTACAGTTTCATTCTTGAAGTGAGCAAGACCATGAACCTGCCAGAAGGAAGAAACTGGACACATCTGAAGGAACAAACTCTGGACATAACACCGTTAAATGCTGTAACACTCACCGTAAAGGACTGCTGCGTCATTCTTGAAGTGAGCAAGACCATGAACCTGCCAGAAGGAAGAAACTCTGGATACATCTGAAGGAACAAACTCTGGACATAACACGTTTAAGTGCTATAACACTCACCGTAAAGGTCTGCAGCTTCATTCTTGAAGTGAGCAAGACCATGAACCTGCCAGAAGGAAGTAACTCCGGACTTATCTGCAGGAACAAACTCTGGACATAAAAACTTAACTGCTGTAACGCTCAACACTAAGGTCTGCAGCTTCATTCTTGAAGTGAGCAAGACCATGAACCTGCCAGCAGGAAGAAACTCTGGACACATCTGAAGGAACAAACTCTGGACATAACAACTTTAAGTGCTGTAACACTCACCACTAAGGACTGCAGCATCATTCTTGAAGTGAGCAATACCACGAACTGCCAGAAGGAAGAAACTCTGCACACATCTGAAGGAACAAACTATGGACAGAACACCTTTAAATGCTGTAACACTCACCGAAAAGGTCTGCAGCTTCATTCTTGAAGTGAGCAAGACCATGAACCTGCCAGAAGGAAGAAACTCTGGACACATCTGAAGGAACAAACTCTGGACATAAAATCTTTCAGTGCTGTAACACTCACCGTAAAAGTCTATAGTTTCATTCTTGAAGTGAGCAAGACCATGAACCTTCCAGAAGGAAGAAACTGGACACATATGAAGGAACAAACTCTAGACATAACACCTTTAAATGCTGTAACACTCACCGTAAGGGTCTGCAGTTTCATTCTTGAAGTGAGCAAGACCATGAGCCTGCCAGAAGGAAGAAACTCAGGACACATCTGAAGGAAAAAACTCTGGACATAACGCCTTTAAGTGCTGTAACACTCACCGTAAAGGTCTGCAGCTTCATTCTTGAAGTGAGCAAGACCATGAACCTGCCAGAAGGAAGAAACTCTGGACACATCTGAAGGAGCAAACTCTGGAATAACATCTTTAAGTGCTGAAACACTCATTACTAAGGTCTGCAGCTTCATTCTTGAAGTGAGCAAGACCATGAACCGGACAGAAGGAAGAAACTCTGGACTTATGTGAAGGAACAAACTCTGGACATAAAAACGTAAGTGCTGTAACGCTCACCACTAAGGTCTGCAGCTTCATTCTTGAAGTGAGCAAGACCATGATCCTGCCAGAAAGAAGAAACTCTGCACACATCTGAAGGAACAAACTCTGGACATAACACATTTAAGTGCTGTAACACTCACCGTAAAGGTCTACAGTTTCATTCTTGAAGTGAGCAAGACCATGAACCTTCCAGACGGAAGAAACTGGACACATCTGAAGGAACAAAATCTAGACATAACACTTTTAAGTTCTGTAACACTCACCGTAAGGGTCCGCAGTTTCATTCTTGAAGTGAGCAAGACCATGAACCTGCCAGAAGGAAGAAACTCTGGTCATATCTGAAGGAACAAACTCTGGATATAAAAACTTAAGTGCTGTAATGATCACCACTAAGGTCTGCAGCTTCATTCTTGAAGTGAGCAAGAACATGAACCTGCCAGAAGGAAGAAACTCTGGACACATCTGAAGGAACAAACTCTGGACATAACACCTTTAAGTGCTGTAAAACCCACCACTAAGGTCTGCAGCTTCATTCTTGAAATGAGCAAGTCCATGAACCTCCCGGAAGTAAGGAATTCTAGACACATCTGTTGGAAAAATCTCTGGACATAACACCTTTAAATGCTGTAACACTCACCGTAAAGGTCTGCTCCGTCATTCTTGAAGTGAGCAAGACTATGAACCTGCCAGAAGGAAGAAACTCTGGACACATCTGAAGGAACAAACTCTGGACATAACACCTTTAAGTGCTGTCACACTCACCGTAAAGGTCTGCAGCTTCATTCTTGAAGTGAACAAGACCATGAACCTGCAAGAAGGAAGAAACTCTGGACACATCTGAAGGAACAAACTCTGGACATAACAGCTTTAAGTGCTGTAAAACTCATCACTGAGGTCTGCAGCTTCATTCTTCAAATGAGCAAGTCCATGAACCTCCCAGAAGGAAGGAAATCTAGACAAATCTGATGTAAAAAACTCTGGACATAACACCTTTAAATGATGTAACACTCACCGTAAAGGACTGCAGCTTCATTCTTGAAGTGAGCAAGACCATGAACCTGCCAGAAAGAAGAAACTCTGGACATATCTGAAGGAACAAACTCTGGACATAACAACTTTAAGTGCTGTAACACTCACCACTAAGGTCTGCAGCTTCATTCTTGAAGTGAGCAATACCATGATCCTGCCAGAAGGAAGAAACTCTGCACACATCTGAAGGAACAAACTATGGACATAACACCTTTAAATGCTGTAACACTCACCGTAAAGGTCTGCAGCTTCATTCTTGAAGTGAGCAAGACGATGAACCTGCCAGAAGGAAGAAACTCTGGACACATCTGAAGCAACAAACTCTGGACATAGCATCTTTCATTGCTGTAACACTCACCGTTTAGGTCTACAGCTTCATTCTTAAAGTGAGCAAGACCATGAGCCTGCCAGAAGGAAGAAACTCTGGACTTATCTGAAGGAACAAACTCTGGACATAACACCTTTAAGTGCTGTAACACTCACCGTAAAGGTCTGCAGCTTCATTCTTGAAGTGAGCAAGACCATGAACGTGCCAGAAGGAAGAAACTCTGGACTTATCTGAAGGAACAAACTCTGGACATAAAAACTTAAGTGCTGTAACGCTCACCACTAAGGTCCGCAGCTTCATTCTTGAAGTGAGCAAGACCATGAACCTGCCAGAAGGAAGAAACTCTGGACTTATCTGAAGGAACAAACTCTGGACATAAAAACTTAACTGCTGTAACGCTCACCACTAAGGTATGCAGCTTCATTCTTGAAGTGAGCAATACCATGAACCTGCCAGAAGGAAGAAACTCTGCACACATCTGAAGGAACAAACTCTGGACATAACCACTTTAAGTGCTATAATACTCACCACTACGGTCTGCAGCTTCATTCTTGAAATGAACAAGTCCATGAACCTCCCAGAAGTAAGGAACTCTAGACACATCTGATGGAACAAACTCTGGACATAACACCTTTAAATGCTGTAACACTCACTGTAAAGGTCTGCAGCTTCATTCTTGAAATGAGCAAGACCATGAACCTGCCAGAAGGAAGAAACTCTGGACACATCTGAAGGAACAAACTCTGGACATAGCATCCTTCTTTGCTGTAACACTCACCGTAAAGGTCTACAGTTTCATTCTTGAAGTGAGCAAGTCCATGAACCTGCCAGAAGGAAGAAACTGGACACATCTGAAGGAACAATCTATGGACATAACACCTTTAAGTGCTGTAAAACTCACCACTAAGTTCTGCAGCTTCTTTCTTGAAGTGAGCAAGACCATGAACCTGCCAGAAGGAAGAAACTCTGGACACATCTGAAGGAACAAACTCTGGACATAGCATCTTTCATTGCTGTAACACTCACCGTAAAGGTCTACAGTTTCATTCTTGAAGTGAGCAAGACCATGAACCTGCCAGAAGGAAGAAACTGGACACATCTGAAGGAACAAACTCTGTACATAACACCTTTAAATGCTTTAAAACTCACCGTAAAGGTCTGCTGCGTCATTCTTGAAGTGAGCAAGACCATGAACCTGCCAGAAGGAAGAAACTGTGGACACATGTGAAGGAAAAAAATCTGGACATAACACCTTTAAGTGCTGTAGCACTCACCGTAAAGGTCTGCAGCTTCATTCTTGAATTGAGCAAGACCATGAACCTGCCAGAAGGAAGAAACTCTGGACTTATCTGAAGGAACAAACTGTGGACATAAAAACTTAAGTGCTGTAACGCTCACCACTAAGGTCCGCAGCTTCATTCTTGAAGTGAGCAAGACAATGAACCTGCCAGAAGGAAGAAACTCTGGACACATCTGAAGGAACAATCTCTGGACATAACACCTTTAAGTGCTGTAACACTCAACGTAAAGGTCTGCAGCTTCATTCTTGAAGTGAGCAAGACCATGAACCTGCCAGAAGGAAGAAACTCTGGACACATCTGAAGGAACAAACTCTGGACATAACACCTTTAAGTGCTGTAAAACTCACCACTAAGTTCTGCAGCTTCATTCTTGAAGTGACCAAGACCATGAACCTGCCAGAAGGAAGAAACTCTGGACACATCTGAAGGAACAAACTCTGGACATAACACCTTTACGTTGCTGTAAAACTCACCACTAAGGTCTGCAGCTTCATTCTTGAAATGAGCAAATCCATGAACCTCCCAGAAGGAAGGAACTCTAGACACATCTGATGTAAAAAACTCTGGACATAACACCTTTAAATGATGTAACACTCACCGTAAAGGTCTGCAGCTTCATTCTTGAAGTGAGCAAGACCATGAACCAGCCAGAAGGAAGAAACTCTGGACATATCTGAAGGAACAAACTTTGGACATAAAAACTTAACTGCTGTAACGCTCACCACTAAGGTATGCAGCTTCATTCTTGAAGTGAGCAAGACCATGAACCTGCCAGAAGGAAGAAACTCTGGACACATCTGAAGGAACAAACTCTGGACATAACCCCTTTAAGTGCTGTAAAACTCACCACTACGGTCTGCAGCTTCATTCTTGAAATGAGCAAGTCCATGAACCTCCCAGAAGTAAGGAACTCTAGACACATCTGATGGAAAAAACTCTGGACATAACACCTTTAAATGCTGTAACACTCACCGTAAAGGTCTGCAGCTTCATTCTTGAAGTGAGCAAGACCATGAACCTGCCAGAAGGAAGAAACTCTGGACGTATCTGAAGGAACAAACTCTGGACATAACACCTTTAAGTGCTGTAAAACTCACCACTAAGGTCTGCAGCTTCATTCTTCAAATGAGCAAGTAGATGAACATCCCAGAAGGAAGAAACTCTGCACACATCTGAAGGAACAAACTATGGACATAACACATTTAAATGATGTAACACTCAACGTAAAGGACTGCAGCTTCATTCTTGAAGTGAGCAAGACCAGGAACCTGCCAGAAGGAAGAAACTCTGGACACATCTGAAGGAACAAACTCTGGACATAACACCTTTAAGTGCTGTAAAACTAAACACTAAGGTCTGCAGCTTCATTCTTGAAGTGAGCAATACCATGAACCTGCCAGAAGGAAGAAACTCTGGACACATCTGAAGGAACAAACTGTGGACATAACACCTTTAAGTGCTGTAAAACTCACCACTAAGTTCTGCAGCTTCTTTCTTGAAGTGAGCAAGACCATGAACCTGCCAGAAGGAAGAAACTCTGGACATATCTGAAGTAACAAACTCTGGACATAACATCTTTCAGTGCTGTAACACTCACCGTAAAGGTCTACAGTTTCATTCTTGCAGTGAGCAAGACCATGAAACTTCCAGAAGGAAGAAACTGGACACATATGAAGGAACAATCTCTAGACATAACACCCTTAAGTGCTGTAACGCTCACCCTAAGGGTCTGCAGTTTCATTCTTGAAGTGAGCAAGACCATGAACATGCCAGAAGGAAGAATCTCTGGACTTATCTGAAGGAACAAACTCTGGACATAAAAACTTAAGTGCTGTAACGTTCACCACTAAGGTCTGCAGCTTCATTCTTGAAGTGAGCACGACCATGAACCTGCCAGAAGGAGGAAACTCTGGACACATCTGAAGGAACAAACTCTGGACATAACACCTTTAAATGCTGTAACACTCACCGTAAAGGTCTGCAGCTTCATTCTTGAAGTGAGCAAGACCATGAACCAGCCAGAAGGAAGAAACTCTGGACACATCTGAAGGAACAAACGCTGGATATAGCATCTTTCATTGCTGTAACACTCACCGTAAAGGTCTACAGTTTCAATCCTGAAGTGAGCAAGACCATGAACCTGCCAGAAGGAAAAATCTCTGGACTTATCTGAAGGAACAAACTCTGGACATAAAAACTTAAGTGCTGTAACGCTCACCACTAAGGTCTGCAGCTTCATTCTTGAAGTGAGCAAGACAATGAACCTGCCAGAAAGAAGAATCTCTGGACAGATCTGAAGGAACAAACCATGGATATAACACCTTTAAGTGCTGTAAAACTCACCACTAAGGTCTGCAGCTTCATTCTTGAAATGAGCAAGTCCATGAACCTCCCAGAAGGAAGGAACTCTAGACACATCTGATGTAAGAAACTCTGGACATAACACCTTTAAATGCTGTAACACTCACCGTAAAGGTCTGCAGCTTCATTCTTGAAGTGAGCAAGACCAAGAACCTGCCAGAAGGAAGAAACTCTGCAAACATCTGAAGGAACAAACTCTGGACATAATAACATTAAGTGTTGTAACACTCACCACTAAGGTCTGCAGCTTCATTCTTGAAGTGAGCAATACATGAACCTGCCAGAAGGAAGAAACTCTGCACACATCTGAAGGAACAAACTCTGGACATAACACCTTAAAGTGCTGTAACACTCACCAGTAAGGTCTGCAGCTTCATTCTTGAAGTGAGGAAGACCACGAAACTGCAAGAAGGAAGAAACTCTGGACACATCTGAAGAAACAAAATCTGGACATAACACCTTTAAGTGCTGTAAGACTCACCAGTAAGGTCTGCAGCTTCATTAAAGATGTGAGCAAGACCACGAACCTGCCAGAAGGAAGAAACTCTGGAAACATCTGAAGGAACAAACTCTGGATATAACAACTTTAATTGCTGTAACACTCAACAGTAAGGTCTGCAGCTTCATTCTTGAAGTGAGGAAGACCATGAACCTGCCAGAAGGAAGAAACGCTGGACACATCTGAAGGAAAGAATTCTGGACATAACACCTTCAAGTGCTGTAACACTCACCACTAAGGTCGGCAGCTTCATTCTTGAAGTGAGGAAGACCAGGAAACTGCCAGAAGGAAGAATCTCTGGACACATCTGAAGAAACAAACTCTGGACATAACAACTTTAAGTGCTGTAACACTCACCAGTAAGGTCTGCAGCTTCATTAAAGAAGTGAGCAAGACCACGAACCTGCCAGAAGGAAGAAACTCTGGAAACATATGAAGGAACAAACTCTGGACATAACAGCTTTAAGTGCTGTAACACTCACCAGTAAGGTCTGCAGCTTCATTCTTGAAGTGAGCAACACCATGAACCTGCCAGAAGAAAGAAACTCTGGACACATCTGAAGCAACAAACTCTGGACAAAACACCTTTAAGTGCTGTAACACTCACCGTAAAAGTCTGCAGCTTCATTCTTGAAATGAGCAAGACCATGAACCTGCCAGAAGGAAGAAACGCTGGACATATCTGAAGGAAAAAACTCTGGACATAACACCTTTAAGTGCTGTAAAACTCACCACTAAGGTCGGCAGATTCATTCTTGAAGTGAGCAACACCATGAACCTGCCAGAAGATAGAAACCCTGGACACATCTGAAGGAACAAACTCTGGACATAACAACTTTAAGTGCTGTAACACTCACCAGTAAGGTCTGCAGCTTCATTCTTGAAGTGAGGAAGACCACGAAACTGCCAGAAAGAAGAAACTCTGGACACATCTGAAGAAACAAACTCTGGACATAACACATTTAAGTGCTGTAACACTCACAAGTAAGGTCTGCAGCTTCATTAAAGAAGTGAGCAAGACCACGAACGTGCCAGAAGGAAGAAACTCTGGAAACATCTGAAGGAACAAACTCTGGACATATGAGCTTTAAGTGCTGTAACACTCAGCAGCAAGGCCTGCAGCTTCATTCTTGAAGTGAGCAAGACCATGAACCTGCCAGAAGGAAGAAACACTGGACACATCTGAAGGAACAAATTCTGGACATAACAACTTTAACTGCTGTAACACTCACCACAAAGTCTGCAGCTTCATTCTTGAAGTGAGCAAGACCATGAACCTGCCAGAAGGAAGAAACACTGGACACATCTGAAGGAACAAACTCTGGACCTAAAACCTTTAAGTGCTGTAACACTCACCAGTAAGGTCTGCAGCTTCATTAAGGAAGTGAGCAAGACCACGAACCTGCAAGAAGGAAGAAACTCTGGAATCATCTGAAGGAACAAACTCTGGACATAACACCTTTAAGTGCTGTAACACTCAACACTAAGGACTGCAGCTTCATTCTTGAAGTGAGCAACACCATGAAACTGCCAGAAGACAGAAACCCTGGACACATCTGGAGGAACAAACTCTGGACATAACACCTTTAAGTGCTGTAACATTCACCAGTAAGGTCTGCAGCTTCATTAAGGAAGTGAGCAAGACCACGAACCTGCAAGAAGGAAGAAACTCTTGACACATCTGAAGGAACAAACTCAGGACATAACACCTTTAAGTGCTGTAACACTCACCACTAAGGTCTGCAGCTTCATTCTTGAAGTGAGCAACACCATGAACCTGCCAGAAGGAAGAACCTCTGGACACATCTGAAGGAACAAACTCTGGACATAACAAATTTAAGTGCTTTAAAACTCAACAGTAAGGTCTGCAGCTTCATTCTTGAAGTGTGCAAGACCATGAACCTGCCAGAAGGAAGAAGCGCTGGATATATCTGAAGGAAAAAACTCTGGACATAACACCTTTAAGTGTTGTAACACTCAACACTAAGGTCTGCAGCTTCATTCTGGAAGTGAGCAACACCACGAACCTGCCAGAAGGAAGAAACTCTGGACACGTCTGAAGGAACAAACTCTGGACATAACACCTTTAAGTGCCTTAACACTCAACAGTAAGGTCTGCAGCTTCATTCTTGAAGTGAGCAAGACTATGAACCTGCCAGAAGGAAGAAACGCTGGACACATCTGAAGGAAAAAACTCTGGACATAACACCTTTAAGTGCTGTAACTCTCACCACTAAGGTCTGCAGCTTCATTCTTGAAGTGAGCCATAACATGAACCTGCCAGAAGACAGAAACCCTGGACACATCTGAAGGAACAAACTCTGGACATAACATCTTTAAGTGCTGTAACACTCACCAGTAAGGTCTGCAGCTTCATTAGTGAAGTGAGCAAGACCATGAAGCTGCCAGAAGGAAGACACTCTGGACACATCTGAAGGAACAAACTCTGGACATAACAACTTTAAGTGCTGTAACACTCACCACTAAAGTCTGCAGTTTCATTCTTGAAATGAGCAAGACAATGAACCTGCCAGAAGGAAGAAACTCTGGACATATCTGAAGGAACAAAGTCTGGACATAACACCTTTAAATGCTGTAACACTCACCACTAAGGTCGGCAGCTTCATTCTTCAATGAGCAAGACCATGATCCTGCCAGAAGACAGAAACCCTGGACACATCTGAAGGAACAAACTCTGGACATAACACCTTTATGTGCTGTAACACTCACCGGTAAGGTCTGCAGCTTCATTAAGGAAGTGAACAAGACCACGAACCTCCAAGAAGGAAGAAACTCTGGACACATCTGAAGGAACAAACTCTGGACATAACACCTTTAAGTGCTGTAACACTCAACACTAAGGTCTGCAGCTTCATTCTTGAATTGAGCAACACCATGAACCTGCCAGAAGGAAGAAACTCTGGACACATCTGAAGGATCAAACTCTGGATATAACACCTTTAAGTGCTTTAACACTCAATAGTAAGGTCTGCAGCTTCATTCTTGAAGTGAGCAAGACCATGAACCTGCCAGTAGGAAGAAACGCTGGACACATCTGAAGGAAAAAACTCTGGACATAACAACTCCAAATGCTGTAACACTCACCACAAAGGTCGGCAGCTTCATTCTTGAAGTGAGCAAGACGATGAACCTGCCAGAAGACAGAAACCCTGGACACACCTGAAGGAACAAACTCTGGTCATAACACCTTTAAGTGCTGCCACCCTCACCAGTAAGGTCTGCAGCTTCATTAGTGAAGTGAGCAAGACCATGAACCTGCCAGAAGGAAGAAACTCTGGACACATCTGAAGGAACAAACTCTGGACATAACAGCTTTAAGTGCTTTAAAACTCAACAGTAAGGTCTGCAGCTTCACTCTTGAAGTGAGCAACACCATGAACCTGCCAGAAGGAAGAAACGCTGGACATATCTGAAGGAAAAAACTCTGGACATAACACATTTAAGTGCTGTAACACTCAACACTAAGGTCTGCAGCTTCATTCTTGAAGTGAGGAAGACCACGAAACTGCCGGAAGGAAGAAATTCTGGACACATCTGAAGAAACAAACTCTGGACATAACAGCTTTAAGTGCTGTAACACTCACCAGTAAGGTCTGCAGCTTCATTCTTGAAGTGAGCAAGACCATGAACCTGCCAGAAGGAAGACACTCTGGACACATCTGAAGGAACAAACTCTGGACATAACACCTTTACGTGCTGTAACACTCAACACTAAGGTCTGCGGCTTCATTCTTGAAGTGAGGAAGACCACGAAACTGCCAGAAGGAAGAAACTCTGGACACATCTGAAGAAACAATCTCTGGACATAACACCTTTAAGTGCTGTAAGACTCACCAGTAAGGTCTGCAGCTTCATTAAAGATGTGAGCAAGACCACGAACCTGCCAGAAGGAAGAAACTCTGGAAACATCTGAAGGAACAAACTCTGGATATAACAACTTTAATTGCTGTAACACTCAACAGTAAGGTCTGCAGCTTCATTCTTGAAGTGAGGAAGACCATGAACCTGCCAGAAGGAAGAAACGCTGGACACATCTGAAGGAAAGAACTCTGGACATAACACCTTCAAGTGCTGTAACACTCACCACTAAGGTCGGCAGCTTCATTCTTGAAGTGAGGAAGACCATGAACCTGTCAGAAGACAGAAACCCTGGACACATCTGAAGGAACAAACTCTGGACATAACACCTTTAAGTGCTGTAACACTCACCAGTAAGGACTGCAGCTTCATTAGTGAAGTGAGCAAGACCATGAACCTGCCAGAAGGAAGACAATCTGGACACATCTGAAGGAACAAACTCTGGACATAACACCTTTAAGTGATGTAACACTCACCAGTAAGGTCTGCAGCTTCATTAAAGAAGTGAGCAAGACCACGAACCTGCCAGAAGGAAGAAACTCTGGAAACATCTGAAGGAACAAACTCTGGACATAATAGCTTTAAGTGCTGTAACACTCAACAGTAAGGTCTGCAGCTTGATTCTTGAAGTGAGCAACACCATGAACCTGCCAGAAGGAAGTAACTCTGGACACATCTGAAGGAACAAACTCTGGACATAACACCTTTACGTGCTGTAACACTCACCACTAAGGTCTGCAGCTTCATTCTTGAAGTGAGGAAGACCACGAAACTGCCAGAAGGAAGAAACTCTGGACACATCTGGAGAAACAATCTCTGGACATAACACATTTAAGTGCTGTAATACTCACCAGTAAGTTCTGCAGCTTCATTAAAGAAGTGAGCAAGAACACGAACCTGCCAGAAGGAAGAAACTCTGGAAATATCTGAAGGATCAAACTCTGGACATAACAGCTTTAAGTACTGTAACAGTCACCAGTAAGGTCTGCAACTTCATTCTTGAAGTGAGCAAGACCATGAACCTGCCAGAAGGAAGAAACACTGGACACATCTGAAGGAACAAATTGTGGACATAACAACTTTAAATGCTGTAACACTCACCACAAAAGTCTGCAGCTTCATTCTTGAAGTGAGCAAGACCATGAACCTGCCAGAAGGAAGAAACACTGGACACATCTGAAGGAACAAACTCTGGACATAACACCTTTAAGTGCTGTAACACTCACCAGTAAGGTCTGCAGCTTCATTAAGGAAGTGAGCAAGAACACGAACCTGCAAGAAGGAAGAAACTCTGGGCACATCTGAAGGAACAAACACTGGACATAACACCTATAAGTGCTGTAACACTCAACACTAAAGTCTGCAGCTTCATTCTTGAAGTGAGCAACACCATGAACATGCCAGAAGGAAGAAACTCTGGACACATCTGAAGGAACAAACTCTGGACATAACACCTTGAAGTGCTTTAACACTAAAGAGTATGGTCTGCAGCTTCATTCTTCAAGTGAGCAAGACTATGAACCTTCCAGAAGGAAGAAACGCTGGACACATCTGAAGGAAAAAACTCTGGACATAACACCTTTAAGTACTGTAACAATCACCACTAAGTTCGGCAGCTTCATTCTTGAAGTGAGCAAGACCATGTACCTGCCAGAAGACAGAAACCCTGGACACATCTGGAGGAACAAACTCTGGACATAACACCTTTAAGTGCTGTAAAACTCACCAGTAAGGTCTGCAGCTTCATTAGTGAAGTGAGCAAGACCATGAACCTGCCAGAAGGAAGACACTCAGGACACATCTGAAGGAAAAAAACTCTGGACATAACACCTTTAAGTGCTGTAACACTCACCATTAAGGTCTGCAGCTTCATTAAGGAAGTGAGCAAGACCACGAACCTGCAAGAAGGAAGAAACTCTGGACACATCTGAAGGAAAAAACTCTGCACATAACACCTTCAAGTGCTGTAACACTCACCATTAAGGTCTGCAGCTTCATTCTTAAAGTGAGCAACACCATGAACCTGCCAGAAGGAAGAAACACTGGACATATCTGAAGGAACAAACTCTGGACATAACACCTTTAAGTGCTGTAACACTCACCAGTAAGGTCTGCAGCTTCATTAAGGAAGTGAGCAAGACCACGAACCTGCCAGAAGGAAAAAACTCTGGACACATCTGAAGGAACAAACTCTGGACATAACACTTTTAAGTGCTGTAACACTCAACACTAAGGTCTGCAGCTTCATTGTTGAAGTGAGCAACACCATGAACCTGCCAGAAGGAAGAAACTCTGGACAAATCTGAAGGAACAAACTCTGGACATAACACCTTTAAGTGCTTTAACACTAAACAGTAATGTCTGCAGCTTCATTCTTGAAGTGAGCAAGACCATGTACCTGCCAGAAGGAAGAAACGCTGGACGCATCTGAAAGAAAAAACTCTGGACATAACACCTTTAAGTACTGTAACACTCACCCCTAAGTTCGGCAGCTTCATTCTTGAAGTGAGCAAGACCATGTACCTGCAATACGACAGAAACCCTGGACAAATGTGAAGGAACAAACTCTGGACATAACACCTTTAAGTGCTGTAACACTCACCAGTAAGGCCTGCAGCTTCATTCTTGAAGTGAGCGAGACCATGAACCTGCCAGAAGGAAGAAACACTGGACACATCTTAAGGAACAAATTCTGGACATAACAACTTTAACTGCTGTAACACTCACCACAAAAGTCTGCAGCTTCATTCTTGAAGTGAGCAAGACCATGAACCTGCCAGAAGGAAGAAACACTGGACACATCTGAAGGAACAAACTCTGGACCTAAAACCTTTAAGTGCTGTAACACTCACCAGTAAGGTCTGCAGCTTCATTAAGGAAGTGAGCAAGACCACGAACCTGCAAGAAGGAAGAAACTCTGGACACATCTGAAGGAAAAAACTCTGCACATAACACCTTCAAGTGCTGTAACACTCACTAGTAAGCTCTGCAGCTTCATTCTTGAAGTGAGCAAGACCATGTACCTGCCATAAGACAGAAACCCTGGACACATGTGAAGTAACAAACTCTGGACATAACACCTTTAAGTGCTGTAACACTCACCAGTAAGGTCTGCAGCTTCATTCTTGAAGTGAGCAAGACCATGAACCTGCCAGAAGGAAGACACTCTGGACACAACTGAAGGAACAAACTCTGGACATAACACCTTAAAGTGCTGTAACACTCACCAGTAAGGTCTGCAGCTTCATTCTTGAAGTGAGGAAGACCACGAAACTGCAAGAAGGAAGAAACTCTGGACACATCTGAAGAAACAAAATCTGGACATAACACCTTTAAGTGCTGTAAGACTCACCAGTAAGGTCTGCAGCTTCATTAAAGATGTGAGCAAGACCACGAACCTGCCAGAAGGAAGAAACTCTGGAAACATCTGAAGGAACAAACTCTGGATATAACAACTTTAATTGCTGTAACACTCAACAGTAAGGTCTGCAGCTTCATTCTTGAAGTGAGGAAGACCATGAACCTGCCAGAAGGAAGAAACGCTGGACACATCTGAAGGAAAGAATTCTGGACATAACACCTTCAAGTGCTGTAACACTCACCACTAAGGTCGGCAGCTTCATTCTTGAAGTGAGGAAGACCATGAACCTGCCAGAAGACAGAAACCCTGGACACATCTGAAGGAACAAACTCTGGACATAACACCTTTAAGTGCTGTAACACTCACCAGTAAGGACTGCAGCTTCATTAGTGAAGTGAGCAAGACCATGAACCTGCCAGAAGGAAGACACTCTGGACACATCTGAAGGAACAAACTCTGGACATAACACCTTTAAGTGATGTAACACTCACCAGTAAGGTCTGCAGCTTCATTAAAGAAGTGAGCAAGACCACGAACCTGCCAGAAGGAAGAAACTCTGGAAACATCTGAAGGAACAAACTCTGGACATAACAGCTTTAAGTGCTGTAACACTCAACAGTAAGGTCTGCAGCTTGATTCTTGAAGTGAGCAACACCATGAACCTGCCAGAAGGAAGTAACTCTGGACACATCTGAAGGAACAAACTCTGGACATAACACCTTTACGTGCTGTAACACTCAACACTAAGGTCTGCAGCTTCATTCTTGAAGTGAGGAAGACCACGAAACTGCCAGAAGGAAGAAACTCTGGACACATCTGGAGAAACAATCTCTGGACATAACACATTTAAGTGCTGTAATACTCACCAGTAAGGTCTGCAGCTTCATTAAAGAAGTGAGCAAGAACACGAACCTGCCAGAAGGAAGAAACTCTGGAAATATCTGAAGGATCAAACTCTGGACATAACAGCTTTAAGTACTGTAACAGTCACCAGTAAGGTCTGCAACTTCATTCTTGAAGTGAGCAAGACCATGAACCTGCCAGAAGGAAGAAACCCCGGACACATCTGAAGGAACAAATTGTGGACATAACAACTTTAAATGCTGTAACACTCACCACAAAAGTCTGCAGCTTCATTCTTGAAGTGAGCAAGACCATGAACCTGCCAGAAGGAAGAAACACTGGACACATCTGAAGGAACAAACTCTGGACATAACACCTTTAAGTGCTGTAACACTCACCAGTAAGGTCTGCAGCTTCATTAAGGAAGTGAGCAAGACCACGAACCTGCAAGAAGGAAGAAACTCTGGACACATCTGAAGGAACAAACACTGGACATAACACCTATAAGTGCTGTAACACTCAACACTAAGGTCTGCAGCTTCATTCTTGAAGTGAGCAACACCATGAACATGCCAGAAGGAAGAAACTCTGGACACATCTGAAGGAACAAACTCTGGACATAACACCTTGAAGTGCTTTAACACTAAAGAGTATGGTCTGCAGCTTCATTCTTCAAGTGAGCAAGACTATGAACCTGCCAGAAGGAAGAAACGCTGGACACATCTGAAGGAAAAAACTCTGGACATAACACCTTTAAGTACTGTAACAATCACCACTAAGTTCGGCAGCTTCATTCTTGAAGTGAGCAAGACCATGTACCTGCCAGAAGACAGAAACCCTGGACACATCTGGAGGAACAAACTCTGGACATAACACCTTTAAGTGCTGTAAAACTCACCAGTAAGGTCTGCAGCTTCATTAGTGAAGTGAGCAAGACCATGAACCTGCCAGAAGGAAGACACTCAGGACACATCTGAAGGAAAAAAACTCTGGACATAACACCTTTAAGTGCTGTAACAGTCACCATTAAGGTCTGCAGCTTCATTAAGGAAGTGAGCAAGACCACGAACCTGCAAGAAGGAAGAAACTCTGGACACATCTGAAGGAAAAAACTCTGCACATAACACCTTCAAGTGCTGTAACACTCACCATTAAGGTCAGCAGCTTCATTCTTAAAGTGAGCAACACCATGAACCTGCCAGAAGGAAGAAACACTGGATATATCTGAAGAAACAAACTCTGGACATAACACCTTTAAGTGCTGTAACACTCACCAGTAAGGTCTGCAGCTTCATTAAGGAAGTGAGCAAGACCACGAACCTGCCAGAAGGAAAAAACTCTGGACACATCTGAAGGAACAAACTCTGGACATAACACTTTTAAGTGCTGTAACACTCAACACTAAGGTCTGCAGCTTCATTGTTGAAGTGAGCAACACCATGAACCTGCCAGAAGGAAGAAACTCTGGACACATCTGAAGGAACAAACTCTGGACATAACACCTTTAAGTGCTTTAACACTCAACAGTAAGGTCTGCAGCTTCATTCTTGAAGTGAGCAAGACCATGAAACTGCCAGAAGGAAGAAACGCTGGACACATCTGAAGGAAAAAACTCTGGACATAACACCTTTAAGTGCTGTAACAGTCACCACTAAAGTCTGCAGCTTCATTCTTGAAGTGAGCAAGACCATGAACCTGCCAGAAGACAGAAACCCTGGACACATCTGACGGAAAAATGTCTGGACATAACACCTTTAAGTGCTGTAACACTCACCAGTAAGGTCTGCAGCTTCATTCTTGAAGTGAGGAAGACCACGAAACTGCCAGAAGGAAGAAACTCTGGACACCTCTGAAGAAACAAACTCTGGACATAACACATTTAAGTGCTGTAACACTCACCAGTAAGGTCTGCAGCTGCATTAAAGAAGTGAGCAAGACCACGAACCTGCCAGAAGGAAGAAACTCTGGAAACATCTGAAGGAACAAACTCTGGATATAACAACTTTAATTGCTGTAACACTCACCAGTAAGGTCTGCAGCTTCATTCTTGAAGTGAGGAAGACCATGAACCTGCCAGAAGGAAGAAACGCTGGACACATCTGAAGGAAAGAACTCTGGACATAACACCTTCAAGTGCTGTAACACTCACCACTAAGGTCGGCAGCTTCATTCTTGAAGTGAGGGAGACCATGAACCTGCCAGAAAACAGAAACCCTGGACACATCTGAAGGAACAAACTCTGGACTTAACACCTTTAAGTGCTGTAACACTCACCAGTAATGTCTGCAGCTTCATTAGTGAAGTGAGCAAGACCATGAACCTGCCAGAAGGAAGACACTCAGGACACATCTGAAGGAACAAACTCTGGACATAACACCTTTAAGTGCTGTAACACAAACCAGTAAGTTCTGCAGCTTCATTCTTGAAGTGAGGAAGACCACGAAACTGCCAGAAGGAAGAAACTCTGGACACATCTGAGGAAACAAACTCTGGACATAACACCTTTAAGTGCTGTAACATTCACCAGTAAGTTCTGCAGCTTCATTCTTGAAGTGAGCATCACCATGAACCTGCCAGAAGGAAGAAACTCTGGACACATCTGAAGGAGCAAACTCTGGACATAACACCTTTAAGTGCTTTAAAACTCAACAGTAACGACTGCAGCTTCATACTTGAAGTGACCAAGACCATGAACCTACCAGTAGGAAGAAACTCCGGACACATCTGAAGGAAAAAACTCTGGACATAACAACTTAAAGAGCTGTAACACTCACCACTAAGGTCTGCAGCTTCATTCTTGAAGTGAGGAAGACCACGAAACTGCCAGAAGGAAGAAAGTCTGGACACATCTGATGTAAAAAACTCTGGACATAACACCTTTAAGTGCTGTAACACTCACCGTAAAGGTCTGCAGCTTCATTCTTGAAGTGAGCAAGACCAAGAACCTGCCAGAAGGAAGAAACTCTGCAAACATCTGAAGGAACAAACTCTGGACATAATAACATTAAGTGTTGTAACACTCACCACTAAGGTCTGCAGCTTCATTCTTGAAGTGAGCAATACCATGAACCTGCCAGAAGGAAGAAACTCTGCACACATCTGAAGGAACAAACTCTGGACATAACACCTTTAAATGCTGTAACACTCACCACTAAGGTGTGCAGCTTCATTCTTGAAGTGAGCAAGACGACGAACCTGTCAGAAGGAAGAAACTCTATACACATCTGAAGGAAAAAACTCTGGACATAACACTTTTAAATGCTGTAAACCTCACCGTAAAGGTCTGCATTTTCATTCTTGAGGTGAGCAAGACCATGAACCTGCCAGAAGGAAGAAATTCTGGACACATCTGAAGGAACAAACTCTGGATATAACACCTTTAAGTGCTGTAAAACTCCCCGTAAAGGACTGGAGCTTCATTCTTGAAGTGAGCAAGACCATGAACGTGCCAGAAGAAAGAAACTCTGGACACATCTGAAGGAAAAAACTCTGGACATAACACCTTTAAGTGTTGTAACACTCAACGTAAAGGTCTGCAGCTTCATTCTTGAAGTGAGCAAGACCATGAACCTTCCAGAAAGAAGAAACTCTGGACCTATCTGAAGGAACAAACTCTGGACATGACATGTTTCAGTGCTGTAACACTCACCGTAAAGGTCTACTGTTTCATTCTTGAAGTGAGCAGGACCATGAACCAGCCAGAAGAAAGAAAATGGACACATCTGAAGGAACAAACTCTGGACATAACAACTTTAAGTGCTGTAACACTCACCACTAAGGTCTGCAGCTTCATTCTTGAAGTGAGCAATACCATGAACCTGTCAGAAGGAAGAAACTCTGCACACATCTGAAGGAACAAACTATGGACATAACACCTTTAAATGCTGTAACACTGACCGTAAAGGTCTGCAGCTTCATTCTTGAAGTGAGCAAGACCATGAAACTGCCAGAAGGAAGAAACTCTGGACACATCTGAAGGAACAATCTCTGGACATAACATCTTTAAGTGCTGCAACACTCACCACTAAGGTCTGCAGCTTCATTCTTGAAGTGAGCAAGACCATGAACCTGCCAGAAGGAAGAAACTCTGGACACATCTGAAGGAACAAACTCTGGACATAACACCTTTAAATGCTGTAAAACTCACCACTAAGTTCTGCAGCTTCATTCTTGAAGTGAGCAAGACGATGAACCTGCCAGAAAGAAGAAACTCTGGACACATCTGGAGGAACAAACTCTGGACATAACATCTTTCAATGCTGTAACACTCACCGTAAATGTCTACAGTTTCATTCTTGAAGTGAGCAAGACCATGAACCTTCCAGAAGGAAGAAACTGGACACATAGATAGGAACAAACTCTAGACATAACCCCTTGAAGTGCTGTAACACTCATCGTAAGGGTCTGCAGTTTCATTCTTGAAGTGAGCAAGACCATGAACCTGCCAGAGGGAAGAATCTCTGGACTTATCTGAAGGAACAAACTCTGGACATAAAAACGTAAGTGCTGTAACGCTCACCACTAAGGTCTGCAGCTTCATTCTTGAAGTGAGCAAGACAATGAACCTGCCAGAAGGAAGAATCTCTGGACAGATCTGAAGGAACAAACCCTGGGCATAACACCTTTAAGTGCTGTAAAACTCACCACTAAGGTCTGCAGCTTCATTCTTGAAATGAGCAAGTCCATGAAACTCCCAGAAGGAAGGAAATCTAGACACATCTGATGTAAGAAACTCTGGACATAACACCTTTAAATGCTGTAACACTCACCGTAAAGGTCTGCAGCTTCATTCTTGAAGTGAGCAAGACCAAGAACCTGCCAGAAGGAAGAAACTCTGGACACATCTGAAGGAACAAACTCTGGACATAACAACTTTAAGTGCTGTAACACTCACCACTAAGGTCTGCAGCTTCATTCTTGAAGTGAGCAACACCATGAACCTGCCAGAAGGAAGAAACTCTGCACACATCTGAGGAACAAACTCTGGACATAACACCTTTAAATGCTGTAACACTCACCACTAATGTGTGCAGCTTCATTTTTGAAGTGAGCAAGACGACGAACCTGCCAGAAGGAAGAAACTCTGGACACATCTGAAGGAACAAACTCTGGACATAACACCTTTAAGGGCTGTATCACTCACCGTAAGGGTCTGCAGTTTCATTCTTGAAGTGAGCAAGACAATGAACCTGCCAGAAGGAAGAAACTCTGGACACATCTGAAGGAACAAACTCTGGACCTAACACCTTTAAGTGCTGTAAAACTCACCACAAAGGTCTTCAGCTTCATTCTTGAAATGAGCAAGTCCATGAACCTCCCAGAAGGAAGGAACTCTAGACACATCTGATGTAAGAAACTCTGGACATAACTCCATTAAATGCTGTAACACTCACCGTAAAGGTCTGCAGCTTCATTCTTGAAGTGAGCAAGACCAAGAACCTGCCAGAGGGAAGAAACTCTGGAAACATCTGAAGGAACAAACTCTGGACATAACAACTTTAAGTGCTGTAACACTCACGACTAAGGTCTGCAGCTTCCTTCTTGAAGTGAGCAATACCATGAACCTGCCAGAAGGAAGAAACTCTGCACACATCTGAAGGAACAAACTCTGTACATAACACCACTAATGCTGTAACACTCACCGTAAATGTCTGCAGCTTCATTCTTGAGGTGAGCAAGACCATGAACCAGCCAGAAGGAAGAAACTCTGGACACATCTGAAGGAAGAAACTCTGGACATAACACATTTAAGTGCTGTAAAACACACCACTAAGGTCTGCAGCTTTATTATTGAAGTGAGCAATACCATGAACCTGCCAGAAGGAAGAAACTCTGCACACATCTGAAGGAACAAACTCTGGACCTAACACCTTTAAATGCTGTAACACACACCGTAAATGTCTGCAGCTTCATTCTTGAGGTGAGCAAGACCATGAACCTGCCAGAAGGAAGAAACTCTGGACACATCTGAAGGAAAAACTCTGGACATAACACCTTTAAGAGTGTAAAACTCACCACTAAGTTCTGCAGCTTCATTCTTGAAGTGAGCAAGACCATGAACCTGCCAGAAGGAAGAAACTCTGGACACATCGGAAGGAACAAACTCTGGACATAACACCTTTAAGTGCTATAACACTCACCGTAAAGGTCTGCAGCTTCATTCTTGAAATGAGCAAGTCTATGAACCTCCCAGAAGTAAGGAACTCTAGACACATCTGATGGAACAAACTCTGGACATAACACATTTAAATGCTGTAACACTCACCGTAATGGTTTGCAGCTTCATTCTTGAAGTGAGCAAGACCATGAACCTGCCAGAAGGAAGAAACTCTGGACACATCTGAAGGAACAAACTCTGGATATAGCATCTTTCATTGCTGTAACACTCACCGTAAAGTTCTACAGTTTCATTCTTGAACTGAGCAAGACCATGAAACTGCCAGAAGGAAGAAACTGGACACATCTGAAGGAACAAACTCTGGACATAACACCTTTATATGCTGTAACACTCACCGTAAAGGTCTGCCGCCTCATTCTTGAAGTGAGCAAGACCATGAACCTGCCAGAAGGAAGAAACTCTGGACACATCTGAGGTAAAAAAACTTTGGACATAACACCTTTAAATGATGTAACACTCACCGTAAAGGACTGCAGCTTCATTCTTGAAGTGAGCAAGACCATGAACCAGCAAGAAAGAAGAAACTCTGGACATATCTGAAGGAACAAAGTCTGGACATAACAACTTGAAGTGCTGTAACACTCACCACTAAGTTCTGCAGCTTCATTCTTGAGATGAGCAATACCATGGTCCTGCCAGGAGGAAGAAACTCTGCACACATCTGAAGGAACAAACTATGGACATAACACATTTAAATGCTGTAACACTCACCGTAAAGGTCTGCAGCTTCATTTTTGAAGTGAGCAGGACCATGAACCTGCCAGAAGGAAGAAACTCTAAACATATCTGAAGGAAAAAACTCTGGACATAAAAACTTAAGTGCTGTAACGATCACCACTATGGTCTGCAGCTTCATTCTTGAAGTGAGCAAGACCATTAACCTGCCAGAAGGAAGAAACTCTGGACACATCTGAAGGAACAAACTCTGGACCTAACACCTTTAAGTGCTGTAAAACTCACCACTAAGGTCTTCAGCTTCATTCTTGAAATGAGCAAGTCCATGAACCTCCCAGAAGGAAGGAACTCTAGACATATCTGATGTAAGAAACTCTGGACATAACTCCATTAAATGCTGTAACACTCACCGTAAATGTCTGCAGCTTCATTCTTGAAGTGAGCAAGACCAAGAACCTGCCAGAGGGAAGAAACTCTGGACACATCTGAAGGAACAAACTCTGGACATAACAACTTTAAGTGCTGTAACACTCACCACTAAGGTCTGCAGCTTCATTCTTGAAGTGAGCAATACCATGAACCTGCCAGAAGGAAGAAACTCTGCACACATCTGAAGGAACAAACTCTGTACATAACACCATTAATGCTGTAACACTCACCGTAAATGTCTGCAGCTTCATTCTTGAAGTGAGCAAGACCATGAACTTGCCAGAAGGAAGAAACTCTGGACACATCTAAAGGAACAAACTCTGGACATAACACCTTTAAGTGCTGTAACACTCACCGTAAAGGTCTGCAGCTTCATTCTTGAGGTGAGCAAGACCATGAACCAGCCAGAAGGAAGAAACTTTGGACACATCTGAAGGAAGAAACTCTGGACATAACACATTTAAGTGCTGTAAAACACACCACTAACGTCTGCAGCTTTATTATTGAAGTGAGCAATACCATGAACCTGCCAGAAGGAAGAAACTCTGCTCACATCTGAAGGAACAAACTCTGGACCTAACACCTTTAAATGCTGTAACACTCACCGTAAAGGTCTGCAGCTTCATTCTTGAGGTGAGCAAGACCATGAACCTGCCAGAAGGAAGAAACTCTGGACACATCTGAAGGAAAAAACTCTGGACATAACAACTTTAAGTGTGTAAAACTCACCACTAAGTTCTGCAGCTTCATTCTTGAAGTGAGCAAGACCATGAACCTGCCAGAAGGAAGAAACTCTGCACACATCTGAAGGAACAAACTCTGGACATAACACCTTTAAATGCTGTAACACTCACCACTAAGGTGTGCAGCTTCATTTTTGAAGTGAGCAAGACGACGAACCTGTCAGAAGGAAGAAACTCTGGACACATCTGAAGGAAAAAACTCTGGACATAACACTTTTAAATGCTGTAACCCTCACCGTAAAGGTCTGCATTTTCATTCTTGAGGGGAGCAAGACCATGAACCTGCCAGAAGGAAGAAATGCTGGACACATCTGAAGGAACAAACTCTGGATATAACACCTTTAAGTGCTGTAACACTCACCGTAAATGACTGGAGCTTCATTCTTGAAGTGAGCAAGACCATGAACCTGCCAGAAGAAAGAAACTCTGGAAACATCTGAAGGAACAAACTCTGGACATAACACCTTTAAGTGCTGTAACACTCAACGTAAAGGTCTGCAGCTTCTTCCTTGAAGTGAGCAAGACTATGAACCTGCCAGAAAGAATAAACTCTGGACCTATCTGAAGGAACAAACTCTGGGCATGACATGTTTCAGTGCTGTAACACTCACCGTAAAGGTCTACAGTTTCATTCATGAAGTGAGCAGGACCATTAACCAGCCAGAAGGAAGAAAATGGACACATCTGAAGGAACAAACTCTGGACATAACAACTTTAAGTGCTGCAACACTCACCACTAAGGTCTGCAGCTTCATTCTTGAAGTGAGCAATACCATGAACCTGCCAGAAGGAAGAAACTCTGCACACATCAGAAGGAACAAACTCTGGACATAACACCTTTAAGGTCTGTATCACTCACCGTAAGGGTCTGCAGTTTCATTCTTGAAGTGAGCAAGACCATGAACCTGCCAGAAGGAAGAAACTCTGGACACATCTGAAGGAACAAACTCTGGACATAACACCTTTAAGTGCTGTAAAACTCACCACTAATGTCTGCAGCTTCATTCTTGAAATGAGCAAGTACATGAACCTCCCAGAAGGAAGGAACTCTAGACACATCTGAGTTAAAAAAATTTGGACATAACACCTTTAAATGATGTAACACTCACCGTAAAGGACTGCAGCTTCATTCTTAAAGTGAGCAAGAACATGAACCTGCCAGAAAGAAGAAACTCTGGACATATCTGAAGGAACAAACTCTGGACATAACAACTTGAAGTGCTGTAACACTCACCACTAAGTTCTGCAGCTTCATTCTTGAGGTGAGCAATACCATGGTACTGCCAGAAGGAAGAAACTCTGCACACATCTGAAGGAACAAACTATGGACATAACACATTTAAATGCTGTAACACTCACCGTAAAGGTCTGCAGCTTCATTTTTGAAGTGAGCACGACCATGAACCTGCCAGAAGGAAGAAACTCTAAACATATCTGAAGGAAAAAACTCTGGACATAAAAACTTAAGTGCTGTAACGATCATCACTAAGGTCTGCAGCTTCATTCTTGAAGTGAGCAAGACCATGAACCTGCCAGAAGGAAGAAACTCTGGACACATCTGAAGGAACAAACTCTGGACCTAACACCTTTAAGTGCTGTAAAACTCACCACTAAGGTCTTCAGCTTCATTCTTGAAATGAGCAAGTCCATGAACCTCCCAGAAGGAAGGAACTCTAGACACATCTTATGTAAGAAACTCTGGACATAACTCCATTAAATGCTGTAACACTCACCGTAAAGGTCTGCAGCTTCACTCTTGAAGTGAGCAAGACCAAGAACCTGCCAGAGGGAAGAAGCTCTGGACACATCTGAAGGAACAAACTCTGGACTTAACAACTTTAAGTGCTGTAACACTCACCACTAAGGTCTGCAGCTTCATTCTTGAAGTGAGCAATACCATGAACCTGCCAGAAGGAAGAAACTCTGCACACATCTGAAGGAACAAACTCTGTACATAACACCATTAATGCTGTAACACTCACCGTAAATGTCTGCAGCTTCACTCTTGAAGTGAGCAAGACCATGAACTTGCCAGAAGGGAGAAACTCTGGACACATCTAAAGGAACAAACTCTGGACATAACACCTTTAAGTGCTGTAACACTCACCGTAAATGTCTGCAGCTTCATTCTTGAGGTGAGCAAGACCATGAACCAGCCAGAAGGAAGAAACTCTGGACACATCTGAAGGAAGAAACTCTGGAAATAACACACTTAAGTGCTGTAAAACACACCACTAAGGTCTGCAGCTTTATTGTTGAAGTGAGCAATACCATGAACCTGCCAGAAGGAAGAAACTCTGCACACATCTGGAGGAACAAACTCTGGACCTAACACCTTTAAATGCTGTAACACTCACCGTAAAGGTCTGCAGCTTCATTCTTGAGGTGAGCAAGACCATGAACCTGCCAGAAGGAAGAAACTCTGGACACATCTGAAGGAAAAAACTCTGGACATAACACCTTTAAGTGTGTAAAACTCACCACTAAGTTCTGCAGCTTCATTCTTGAAGTGAGCAAGACCATGAACCTGCCAGAAGGAAGAAACTCTGGACACATCGGAAGGAACAAACTCTGGACATAACACCTTTAAGTGCTATAACACTCACCGTAAAGGTCTGCAGCTTCATTCTTGAAATGAGCAAGTCTATGAACCTCCCAGAAGTAAGGAACTCTAGACACATCTGATGGAACAAACTCTGGACATAACACATTTAAATGCTGTAACACTCACCGTAATGGTCTGCAGCTTCATTCTTGAAGTGAGCAAGACCATGAACCTGCCAGAAGAAAGAAACTCTGGACACATCTGAAGGAACAAACTCTGGATATACCATCTTTCATTGCTGTAACACTCACCGTAATGTTCTACAGTTTCATTCTTGAAGTGAGCAAGACCATGAACCTGCCAGAAGGAAGAAACTGGACACATCTGAAGGAACAAACTCTGGACATAACAACTTTATATGCTGTAACACTCACCGTAAAGGTCTACCGCCTCATTCTTGAAGTGAGCCAGACCATGAACCTGCCAGAAGGAAGAAACTCTGGACACATCTGAAGGAACAAACTCTGGACATAACACCTTTATGTGCTGTAACACTCACCGTAAAGGTCTGCAGCTTCATTCTTGAAGTGAGCAAGGCTATGAACCTGCCAGAAGGAAGAAACTCTGGACACATCTGAAGGAACAAACTCTGGAAATAACATCTTTAAGTGTTGTAACACTCACCACTAAGGTATGCAGCTTCATTCTTGAAGTGAGCAAGACCATAAACCGGACAGAAGGAAGAAACTCTGGACTTATGTGAAGGAACAAACTCTGGACATAAAAACTTAAGTGCTGTAACGCTCACCACTAAGGTCTGCAGCTTCATTCTTGAAGTGAGCAAGACCATGATCCTGCCAGAAAGAAGAAACTCTTGACACATCTGAAGGAACAAACTCTGGACATAACACCTTTAAATGCTGTAACACTGACAGTAAAGGTCTGCAGCTTCATTGTTGAAATGAGCAAGACCATGAACCTGCCAGAAGGAAGAAACTCTGGACACATCTGAAGGAACAAACTCTGGACATAACACCTTTAAGTGCTGTAACACTCACCGTAAGGGTCTGCAGCTTCATTCTTGAAGTGAGCAAGACCATGAACCTGCCAGAAGGAAGAAACTCTGGACTAATCTGAAGGAACAAACTCTGGACGTAAAAACTTAAGTGCTGTAACGCTCACCACTAAGGTCCGCAGCTTCATTCTTGAAGTGAGAAATACCATGAACCTGCCGGAAGGAAAAAACTCTGCACACATCTGAAGGAACAAACTCTGGACATAACACCTTTAAATGCTGTAAAACTCACCACTAAGGTTTGCAGCTTCATTCTTGAAATGAGGAAGTCCATGAAACTCCCAGAAGTAAGGAATTCTAGACACATCTGTTGGAAAAAACTGTGGACATAACACCTTTAAATGCTGTAACACTCACCACTAAGGTCTGCAGCTTCATTCTTGAAGTGAGCAATACCATGAGCCTGCCGGAAGGAAGAAACTCTGCACACATCTGAAGGAACAAACTCTGGACATAACACCTTTAAATGCTGTAACACTCACCGTAAAGGTCTGCAGCTTCATTCTTGAAGTGAGCAAGACCATGAACCTGCCAGAAGGAAGAAACTCTGGACACATCTGAAGGAACAAACTCTGGACATAACAACTTTAAGTGCTGTAACACTCACCACTAAGGTCTGCAGCTTCATTCTTGAAGTGAGCAATACCATGAACCTGCCGGAAGGAAGAAACTCTGCACACATCTGAAGGAACAAACTATGGACATATCACCTTTAAATGCTGTAACACTCACCGTAAAGGTCTGCTGCGTCATTCTTGAAGTGAGCAAGACCATGAAACTGCCAGAAGGAAGAAACTCTGGACACATCTGAAGGAACAAACTCTGGACATAACACCTTTAAGTGCTGTAACACTCACCGTAAAGGTCTGCAGCTTCATTCTTGAAGTGAGCAAGCCCATGAACCTGCCAGAAGGAAGAAACTCTGGACACATCTGAAGGAACAAACTCTGGACATAACACCTTTAATTGCTGTAAAACTCACCACTAATGTCTGCAGCTTCATTCTTGAAATGAGCAACTACATGAACCTCCCAGAAAGAAGGAACTCTAGACACATCTGAGTTAAAAAAATTTGGACATAACACCTTTAAATGATGTAACACTCACCGTAAAGGACTGCAGCTTCATTCTTAAAGTGAGCAAGAACATGAACCTGCCAGAAAGAAGAAACTCTGGACATATCTGAAGGAACAAACTCTGGACATAACAACTTGAAGTGCTGTAACACTCACCACTAAGTTCTGCAGCTTCATTCTTGAGGTGAGCAATACCATGGTACTGCCAGAAGGAAGAAACTCTGCACACATCTGAAGGAACAAACTATGGACATAACACATTTAAATGCTGTAACACTCACCGTAAAGGTCTGCAGCTTCATTTTTGAAGTGAGCAGGACCATGAACCTGCCAGAAGGAAGAAACTCTAAACATATCTGAAGGAAAAAACTCTGGACATAAAAACTTAAGTGCTGTAACGATCACCACTATGGTCTGCAGCTTCATTCTTGAAGTGAGCAAGACCATTAACCTGCCAGAAGGAAGAAACTCTGGACACATCTGAAGGAACAAACTCTGGACCTAACACCTTTAAGTGCTGTAAAACTCACCACTAAGTCTTCAGCTTCATTCTTGAAATGAGCAAGACCATGAACCTGCCAGAAGGAAGAAACTCTGGACACATCTGAAGGAACAAACTCTGGACATAGCATCTTTCATTGCTGTAACACTCACCGTAAAGGTCTACAGTTTCATTCTTGAAGTGAGCAAGACCATGAACCTGCCAGAAGGAAGAAAGTGGACACATCTGAAGGAACAAACTCTGGACATAACACCTTTAAATGCTGTAACACTCACCGTAAAGCTCTGCCGCGTCATTCTTGAATTGAGCAAGACCATGAACCTGCCAGAAGGAAGAAACTCTGGACACATCTGAAGGAACAAACTCTGGACATAACAACTTTAAGTGCTGCAAAACTCACCACTGAGGTCTGCAGCTTCATTCTTGAAGTGAGCAAGACCATGAACCTGCCAGAAGGAAGAAACTCTGGAATTATCTGAAGGAACAAACCCTGGACATAAAAACTTAAGTGCTGTAACGCTCACCACTAAGGTCTGCAGCTTCATTCTTGAAGTGAGCAAGACCATGAACCTGCCAGAAGGAAGAAACTCTGCACACATCTGAAGGAACAAACTCTGGACATAAAAACTTTAAGTGCTGTAACACTCACCACTAAGGTCTGCAGGTTCATTCTTGAAATGAGCAATACCATGAACCTGCCAGAAGGAAGAAACTCTGCACACATCTGAAGGAACAAACTATGGACATAACACCTTTAAATGCTGTAACACTCACCGTAATCGTCTGCAGCTTCATTCTTGAAGTGAGCAAGACCATGAACCTGCCAGAAGGAAGAAACTCTGGACACATCTGAAGGAACAAACTCTGGACATAACACCTTTAAGTGCTTTAACACTGACCGTAAAGGTCTGCAGCTTCATTCTGGAAGTGAGCAAGACCATGAACCTGCCAGAAGGAAGAAACTCTGGACACATCTGAAGGAACAAACTCTGGACATAACATCTTTAAGTGCTGTAACACTCACCACTAAGGTCTGCAGCTTCATTCTTGAAGTGAGCAAGAGCATGAACCGGCGAGAAGGAAGAAACTCTGGACACATCTGAAGGAACAAATTCTGGACATAACACCTTTAAGTGCTGTAAAACTCACCACTACGTTCTGCAGCTTCATTCTTGAAGTGAGCAAGACCATGAAACTGCCAGAATGAAGAAACTCTGGACACATCTGAAGGAAAAAACACTGGACATAACACCTTTAAGTGCTGTAACACTCACCGTAAAGGTCTGCAACTTCATTCTTGAGGTCAGCAAGACCATGAACCTGTCAGAAGGAAGAAACTCTGGACATATCTGAAGGAAGAAACTGTGGACATAACACCTTTAAGTGGTGTAAAACACACCACTAAGTTCTACAGCTTCATTCTTGAAGTGAGCAAGGACAAGATCCTGACAGATGGAACAAACTCTAGACACATCTGAAGGAACAAACTCTGGACATAACATGATTCAGTGCTGTAACACTCACCGTAACAGTCTACAGATTCATTCTTGAAGTGAGCAAGACCATGAACCTGCCAGAAGGAGGAAAGTGGACACATCTGAAGGAACAAACTCTGGACATAACACCTTTAAGTGCTGTAACACTCAACGTAAGGTCTGCAGTTTCATTCTTGAAGTGAGCAAGACCATGAACCTACCAGAAGAAAGAAACTCTGGACACATCTGAAGGAAAAAACTCTGGACATAACACCTTTAAGTGCTGTAACATTCAACGTAAAGGTCTGCAGCTTCATTCTTCAAGTGAGCAAGACCATCAACCTGCCAGAAGGTAGAAACTCTGGACACATCTGAAGGAAAAATCTCTGGGCATAACACATTTGAATGCTGTAACAGTCACCGTAAATGTCTGCAGCTTCATTCTTGAAGTGAACAAGACGATGAACCTGCCAGAAGGAAGAAACTCTGGACACATCTGAAGGAAGAAACTCTGGACTTAACAGTTTTAAGTGCTGTAAAACTCAGCGTAAAGGTCTGCAGCTTCATTCGTGAAGTGAGCAAGACCATGAACCTGCCACAAGGAAGAAATACTGGACACATCTGAATGAACGAACTCTGGACATAACACATTTAAATGCTGTAACACTCACCGTAAAGGTCTGCAGCTTCATTCTTGAGGTCAGCAAGACCATGAACCTGCCAGAAGGAAGAAACCCTGGACACATCTGAAGGAACAAACTCTGGACTTAAAAACTTAAGTGCTGTAACGCTCACCACTAAGGTGTGCAGCTTCATTCTTGAAGTGAGCAAGACGACAAACCTGTCAGAAGGAAGAAACTCTGGACACATCTGAAGGAAAAAACTCTGGACATAACACTTTTAAATGCTGTAAACCTCACCGTAAAGTTCTGCATTTTCATTCTGGAGGTGAGCAAGACCATGAACCTGCCAGAAGGAAGAAATGCTGGACACATCTGAAGGAACAAACTCTGGATATAACACCTTTAAGTGCTATAACACTCACCGTAAAGGACTGGAGCTACATTCTTGAAGTGAGCAAGACCATGAACCTGCCAGAAGAAAGAAACTCTGGACACATCTGAAGGAACAAACTCTGGACATAACACCTTTAAGTGCTGTAACGCTCAACGTAAAGGTCTGCAGCTTCATTAAGGAAGTGAGCAAGACCACGACCTGCAAGAAGGAAGAAACTCTGGACACATCTGAAGGAACAAACTCTGGACATAACACCTTTAAGTGCTGTAAAACTCACCACTAAGGTCTGCAGCTTCATTCTTGAAATGAGCAAGTCCATGAATCTCCCAGAAGGAAGGAACTCTAGACACATCTGATGTTAGAAACTCTGGACATAACAGTTTTAAATGCTGTAACACTCACCGTAAAGGTCTGTAGCTTCATTCTTGAAGTGAGCAAGACCAAGAACCTGCCAGAAGGAAGAAACTCTGCACACATCTGAAGGAACAAACTCTGGACATAACAACTTTAAGTGCTGTAACACTCACCGTAAAGGTCTACTGTTTCATTCTTGAAGTGAGCAAGACCATGAACCTTCCAGAAAGAAGAAACTGGACACATCTGAAGGAACAAAGTCTAGACATAACACCTTTAAATGCTGTAACACTCACCGGAAGGGTCTGCAGTTTCATTCTTGAATTGAGCAAGACCATGAACCTGCCAGAAGGAAGAAACTCTAGATATATCTAAAGGAAAAAACTCTGGACATAAAAACTTAAGTGCTGTAACGGTCACCACTAAGGTCTGCAGCTTCATTCTTGAAGTGAGCAAGACCATGAAGCTGCCAGAAGGAAGAAACTCTGGACACATCTGAAGGAACAAACTCTGGACCTAACACCTTTAAATGCTGTAAAACTCACCACTAAGGTCTGCAGCTCCATTCTTCAAATGAGCAAGTCCATGAACCTGCCAGAAGGAAGAAACTCTGCACACATCTGAAGGAACAAACTCTGGACATAACACCTTTAAATGCTGTAACACTCACCGTAAAGGTCTGCAGCTTCATTCTTGAGGTGAGCAAGACCAAGAACCTGCCAGAAGGAAGAAACTCTGGATACATCTGTAGGAACAAACTCTGGACATAACACCTTTAAGTGCCGTAACGTAAAGGTCTGCAGCTTCATTCTTGAAGTGAGCAAGACCATGAACCTGCCAGAAGGAAGAAACACTGGACACATCTGAAGGAACAAACTCTGGACATAACATCTTTCATTGCTGTAACACTCACCGTAAAGGTCTACAGATTCATTCTTGAAGGGGGCAAGACCATGAACCTGCCAGAAGGAAGAAACTGGACACATCTGAAGGAACAAACTCTGGACATAACACCTTTAAATGCTGTAACACTCACCGTAAAGGTCTGCCGCGTCATTCTTGAGGTGAGCAAGACCATGAACCTGCCAGAAGGAAGAAACTCTGGACACATCTGAAGGAACAAACTCTGGACATAACACCTTTAAGTGCTGTAACACTCACCGTAAGGGTCTGCAGTTTCATTCTTGAAGTGAGCAAGACCATGAACCTGCCAGAAGGAAGAAACTCTGGACACATCTGAATTAACAAACTCTGGACATAACACCTTTAAGTGCTGTAAAACTCACCACTAAGTTCTGCAGCTTCATTCTTGAAGTGAGCAAGACCATGAACCTGTCAGAAGGAAGAAACTCTGGACTTATCTGAAGGAACAAACTCTGGACATAAAAACTTAACTGCTGTAACGCTCACCACTACGGTCTGCAGCTTCATTCTTGAAGTGAGCAAGACCATGAACCTGCCAGAAAGAAGACACTCTGGACACATCTGAAGGGACAAACTCTGGACATAACACCTTTAAGTGCTGTAAAACTCACCACTAAAGTCTGCAGCTTCATCCTTGAAATGAGCAAGTACATGAACCTCCCAGAAGGAAGGAACTCTAGACATATCTGATGTAACAAACTCTGGACATAACACCTTTAAATGATGTAACACACACCGTAAAGGTCTGCAGCTTCATTCTTGAAGTGAGCAAGACCATGAACCTGCCAGAAGGAAGAAACTCTGGACACACCTGAAGGAACAAACTCTGGACATAAAAACTTTAAGTGCTGTAACACTCACCACTGAGGTCTGCAGCTTCATTCTTGAAGTGAGCAATACCATGAACCTGCCAGAAGGAAGAAATTCTGCAAACAACTGAAGGAACAAACTAAGGACATAACACCTTTAAGTGCTGTAACACTGACCGTAAAGGTCTGCAGCTTCATTCTTGAAGTGAGCAAGACCAAGAACCTGCCAGAAGGAAGAAACTCTGGACACATCTGAAGGAACAAACTCTGGACTTAACACCTTTAAGTGCTGTAACACTGACCGTAAAGGTCTGCAGCTTCATTCTTAAAGTGAGCAAGACCATGAACCTGCCAGAAGGAAGAAACTCTGGACACATCTGAAGGAACAAACTCTGGACATAACAACTTTAAGTGTTGTAACACTCACCACTAAGGTCTGCAGCTTCATTCTTGAAATGAGCAATACCATGAACCTGCCAGAAGGAAGAAACTCTGGACACATCTGAAGGAACAAACCCTGGACGTAACACCTTTAAGTGCTGTAAAACTCACCACTAAGTTCTGCAGCTTCATTCTTGAAGTGAGCAAGACAATGATCCTGCCAGAAGGAAGAAACTCTGGACACATCTGAAGGAACAAACTCTGGACATAACATCTTTCAGTGCTGTAACACTCACCGTAAATGTCTACAGTTTCATTCTTGAAGTGAGCAAGACCATGAACCTTCCAGAAGGAAGAAACTGGACACATATGAAGGAACAAACTCTAGACATAACCCCTTTAAGTGCTGTAACACTCACCGTAAGGGTCTGCAGTTTCATTCTTGAAGTGAGCAAGACCATGAACCTGCCAGAAGGAAGAATCTCTGGACTTATCTGAAGGAACAAACTGTGGACATAAAAACTAAAGGGCTGTATCGCTCACCACTAAGGTCTGAAGCTTCATTCTTGAAGTGAGCAAGACCATGAACCTGCCAGAAGGAAGAAACTCTGGACACATCTGAAGGAACAAACTCTGGACATAACACCTTTATGTGCTGTAAAACTCACCACTAAGTTCTGCAGCTTCATTCTTGAAGTGAGCAAGACCATGAACCTGCCAGAAGGAAGAAACTCTGGACACATCTGAAGGAACAAACTCTGGACCTAACACCTTTAAGTGCTGTAAAACTCACCACTAAGGTCTTCAGCTTCATTCTTGAAATGAGCAAGTCCATGAACCTCCCAGAAGGAAGGAGCTCTAGACACATCTGATGTAAGAAACTCTGGACATAACTCCATTAAATGCTGTAACACTCACCGTAAAGGTCTGCAGCTTCATTCTTGAAGTGAGCAAGACCAAGAACCAGCCAGAGGGAAGAAAGTCTGTACACATCTGAAGGAACAAACCCTGGACATAACAACTTTAAGTGCTGTAACACTCACCACTAAGGTCTGCAGCTTCATTCTTGAAGTGAGCAATACTATGAACCTGCCAGAAGGAAGAAACTCTGCACACATCTGAAGGAACAAACACTGTACATAACACCATTAATGCTGTAACACTCACCGTAAAGGTCTGCAGCTTCATTCTTGAAGTGAGCAAGACCATGAACTTGTCAGAAGGAAGAAACTCTGGACACTTCTGAAGGAACAAACTCTGGACATAACACCTTTAAGTGCTGTAACACTCACCGTAAAGGTCTGCAGCTTCATTCTTGAAGTGAGCAAGACCATGAACCTGCCAGAAGGAAGAAAGTCTGGACTTATCTGAAGGAACAAACTCTGGACATAAAAACTTAAGTGCTGTAACGCTCACCACTAAGGTCCGCAGCTTCATTCTTGAAGTGAGCAAGACCATGAACCTGCCAGAAGGAAGAAACTCTGGACTTATCTGAAGGAACAAACTCTGGACATAAAATCTTAACTGCTGTAACGCTCACCACTAAGGTCTGCAGCTTCATTCTTGAAGTGAGCAATACTATGAACCTGCCAGAAGGAAGAAACTCTGCACACATCTGAAGGAACAAACTCTGTACATAACACCATTAATGCTGTAACACTCACCGTAAAGGTCTGCAGCTTCATTCTTGAAGTGAGCAAGACCATGAACTTGTCAGAAGGAAGAAACTCTGGACACTTCTGAAGGAACAAACTCTGGACATAACACGTTTAAGTGCTGTAACACTCACCGTAAAGGTCTGCAGCTTCATTCTTGAAGTGAGCAAGACCGTGAACCTGCCAGAAGGAAGAAAGTCTGGACTTATCTGAAGGAACAAACTCTGGACATAAAAACTTAAGTGCTGTAACGCTCACCACTAAGGTCCGCAGCTTCATTCTTGAAGTGAGCAAGACCATGAACCTGCCAGAAGGAAGAAACTCTGGACTTATCTGAAGGAACAAACTCTGGACATAAAAACTTAACTGCTGTAACGCTCACCACTAAGGTCTGCAGCTTCATTCTTGAAGTGAGCAAGACCATGAACCTGGAGAAGGAAGAAACTCTGGACACATCTGAAGGAACAAACTCTGGACATAACAGCTTTAAGTGCTGTAAAACTCACCACTAAGGTCTGCAGCTTCATTCTTGAAATGAGCAAGTCCGTGAACCTCCCAGAAGGAAGGAAATCTAGACACATCTGATGTAAAAAACTCTGGATATAACACCTTTAAATGATGTAACACTCACCGTAAAGGACTGCAGCTTCATTCTTGAAGTGAGCAAGACTATGAACCTGCCAGAAGGAAGAAACTCTGGACACATCTGAAGGAACAATCTCTGGACATAACACCTTTATGTGCTGTAACACTCACCGTAAAGGTCTGCATCTTCATTCTTGAAGTGAGCAAGACCATGAACCTGCCAGAAGGAAGAAACTCTGGACACATCTGAAGGAACAAACTCTGTAAATAACGTCTTTAAGTGTTGTAACACTCACCACTAAGGTCTGCAGCTTCATTCTTGAAGTGAGCAAGACCATGAACCTGCCAGAAGGAAGAAACTCTGGACACATCTGAAGGAACAAACTCTGGACATAACACCTTTAAGTGCTGCAAAACTCACCACTAAGTTCTGCAGCTTCTTTCTTGAAGTGAGCAAGACCATGAGCCTGCCAGAAGGAAGAAACTCTGGACACATCTGAAGGAACAAACCCTGGAAATAACATCTTTCAGTGCTGTAACACTCACCGTAAAGGTCTACAGTTTCATTCTTGAAGTGAGCAAGACCATGAACCTTCCAGAAGGAAGAAACTGGACACATATGAAGGAAGAAACTCTAGACATAACAATTTTAAGTGCTGTAACATTCACCGTAAGGGTCTGCAGTTTCATTCTTGAAGTGAGCAAGACCATGGACCTGCCAGAAGGAAGAATCTCTGGACTTATCTGAAGGAAGAATCTGTGGACATAAAAACTTAAGTGCTGTAACGCTCACCACTAAGGTCTGCAGCTTCATTCTTGAAGTGAGCAAGACCATGAACCTGCCACAAGGAAGAAACTCTGGACTTATCTGAAGGAACAAACTCTGGACATAAAAACTTAAGTGCTGTAACGCTCACCACTAAGGTCTGCAGCTTCATTCTTGAAGTGAGCAAGACCATGAACCTGGAGAAGGAAGAAACTCTGGACACATCTGAAGGAACAAACTCTGGACATAACAGCTTTAAGTGCTGTAAAACTCACCACTAAGGTCTGCAGCTTCATTCTTGAAATGAGCAAGTCCATGAACCTCCCAGAAGGAAGGAATATTAGACACATCTGATGTAAAAAACTCTGGACATAACACCTTTAAATGATGTAACACTCACCGTAAAGGACTGCAGCTTCATTCTTGAAGTGAGCAAGACCATGAACCTGCCAGAAGGAAGAAACTCTGGACACATCTGAAGGAACAAACTCTGGACATAACACCTTTAAATGCTGTAACACTCACCGTAAAGGACTGCAGCTTCATTCTTGAAGTGAGCAAGACCATGAACCTGCCAGAAGGAAGAAACTCTGGACACATCTGAAGGAACGAACTCTGGACATAGCATCATTCATTGCTGTAACACTCACCGTAAAGGTCTACAGTTTCATTCTTGAAGTGAGCAAGACCATGAACCTGCCAGAAGGAAGAAAGTGGACACATCTGAAGGAACAAACTCTGGACATAACACTTTTAAATGCTGTAACACTCACCGTAAAGGTCTGCCGCGTCATTCTTGAAGTGAGCAAGACCATGAACCTGCCAGAAGGAAGAAAATCTGGACACATCTGAAGGAACAAACTCTGGACATAACACCTTTATGTGCTGTAAAACTCACCACTAAGTTCTGCAGCTTCATTCTTGAAGTGAGCAAGACCATGAACCTGCAAGAAGGAAGAAACTCTGGACTTATCTGAAGGAACAAACCCTGGACATAAAAACTTCAGTGCTGTAACGCTCACCACTAAGGTCTGCAGCTTCATTCTTGAAGTGAGCAACACCATGAACCTGCCAGAAGGAAGAAACTCTGGACACATCTGAAGGAACAAACTCTGGACCTAACACCTTTAAGTGCTGTAAAACTCACCACTAAGGTCTTCAGCTTCATTCTTGAAATGAGCAAGTCCATGAACCTCCCAGAAGGAAGGAGCTCTAGACACATCTGATGTAAGAAACTCTGGACATAACTCCATTAAATGCTGTAACACTCACCGTAAAGGTCTGCAGCTTCATTCTTGAAGTGAGCAAGACCAAGAACCAGCCAGAGGGAAGAAACTCTGTACACATCTGAAGGAACAAACCCTGGACATAACAACTTTAAGTGCTGTAACACTCACCACTAAGGTCTGCAGCTTCATTCTTGAAGTGAGCAATACCATGAACCTGCCAGAAGGAAGAAACTCTGCACACATCTGAAGGAACAAACTCTGTACATAACACCATTAATGCTGTAACACTCACCGTAAAGGTCTGCAGCTTCATTCTTGAAGTGAGCAAGACCATGAACTTGTCAGAAGGAAGAAACTCTGGACACTTCTGAAGGAACAAACTCTGGACATAACACTTTTAAGTGCTGTAACACTCACCGTAAAGGTCTGCAGCTTCATTCTTGAAGTGAGCAAGACCATGAACCTGCCAGAAGGAAGAAAGTCTGGACTTATCTGAAGGAACAAACTCTGGACATAAAAACTTAACTGCTGTAACGCTCACCACTAAGGTCTGCAGCTTCATTCTTGAAGTGAGCAAGACCATGAACCTGCCAGAAGGAAGAAACTCTGGACTTATCTGAAGGAACAAACTCTGGACATAAAAACTTAAGTGCTGTAACGCTCACAACTAGGGTCCGCAGCTTCATTCTTCAAGTGAGCAAGACCATGAACCTGCCAGAAGGACGAAACTCTGGACTTATCTGAAGGAACAAACTCTGGACATAAAAACTTAACTGCTGTAACGCTCACCACTAAGGTCTGCAGCTTCATTCTTGAAGTGAGCAAGACCATGAACCTGGAGAAGGAAGAAACTCTGGACACATCTGAAGGAACAAACTCTGGACATAACAGCTTTAAGTGCTGTAAAACTCACCACTAAGGTCTGCAGCTTCATTCTTGAAATTAGCAAGTCCGTGAACCTCCCAGAAGGAAGGAAATCTAGACACGTCTGATGTAAAAAACTCTGGATATAACACCTTTAAATGATGTAACACTCACCGTAAAGGACTGCAGCTTCATTCTTGAAGTGAGCAAGACCATGAACCTGCCAGAAGGAAGAAACTCTGGACACATCTGAAGGAACAATCTCTGGACATAACACCTTTATGTGCTGTAACACTCACCGTAAAGGTCTGCATCTTCATTCTTGAAGTGAGCAAGACCATGAACCTGCCAGAAGGAAGAAACTCTGGACACATCTGAAGGAACAAACTCTGTAAATAACATCTTTAAGTGTTGTAACACACACCACTAAGGTCTGCAGCTTCATTCTTGAAGTGAGCAAGACCATGAACCTGCCAGAAGGAAGAAACTCTGGACACATCTGAAGGAACAAACTCTGGACATAACACCTTTAAGTGCTGCAAAACTCACCATTAAGTTCTGCAGCTTCTTTCTTGAAGTGAGCAAGACCATGAGCCTGCCAGAAGGAAGAAACTCTGGACACATCTGAAGGAACAAACTCTGGAAATAACATCTTTCAGTGCTGTAACACTCACCGTAAAGGTCTACAGGTTCATTCTTGAAGTGAGCAAGACCATGAACCTTCCAGAAGGAAGAAACTGGACACATATGAAGGAAGAAACTCTAGACATAACAATTTTAAGTGCTGTAACATTCACCGTAAGGGTCTGCAGTTTCATTCTTGAAGTGAGCAAGACCATGGACCTGCCAGAAGGAAGAATCTCTGGACTTATCTGAAGGAACAAACTCTGGACATAAAAACTTAAGTGCTGTAACGCTCACCACTAAGGTCTGCAGCTTCATTCTTGAAGTGAGCAAGACCATGAACCTGCCACAAGGAAGAAACTCTGGACTTATCTGAAGGAACAAACTCTGGACATAAAAACTTAAGTGCTGTAACGCTCACCACTAAGGTCCGCAGCTTCATTCTTGAAGTGAGCAAGACCATGAACCTGCCAGAAGGAAGAAACTCTGGACTTATCTGAAGGAACAAACTCTGGACATAAAAACTTAAGTGCTGTAACGCTCACCACCAAGGTCTGCAGCTTCATTCTTGAAGTGAGCAAGACCATGAACCTGGAGAAGGAAGAAACTCTGGACACATCTGAAGGAACAAACTCTGGACATAACAGCTTTAAGTGCTGTAAAACTCACCACTAAGGTCTGCAACTTCATTCTTGAAATGAGCAAGTCCATGAACCTCCCAGAAGGAAGGAAAATTAGACACATCTGATGTAAAAAACTCTGGACATAACACCTTTAAATGATGTAACACTCACCGTAAAGGACTGCAGCTTCATTCTTGAAGTGAGCAAGACCATGAACCTGCCAGAAGGAAGAAACTCTGGACACATCTGAAGGAACAAACTCTGGACATAACACCTTTATGTGCTGTAACACTCACCGTAAAGGTCTGCATCTTCATTCTTGAAGTGAGCAAGACCATGAACCTGCCAGAAGGAAGAAACTCTGGACACATCTGAAGGAACAAACTCTGTAAATAACATCTTTAAGTGTTGTAACACTCACCACTAAGGTCTGCAGCTTCACTCTTGAAGTGAGCAAGACCATGAACCTGCCAGAAGGAAGAAACTCTGGACACATCTGAAGGAACAAACTCTGGATATAACACCTTTAAGTGCTGTAAAACTCACCACTAAGTTCTGCAGCTTCTTTCTTGAAGTGAGCAAGACCATGAACCTGACAGAAGGAAGAAACTCTGGACACATCTGAAGGAACAAACTCTGGAAATATCATCTTTCAGTGCTGTAACACTCACCGTAAAGGTCTACAGTTTCATTCTTGAAGTGAGCAAGACCATGAACCTTCCAGAAGGAAGAAACTGGACACATATGAAAGAACAAACTCTAGACATAACAATTTTAAGTGCTGTAACACTCACCGTAAGGGTCTGCAGTTTCATTCTTGAAGTGAGCAAGACCATGGACCTGCCAGAAGGAAGAATCTCAGGACTTATCTGAAGGAACAAACTCTGGACATAAAAACTTAAGTGCTGTAACGCTCAGCACTAAGGTCTGCAGCTTCATTCTTGAAGTGAGCAAGACCATGAACCTGCCAGAAGGAAGAAACTCTGGACACATCTGAAGGAACAAACTCTGGACCTAACACCTTTAAGTGTTGTAAAACTCACCACTAAGGACTTCAGCTTCATTCTTGAAATGAGCAAGTCCATGAACCTCCCAGAAGGAAGGAGCTCTAGACACATCTGATGTAACAAACTCTGGACATAACTCCATTAAATGCTGTAACACTCACCGTAAAGGTATGCAGCTTCATTCTTGAAGTGAGCAAGACCAAGAACCAGCCAGAGGGAAGAAACTCTGGACACATCTGAAGGAACAAACTCTGGACATAACAAATTTAAGTGCTGTAACACTCACCACTAAGGTCTGCAGCTTCATTCTTGAAGTGAGCAAGACCATGAACCTGCCAGAAGGAGGAAACTCTGGACACATCTGAAGGAACAAACTCTGGACATAACACCTTTAAATGCTGTAACACTCACCGTAAAGGACTGCAGCTTCATTCTTGAAGTGAGCAAGACCATGAACCTGCCAGAAGGAAGAAACTCTGGACACATCTGAAGGAACGAACTCTGGACATAGCATCATTCATTGCTGTAACACTCACCGTAAAGGTCTACAGTTTCATTCTTGAAGTGAGCAAGACCATGAACCTGCCAGAAGGAAGAAAGTGGACACATCTGAAGGAACAAACTCTGGACATAACACTTTTAAATGCTGTAACACTCACCGTAAAGGTCTGCCGCGTCATTCTTGAAGTGAGCAAGACCACGAACCTGCCAGAAGGAAGAAACTCTGGACACATCTGAAGGAACAAACTCTGTAAATAACATCTTTAAGTGTTGTGACACCCACCACTACGGTCTGCAGCTTCATTCTTGAAGTGAGCAAGACCATGAACCTGCCAGAAGGAAGAAAATCTGGACACATCTGAAGGAACAATCTCTGGACATAACACCTTTAAGTGCTGTAACACTCACCACTAAGTTCTGCAGCTTCATTCTTGAAGTGAGCAAGACCATGAACCTGCCAGAAGGAAGAAACTCTGGACACATCTGAAGGAACAAACTCTGGACATAACACCTTTAAGTGCTGTAAAACTCACCACTAAGTTCTGCAGCTTCATTCTTGAAGTGAGCAAGACCATGAACCTGCCAGAAGGAAGAAACTCTGGACTCATCTGAAGGAACAAACCCTGGACATAAAAAATTAACTGCTGTACTGCTCACCACTAAGTTCTGCAGCTTCATTCTTGAAATGAGCAAGTACTTTAACCTCCCAGAAGGAAGAAACTCTGCACACATCTGAAGGAACAAACTATGGACATAACACCTTTAAATAATGTAACACTCACCGTAAAGGTCTGCAGCTTCATTCTTGAAGTGAAGAAGACCATGAACCTGCCAGAAGGAAGAAACTCTGGCACATCTGAGGGAACAAACTCTGGACATAACACCCTTAAGTGTTGTAAAACTCACCACTAAGTTCTGCAGCTTCATTCTTGAAGTGAGCAAGGACATGAACCTGCCAGATGGAAGAAACTCTGGACACATCTGAAGGAACAAACTCTGGACATAACAACTTTCAGTGCTGTAACACTAACCGTAAAGGTCTACAGTTTCCATTTTGAAGTAAGCAAGACCATGAACCTGCCAGAGGGAACAAACTGGACATATCTGAAGGAACAAACTCTGGACATAAAACCTTTAAGTGCTGTAACACTCACCGTAAGGGTCTGCAGTTTCATTCTTGAAGTGAGCAAGACCATGAACCTGCCAGAAGGAAGAAACTGTGGACACACCTGAAGGAACAAACTCTGGACATAACACCTTTAAGTGCTGTAACACTCACCGTAAAGGACTGGAGCTTCATTCTTGAAGTGAGCAAGACAATGAACCTGCCAGAATGTAGAAACTCTGGACACATCTAAAGGAAAAAACTCTGGACATAACACCTTTAAATGCTGTAACACTCACCGTAAAGGTCTGCAGCTTCATTCTTGAACTGAGCAAGACCATGAACCTGCCAGAAGGAAGAAACTCTGGACACATCTGAAGGAACAAACTCTGGACATAACAGTTTTAAGAGCTGTAACACTCAGCGTAAAGGTCGGCACCTACATTCTTGAAGTGAGCAAGACCATGAACCTTCCAGAAGGAAGAAACTCTGGACATATCTGAAGGAACAAACTCTGGACATAACACCTTTAAGTGCTGTAACACTCACCGTAAAGGTCTGCAGCTTCATTCTTGAGTTCAGCAAGACCATGAACCTGCCAGAAGGAAGAAACTCTGGAGACATATGAAGGAACAAACTCTGGACATAACATCTTTCAGTGCTGTAACACTCACCGTAAAGGTCTACAGTTTCATTCTTGAAATGAGCAAGACCATGAACCTGCCACAAGGAAGAAACTGGACACATCTGAAGGAACAAACTCTGGACATAACACCTTTAAGTGCTGTAACACTCACAGTAAGTGTCTGCAGTTTCATTCTTGAAGTGAGCAAGACCATGAACCTGCCAGAAGGAAGAAACTCTGGACACATCTGAAGGAACAAACTCTGGACATAATACCTTTAAGTGCTGTAACACTCACCGTAAAGGTCTGCAGCTTCATTCTTGAAGTGAGCAAGACCATGAACCTGCCACAAGGAAGAAATTTTGGACACATCAGAATGAACAAACTATGGATATAACACCTTTAAGTGCTGTGACACTCACCGTAAAGGTCTGCAGCTTCATTCTGGAAGTGAGCAAGACCATGAACCTGCCAGAAGGAAGAAACTCTATACACATCTGATGGAAGAAACAATGGACATAACACTTTAACTGCTGTAACACTCACCAGCAAGGTCTGCAGCTTCATTCTTGAAGTGAGCAAGACAATGAACCTGCCCGAAGGAAGAAACTCTGGACACATCTGAAGGACCAAATTCAGGACATAACACCTTTATATGCTGTAACACTCACCGTAAAGGTCTGCAGCTTCATTCTTTTTTGAAGTGAGCAAGACCATGAACATGCCAGAAGGAAGAATATCTGGACACATCTGAAGGAACAAACTCTGGACATAACACCTTTAAGTACTGTAACACTCACTACTAAATTCTGCAGGTTCACTCTTGAAGTGAGCAAGACCAAGAACCTGCCAGATGGAAGAAACTCTGGACACATCTGAAGGACCAAACTCTGGGCATAACACTGTATGTGCTGTAAAACCCACCGTAATGGTCTGCAGCTTCATTTTTCTTGAAGTGAGCTAGACCATGAACCTGTCAGAAGAAAGAAACTCTGGACACATCTGAAGGAACAAACTGTGGACATAACACTTTTAAGTGCTGTAACACTCACCCTAAAGGTCTGCAGCTTCATTCTTGAAGTGAGCAAGACCATGAACCTGCCAGAAGGAAGAAATTCTGGACACATCCGAATGAACAAACTCTGGACATAACACCTTTAAGTGCTGTAACACCCACCGTAAAGGTCTGCAGCTTCATTCTTGAAGTGATCAAGACCATGAACCTGCCGGAAGGTAGTAACTCTGGACACATCTGAAGGAACAAACTCTGGACATAACACCTTTAAGTGCTGTAACACTCACCGTAAAGGTCTGCAGCTTCATTCTTGAAGCTAGCAAGACCATGAATCTGCCAGAAGGAAGAAACTCTGCACTTATATGAAGGAACAAACTCTGGACATAAAAACTTATGTGCTGTAACGCTCACCACTAATGTCTGCAGCTTCATTCTTGAAGTGAACAAGACCATGAACCTGCCAGAAGGAAGAAACTCTGGACACTTCTGAAGGAACAAACTCTGGACATAACACCTTTAAGTGCTGTAACACTCACCACTGAATTC